>NC_000007.14:63718900-64021930 GCF_000001405.40 Homo sapiens | reverse complement strand
AAAATGATACACAGCAGGTGTGCACTGAAGTGGGAACCTGAGGGTCATCTGAGAATTCTGCCTCTCCACCTGAATAGATTTCTAAAATAGCCTTTCAGTTGCCTTTGTTGTCTAAGTAAACACATATATCATCTGCAAATAATAATTAATTCATCTGCTTTTCAATTTTATTCATTAAGTATTTATCTTTTTCTGGCTTATATGAAGTATTTCTTATTTATAATATACATTCACATATATACATATATAACAATACAAATGTATCCATTTTCATTTTTGTTAAATTTTTAAGAATGGATGTTAAAGGTAACTTCTTTTCTGTTTGAAAGGGTTTTTATTGTTGTATTCAAGAGCATTATCTCTGGAGTCAAAGTTGCTTGTGTTTTAATACTGGCTCTGCTATTGTGAGCAAATTATTTCTCTGGCTCTTTTTCTTTCTTTGTAAATTGAGGACAATAATACCTTTGTTATTAAGTTACTGTGTCTATTAGTCCATTCTCACACTGCTATAAAGACACACCCAAGACTAGGTAAATTAAAAAGGAAAGAGGTTAATTTGACTCACAGATAAGCATGACTGGGGAGGCCTCAAGAACCTTACAATAATGGCAGAAGTTGAAGGAGAAGCAGGTATATTTTTCACTAGGTGAAGGAAAGCAGGAAAAATGACCACTTATAAAACCATCCAATCTCATGAGAACTCACTCAGTATCACAAGAACACCATGAGTATCATTCCGCCCCTGGCCCCTTCCAAATCTCATGCCCTTTTCATATTTCAAAA
Organism: Homo sapiens; assembly: GCF_000001405.40. Taxonomy (NCBI): domain Eukaryota; kingdom Metazoa; phylum Chordata; class Mammalia; order Primates; family Hominidae; genus Homo; species Homo sapiens. The sequence goes on along the minus strand of NC_000007.14, from coordinate 64,021,147 downwards.
CCAAACATGCTTTCCCAACAATCTCCCACAGTCTTATCTCATTTTAGCATTAACCCAAAAGTCTAACTCCAAAGTCCAATCTGAGAAAAGTCCCTGCTACCTATGAGCTTGTAAATCAAAAGCAAGTTAGTAACTTCCAAGATACAATGGGGGTACAGGAATTAGATAAACTCTTTCAAATGGAGGAAATTGGCCAGAACCAAGGAGGTACAGGCCCCATGCAAGCTTGAATTCCAATGGGGCAGTAATTAAATCTTAAAGCTCTGGGATGATGTCATTTGACTTCATGTCCCACTTCTGGGCCATGCTGATGCAAGGGGTGGGCCCTCATGGCCTTAGGCAACTCCTTTATGGACTGGAATTGCGTGCCTGTGGCTTTTCCAGGTGCACAGTACAAGCTCATGGAGGATCTGTCATTCTGGGGTCTAGAGTATAGTGGCCTTCTCACAACTCCAGTTGGCAGCTTCAGTGGGGACTCTGCATGAGGGCTCCAATCCCACATTTCCCTTCTGCATTGCCCTATTACAGGTTCTCCATGAGGGCTCTGCCCCTGTAGAAGACTTCTGCCTGAACATCCAGGCATTTTTATACATCTTCTGAAATCTAGGCAGAGGTTCCCAGAGCTCAACTCTTGTCTTATGTTCACTCACATGCCCAACACCACATGGAAGCCACCCAAGGCTTGAGGATTGCACTTTCTGAAGAAATAACCCAAGCTGTACCTTGGCCCCTTTTAGCCACAGCTGGATCTGGAGCAGCTGGGATGCAGGACACCTAGTCCCAAGACTTCATAGAGCAGTGGGGCCCTGGGCCTCAACCATGAAACCATTGTTGCCTCCTAGGGCTCCTGGCCTGTGATGGAAGGACCTGCCTCAGATCTTTGACATGATCTGAAGACATTTTCCCCATTGTTTTGTGTATTAACATTCAGTTCCTCTTTACTGCTGCAAATTTCTGCAGTGGCTTCAATTTCTTTTCAAAAAATTGGGTTTTATTTTCTACTTCATGGTCAGGCTTCAAATTTCCCAAACTTTTATGTTCTGCTTCCATTTTAAACATAAGTTTCTCATCTCTATCTGAGACCACCTCAGCCTGGACTTTATCATCCATATCACTATTAGCATTTTGGTCAAAAGCATTCAACAAGTCTCCAGGAAGTTCCAAACGTTCCCACATCTTTCTGTGTTTTTCTGAGCTCTCTAAACTGTTTCAACCTCTGCCTATTACCCATTTCCAAAGTCACTTCCACATTTTCAATTATCTTTATAGCAGTGCCCCAAACTCCCAGTATTAATTTTCTGTATTAGTCTGTTTTCACACTACTATAAAGACACTACCAGAGAATGGGTAATTTATTCAGAAAGGAGGTTTAATTTACTCACAATTCTGCATGGCTGGGGAGGTCTCAGGAAACCTACAATTATGGTGGAAGGCAAAGGAGAAGCAAGCACCTTCTTCACTAGGCAGCAGGAGGGAAAGCAGGAAAAACCACCACTTATAAAACCATTAGATCTTTCAGAACTCACTATCATGAGAACAGCATGGGGGAAAATTACCCCCATGTTCCAATCACCTCCCACCAAGTCCCTCCCTTGACACATGGGGATTACAATTTGAGATAAGATTTGGGTGGGATAAGATTTTACAGTAACGAATTCAATATAAGCCACAGAATATAGATTTATTTTGAGAATCTCTAAGGTTTCCAGGTTTCTTGTTAATTACCCACCTTATTAAAATAAACTTTTTTGTTTCAATATTGTTCCTCTGTTCTGAAAATGCAAACAAAGTCACACACAAACACACTCACTTGCTATATAACTTTTTTATACTTAAGGTACATCTTTTTTTTTTTTTTAAATGGTGTCTCGCTCTGTCACCCAGGGTGGAGTGCAGTGGTGCCATCTTGGCTCACTGCAACCTCTGCTTCCCAGGTTCAAGCAATTCTCCTGCCTCAGCCTCCCTAGTAGCTGGGAATACAGGAACGCATCACCACACCCAGCTAATTTTTTGTATTTTTAGTAGAGATGGGGTTTCACCATGTTGGCCAGGCTGGTCTTGAACTCCTGACCTCAAATTATCTGACCACTTTGGCCTCCCAAAGTGCTGAGATTACAGGCATAAGCCACTGCACCCGGCTGGTACATCTTTAGAGTAATACATTTGTATATGTAACTCTATGTAAATAAAAACTAAAAGCCTGTTTTTGTTTGTCAGCAGAGAGGCCACACGTACAAAAAATATATAAAACAAATTTTAAAAAATATTTAATCAAGACTCAGAAATGTATGGATATTAATTATACTCATATAATTTTTATGATCATAAATTGACCCTGTGGTTAATAATTCAATTGCACATATTGAAATGACTAAAACTATATAATGGGAATGTTTGTAATACAAAGCATAAATACGTGCTTGAGGTAATGAATACTTCATATACCCTGCTGTGATAATTAAATAATGTATGCCTGTGTTAAAATACCTCATATATGCCATTTTGTGTATGCAAACTACCCATAAAAATTTTTTAAAAATGTAAATAAGGTAAAAAAGAATACAAATTTCACCTATGAGAACAAAATTCTTCAACTTTTTTGCAGTTTAAATCCACTGGAGGGCCAGGTGTGGTGGCTCACACCTGTAATCCCAGCATTTTGCAGCACCGAGGCAGGTGGATCACCTGAGGTCAGGAGTTCAAGACCAGCCTGGCCAACGTGGTGAAACCCCATCTCTACTAAAAATACAAAAATTAGCCTGGTGTGGTGGCACGTGCCTGTAGTCCCAGCTACTTGGCAGGCTGAGGCAGGAGAATCGCTTGGACCCAGGAGGTGGAGGTTGCAGTGAGCTGAGATTGTGCCACTGCACTCCAGCCTGGGCAACAGAGCAAGACTCCATCTCAAAAAAAACAAACAAAAAACGCTGGCAAAAAAGAGATTACTAGAGATGTCATTCCCCTACATTAACAAATAGTATATTGTTACCATCATTTACTTAGAACTTTAAGTAAGATGAGACACATTAATGTTGATGGCAAATTAACACATTTTTCAAAGCACAATAGTTTTAACACATTAAAAACAACTTTATTTAATGAAAAATTAAGTTAAATTTATTGCATTTTATTACATAAAGGTACAATTGATAAACAATCTCTTATATCTCTGATGCAACAATTGATCAAATACTTTCACAAACAATGGGAAGAATCAACATTAAGTAATCTGAGACTTGAGTTACAATATTATTTGCTTTTCAGAAAATCTAAATTTTTTTTACAGAAAATGAAGCATAGCTCGAATGTAATTATAAATCTCCAAAAAAAACTACTTCTTTGAAATGTATATACTGTTATCTTTGGATCTCTTTTACATTCAACACTCTGATTTAGTGTAATGTCTGAAGTTTCAGTGCCTTCATTCTTTCTACTGTGAATATTTTGGATCTACAAAAATATTTAGTATAAACTGGTGTCTTCTAAGCTGTAGTTTTTGAACAAATGTTTTTTCACATTCATTACATGTTTAGGCTTTCTCTCAAATATAAATTCTCTGATGTTCCACAAAGTTTGAGCATCTGCTTCAGGGTTTTCCTTTAACATAAAATGCATACAATAACATCTGTAATGCCAGTAAAGGTATAACAATCCTCTTTATGTTTGTATGTTTGTCTTCAGAATAAATAGTCTTTACTTTAAAGGCCTATATTTTCCAAAAGGTGTTTTTACAGTAATCACATTTATAATGCCTTTTTTGTTTTTTTGAGATGGAGTCTTGCTCTGTCACCCAGGCTGCAGTGTAGCAGCTCTGTGTTGGCTCACTGCAACCTCCACCTCTCAGGTTCAAGCAATTCGCCTGCCTCAGCCTCCCAAGTAGCTGGGATTACAGGCACACGCCACCACACCTGGCTAATTTTTGTATTTTTAGTAGAGATGGGCTTTCACCATGTTGGCCAGGCTGGTCTTGAACTCCTGATCTCATGATCCACTGACCTTGGCCTCCCAAAGTGCTGGAATTTCAAGGGTGAGCCAACACGCCCAACCTATAATGCTATTATTAACTATAAACTTTCTGATATTGAGTAAAATGTGAGCTGATAGTAATGGCTTTTCACATTCTTTGTATTTCTACAATTTTTCTCTAGTATAAATGCTTTCCTGTGGCATAAGGTGTGAGAATTTATTAAAAGTTTTGCCACATTCTTCATTTCATATTTGTAGTTTTCTTCAGTATACATTATCTTACCTACCATAACGTGTGACTACCATTTAAAGGCCTTGCCACATTTAACACATTTCTAGTTTCTCACCAGTATGATTTCCCTTTTTTAGAAAAGTTTGAGGTATGGTTAAATGCTCTGTCACATTTTTATGCTGTAGAGTTTCTCTCCAGTATAAAATTTTTTTAATTAATAAGGATGGAAACCAGTTAAAGGCTTTGCCACATTTTTTTCTACAGTTTCAGGGGTTCTCTCCAATATCAATTATCTTACATTTATTCAGGTTTGAGGACTTTTTAAAGACATTGCCATATTCCTTATTGTAGGGTTTCTCTTAAGTATTACATCTCTTATGTATAATAAGGGTTCAAGACTAGTTAAAAGCGTTACCACATTCTTTGCTTTTGTAGGATTTCTCTCTAGAATGAATTAACAGATATTGTGTAAGGCCTGAGATGTGCTTAAAGGTTTTTTCACTTTTTTTTTTTAACCTTTCTAGGGTATCTCTAATATAAATTCTCTTAGGTTTTGGGAGGCTGAGGCAGGTGGATCACCTGAGGTTAGGAGTTCGAGACCAGCCTAGCCAACATGGTGAAACTCCATCTCTACTAAAAATGCAAAAATCAGCCAGTGTGGTGGCACATGCCTATAGTCCCAGCTACTCAGGAGGCTGAGGGAGGAGAATCACTTGAACCTGGAAGGCAGAGGTTACAGTGAGCTGAGTTTGTGCCACTGCACTGCAGCCTGGGTGACAAAGGGAGATACCATCTCAAAAAAATATTTTTTTTAAATAAATTCTCTTGGGTTCATTAAGGTTTGAGGGTTGGTCAAAGGCTTTGTTACATTTTTTTACATTTATAAAATTTTTGTCCAATATGGATTCTCTTATTTTCTATTAAGGTTTGGAACTTGTTAAAGGTTTGTCCATATTCTCTACACTTGTAGTGTTTTTTTCCAGCATAAATTATTGTATGTATTATAAGGCCTGAGGGCTAGAATTTGCCACATTATTTACTTTTGTAGGGTTTCTCTCCAGTATGAATTATCTTATGTTTAGCAAGACTTGAATGCCTCTTAAAAGCTTTGTCACATTCTTCACATTTGTAGGGTTTCTCTCCAGTATGAATTCTCTTATGTGTCTTAAGGGTTGAGGAGCAGTTAAAGGCTCTGCCACATTCTTCACATGTGTAGGGTTTCTCTCCAGTATGAATTCTCTTGTGGTCATTGAGGGTTGAGGATACGCTAAAGGCTTTGCCACATTCTTCACATTTGTAGGGTCTCTCTCCAGTATGAATTCTCTTGTGGTTAGTAAGTGTTGAGGAGCGCCTAAAAGCTTGGCCACATTCTTCACATGTGTAGGGTTTCTCTCCAGTATGAATTCTCTTATGTCTAGTAAGGTTTGAGGGCCACCTAAAGGCTTTGCCACATTCCTCACATCTGTAGGGTTTCTCTCCAGTATGAATTCTTTTATGTGTAGTACAGTTTGAGGAGCGTTTAAAGGATTTGCCGCATTCTTCACATTTGTAGGACTTCTCCTTAGTATGAATTATCTGATGTTGATTTAGGTGTGAAGGCATGCAAAACGATTTGCCATATTTTTTACATTTGAAATGTTTCTTTCCAGTATATCTTGTTTCATGTCTATTGCAATTTGAAAATTTACCAAAGACTATGACACACTTATGAGTCTGAAATATTTTGTTTTGGGTATTTGACAAACATTGCTTAACTTCATTATAACCTCCTTTGTGCACCTCACACTCACCCACACTTTTACAGCATTTTTTAAATTGTAAATTCTCATGTCCACATTTTCCATATGTTCTTGGTATTACTTTTTGGAGTGAATGTTTTATGCCCTGCTCTGGATGAAGGTCTTGGGTGAAATGAGAACACGTAACTGAAAGACATAAAAATCACAAGTTACTCCACTTACTAGACTCAGATGAATATACTTTACAAATCGAATATATAAAATTATACAAGGCACACTAGCAAAATGGCATATCAAATTACCACAGGCCATAATTCCTTCATAGATGTATAAACCTAACAAAATCATAGTGATCAAAATACCTTTGTTGGAAATTTATAGAATAAGTGTGTGCCCCATGTGAGCACAATGTCAAAAGCCATATAGAAAGAAAAGAAAAGTCTGCTACATTTGCCCAACACAGCCCTTCCTCATCCCCAGTAGAAGAACATGGTGTCTTTAATGACAGCTTTAAGTCTTCTGTGATCAAAAGTGAATGTTACAACAGCAGAAAGACTGAAGTACCATGGACAGAAAATAGGTGTAGAAAGTAGTTATTGACCAGTAATAAGAAATATGAAGAAGTCTTTTAACTGAAAAATAAATACAAAATTGCAGACAAGACACATCCTGAGAACATGTTTGCAAGACTCCCAGAATCTCTACCCAATACAATTGGTTTCAGGCTATGCCAGAAAAGAGCTGCATTATAAAGATTGTGAAAGGTAGTTTTATGTTAATGTCTAAATCTCAACCAAAGATTATAATGTATACAAAATATTTGGGCAACAAGGTCCAATCAAAAAAATCAAAATTTTCAAAAAGCAACTATAAAAATAAAGATGTATATATTAATTTTTAAAATTTAAGATAATCCGTATTTTGCTCAATGAGAAAAATGGAAAACCAGATATCAGATAAATGAGAATGTCAACAAAAGGCTTGGAATAATAAAAATAAACAATTGTGGAAGTAAAAAAGAATAAGTGAAATAATTTTAAAGTATGAAAAAAGTAATGTAAAAAATGAAGAAGCTAAACAAACAAACTAGGATATACACAAAAAGATCCATAACACATATTTAAGCAAAGTTTCAAAAGTCACAAACCAGAAGATAATCTTGGGAGCTGCAAGATAAAAGTGAGGTATTATTTATAAGCCTAGTCCTCCGAGACAACCAGTGAATTTGTCAACAGAAACCTTGCAGGTCAGAAAAGAACTGTGTTAAATGGTCAAAGGCTGAAAAAGAATCTTCATTGTGAGAATAATGTAATCAGCAAAAATGTACTACAAAATAAAGAAAAAAATAAAGATCTTCCAGAATAAACAAATGCTGAAAAAGCATATAAGCACTGCATGTACCCTAAATAAAATGCTGAAAAGAGGTCTTTCCACTTAAAATAATATGACGAAGAATATATAATCATATGAAAATACATAACTTTCTGAAAAACATGCATATATAAAAAAATAAAATTCCGTGGCATTATTGTGATGGTGCCGAAAACATTTTTAGTTATTCTTTAAAATTTGAAAGATATAAGCATAAAAATAATCATAAAACATAAAAATATACAATTAGCAATATCAATAAGAAGTATAGGGTAGATATAATGCGGACAAATTTTTCTATGCAACTGAAGTCATTTTTTTTTTACCAGTTTAAAATGTACTGTTGTAACTTTAACAGGTTTTATAAAATCTCTAATGTAGCATAAAGAAAAAAATCTTTATAGACACACAAAAGAAAATGAGTCAATTACTAGCATGAGACAAAGATTGATATTATATAATGGTAAAATGAGTCCATTTACTAGGAATCTATAACTATTATGTCTATCTATATGTATAGGCATATATAACATCACGGCTTCAAAATATATAAAGCAAATATTGACAAAAATGAAGCAAGAAATAAAATAGCAACATAAAATTATAAACATTAAGACCTCACTTTCAATAATGAATAAAAAATTTAAATAAAATATCAATTAAAAAACAGAAAGCCTGAATAACATTATACTGTGTATGAATTCATTTTGCAATGCTACAGAAAATAACCTGAGACTGGGTAATTTATAAAGAAAAAGATTTCTTTGGTTCACAGTTCAGTAGACTGTAAAAGAAGTATATGCCAGCATCTGCTTCTGGTGAGGATATGAGGAAGCTTACAATTACAGTGGAAGTCAAAAAAGAACCAAACATGTCACATGGTGAAAGATGATGCGAGTGTGAGGTGGAGGAACCAAGTTCCTTTAAGCAAGCAGCTCTCATGTGAATTAAGAGAGTGAGAACTCTATGATTACCAAGGGGATTGTGCCAAGTCATCCATAAGGGATTTGTCTCCACGATGCAAACAGCTCTCATTAGGCCCCACATCCAACACTGGAGATTACATTTCAATATGGGATTTGGAGGGCATCTACACCATATCACAAACCAAATAGGCTAAACAGACATGTACAGAACTCTCCAGTCAAAAGCAAGTGGATACACAATATTCTTATTTGCACCTGGCACATTCTGTTAGAACACATAAGTCTTAGTAAATTTCAAAAGATCAGCCAGGTGCAGTGGCTCACAGGTGTAATCTCAGCACTTTGCGAGGCCAAGGTGGAAGGATCACTTGTCCTGCAGCTGAGGGACTTGACTGTTGGAAGGAAAACTAACAAACAGAAAGGAATAGCATCCACATCAACAAAAAGGACAACCACACCAAAACCCCATCTGTAGGTCACCATCATCAAACACCAAAGGTAGATAAAACCACAAAGATGGGGAGGAACCAAAGCAGAAAAGCTGAAAATTTTAAAAATCAGAGTGCCTCTTCTCCTCCAAAGGATCACAGCCTCTTGCCAGCAACAGAACAAAGCTGGATGGAGAATGACTTTGACGAGTTGACAGAAGTAGGCTTCAGAAGATCAGTAATAACAAACTTCTCCGAGCTAAAGGAGGATGTTCGAACCCATTGCAAGGAAGCTAAAAACCTTGAAAAAAGATTAGATGAATGGCTAACTAGAATAAACAGTGTAGAGAAGACCTTAAATAACCGGATGGAGCTGAAAACCATGGCACTAGAACTATGTGACGCATGCACAAGCTTCAGTAGCCGATTCAATCAAGTGAAAGAAAGGGTATCAGTGATTGAAGATCAAATTAATGAAATGAAGTGAGAAGAGAAGTGAAATGAAGTGAGAAGAGAAGTTTAGAGAAAAAAGAGTAAAAAGAAATGAACAAAGCCTCCAAGAAATATGGGACTATGTGAAAAGACCAAATCTATGTTTGATTGGTGTACCTGAAAGTGACAGGGAGAATGGAAGCAAGCTGGAAAATACTCTGTAGGATATTATCCAGGAGAACTTCCCCAACCTAGCAAGGCAGGCCAACATTCAAATTCAGGAAATACAGAGAACATCACAAAGATACTCCTCGAGAAGAGCAACACCAAGACACATAATTGTCAGATTCACCAAAGTTGAAATGAAGGAAAAAATGTTAAGGGCAGCCAGAGAGAAAGGCCGGGTTACCCACAAAGGGAAACCCATCAGACTAACAGCAGATCTCTCAGCAGAAACTCTATGAGCCAGAAGAGAGTGGGGGCCACTATTCAACATTCTTAAAGAAAAGAATTTTCAACCCAGAATCTCATATCCAGCCAAACTAAGCTTCATAAATGAAGGAGAAATAAAATACTTTACAGACAAGCAAATGCTGAGAGATTTTGTCACCACCAGGCCTGCCTTACAAGAGCTCCTGAAGGAAGCACTAAACATGGAAAGGAACAACCGGTACCAGCCACTGCAAAATCATGCCAAATTATAAAGATCATCGATGCTAAGAAGAAACTGCATCAACTAACAGGCAAAATAACCAGCTAACATCATATGATGGGATCAAATTCATACCTAACAATATTAACCTTAAATGTAAATAAGCCAAATGCCCCAATTAAAAGACACACACTGGCAAATTGGATAAAGAGTCAAGACCCATCAGTGTGCTGTATTCAGGAGACCTGTCTCACATGCAGAGACATCCATAGGTTCAAAATAAAAGGATGGAGGAAGATCCATCCTCACCAAAAAAATGGAAAGCAAAAAAAAAGCAGGGGTTGCAATCCTAGTCTCTGATAAAATAGACTTTAAACCAACAAAGATCAGAAGAGACAAAGAAGGCCATTACATAATGGTAAAGGGATCAATGCAACAAGAAGAGCTAACTATCCTAAATATACATGCACCCAATACAGGAGCACCCAGATTCATAAAGCAAGTCCTTAGAGACCTACAAAGAGACTTAGACTCACACAATAATATCGGGAGACTTTAACACCCCACTGTCAATATTAGACAGATCAACAAGACAGAAGGTTAACAAGGATATCCAGGACTTGAACTCAGCTCTGCACCAAGCAGACCTAATAGACATCTACAGAACTCTCCACACAAAAGCAACGGAATGTACATTCTTCTCAGTACCACATCACACTTATTCCAAAAATTCACCACATAGTTGGAAGTAAAGCACTCCTCAGCAAATGTAAAAGAACAGAAATCACAACAAACTGTCTCTCAGACCACATTGCAATCAAATTAGAACTCAGGATTAAGAAACTCACTCAAAACCGCTCAACTACATGGAAACTGAACAACCTGCTCCTGAATGACTACTGGGTACATAACGAAATGAAGGCAGAAATAAAGATGTTCTTTGAAACCAATGAGAACAAAGACACAACATACCAGAATCTCTGGGACACATTTAAAGCAGTGTGTAGAGGGAAATTTATACTACTAAATGCCCACAAGAGAAAGCAGGAAATATCTAAAATCAACACCCTAATATCACAATTAAAGGAACTAGAGAAGCAAGAGAAGACAAATTCAAAAGCTAGCAGAAGGCAAGAAACAGCTAAGATCAAAGCAGAACTGAAGGAGATAGAGACACAAAAAACCCTTCAAAAAATCAATGAATCCAGGAGCTGGCTTTTTGAACAGATCACCAAAATTGATAGACCACTAGCAAGACTAATAAAGAATAAAAGAGAGAAGAATCAAATAGACACAATAAAAAATGATAAAGGGGATACCACCACCGATCCCACAGAAATACAAACTACCATCAGAGAATACTATAAACACCTCTACACAAATAAACTAGAAAATCTAGAAGAAATGGATAAATTCCTGGACACATACACCCTCCCAAGACTAAAACAAGAAGAAGTTGAATCCCTGAATAGACCAATAACAGGCTCTGAAATTGAGGCAATAATTAATAGCCTACCAACCAAAAAAAGTCCAGGACCAGATGGATTCACAGCCGAATTCTACCAGAGGTATAAAGAGGAGCTGATACCATTACTTCTTAAACTATTCCAATCAATAGAAAAAGAGGGAATCCTCCCTAACTCATTTTATGAGGCCAACATCATCCTGATACCAAAGCCTGGCAGAGACACAACAAAAAAAGAGAATTTTAGACCAATATCCCTGATGAACATCGATGCGAAAATCCTCAATAAAATACTGGCAAACCGAATCCAGCAGCACATCAAAAAGCTTATCCACCACGATCAAGTCAGCTTCATCTCTGGGATGCAAGGCTGGTTCAACATACACAAATCAATAAACGTAATGCATTGCATAAACAGAACCAAAGACAAAACTATATGATTATCTCAATAGATGCAGAAAAGGCCTTTGACAAAATTCAACAGCCATTCATGCTAAAAACTCTCAATAAACTAGGTATTGACAGAATGTATCTCAAAATAATAAGAGCTATTTATGACAAACCCACAGAAAGTATCATACTGAACGGGCAAAAACTGGCAGCATTCCCTTTGAAAACTGGCACAAGACAGGGATGCCCTCTCACCACTCCTATTCAACATAGTGTTGGAAGTTCTGGCCAGGGCAATCAGGCAAGAAAAATAAATAAAGGGTATTCAATTAGGAAAAGAAGAAGTCAAATTGTCCCTGGCTGCAGATGACATGATTGTATATTTACAAAACCCCATTGTCTCAGTCCAAAATCTCCTTAAGCTGATAAGCAACTTCAGCAAAGTCTCAAGATACAAAACCAATGTGCAAAAATCACAAGCATTCCTATACACCAATAACAGACAAACAGAGAGCCAAATCATGAGTGAACTTCCATTCACAATTGCTACAAACAGAATAAAATACCTAGGAATCCAACTTACAAGGGATGTGAAGGACCTCTTTAAGGAGAACTTCAAACCACTGCTCAATGAAATAAAAGAGGACACAAACAAATGGAAGAACATTCCATGCTCATGGATAGGAAGAATGAATATTGTGAAAATGGCCATACTGCCCAAGGTAATTTATAGATTCAATGCCATCCCCATCAAGCTACCAATGACTTTCTTCGCAGAACTGGAAAAAACTACTTTAAAGTTCATATGGAACCAAAAAAGAGCCCACATTGCCAAGACAATACTAAGCCAAAAGAACAAAGCTGGAGGCATCACACTACCTGACTTCAAACTATACTACAAGGCTACAGTAACCAAAACAGCATGGTACTGGTACCAAAACAGAGATATAGACCAATGGAACAGAACAGAGCCCTCAGAAATAACACCACATATCTACAACCATCTGATCTTTGACAAACCTGACAAAAACAAGAAATGGGGAAAGGATTCCCTATTCAATAAATGGTGCTGGGAAAACTGGCTAGCCATATGTAGAAAGCTGAAACTGGATTCCTTCCTTATACCTTATACAAAAATTAATTCAAGATTGATTAAAGACTCAAATGTTAGATCTAAAACCATAAAAACCCTAGAAGAAAACCTAGGCAATACCATACAGGACATAGGCATGGGCAAGGACTTCATGACTAAAACACTAAAAGCAATAGCAACAAAAGCCAAAATGGACAAATGGGACCTAATTAAACTAAAGAGCTTCTGCACAGCAAAGGAAACTACCATCAGAGTGAACAGACAACCTACAGAATGGGAGAAAATTTTTGCAATCTACCCATCTGACAAAGGGCTAATATCTGGAATCTACAAAGAACTTAAACAAATTTGCAAGAAAAAATCAAACAACCCCATCAAAAACTGGGCAAAGGATATGAACAGACACTTCTCAAAAGAAGATATTTATGCAGCCAACAGACATGTGAAAAAATGCTCATCATCACTGGTCATCAGAGAAATGCAAATCAAAACCACAATGAGATACCATCTCACACCAGTTAGAATGGTAATCATTAATACATCAGGAAACAACAGCTGCTGGAGAGGATGTGGAGAAATAGGAACACTTTTACACTGTTGGTGGGACTGTAAACTAGTTCAACCATTGTGGAAGACAGTGTGGCGATTCCTCAAGGATCTAGAACTAGAAATACCATTTGATCCAGTGATCCCATTACTGGGTATATACCCAAAGGATTATAAATCATGCTACTATAAAGACACATGCACATGTATGTGTATTGCAGCACTACTCAACAATAGTAAAGACTTGGAACCAACCCAAATGTCCATAAAGAATAGACTGGATTAAGAAAATGTGGCACATATACACCATGGAATACTATGCAGCCATAAAAAAGGATGAGTTCATGTGATTTGTATGGACACGGATGAAGCTGGAAACCATCATTCTGAGCAAACTATCACAAGGACAGAAAACCAAACACCACATGTTCTCACTCATAGGTGGGAATTGAACAGTGACAACACTTGGACACAGGGCGGGGAACATCACACACCAGGGCCTGTCGTGGAGTTGGGGGATGGGGGAGGGATAGCATTAGGAGAAATACCTAATGTACATGACAAGTTAATGGGTGCAGCAAACCAACATGGCACATGTATACATATGTAACAAACCTGCACGTTGTGCACAAGCACCCTAGAACTTAAAGTATAAATATATATATATATATATATATATACACACACAAACACACAAATGGGAAGAAGCACTTGAAAGGTTGCACAAAATTAATAATTTATAGAAAAATGCGAAACAAAATCACAATACAAAACAAAATTACCTTACATCAGTTAGAATGGCCACTATACATTTTTTCAAAAACACCAACTATGTTGATGATGTAAAGAAATTGAAACCTATGTAAATGGTTGAGAAAAAAGATGCAGCCATCATAAAAATATCATAAATGTCCTTCAAATAATTAAAAATGAAATTATCATGTAATACAGCAACACCATTTATGAAACTATATCTAAAATATACAACACAGTAAAATGAAGACAAAAGAAATATCCTGCTTGCATATCCCCCCACAGCAAGTATCATAACCCAGCCTCTAAATAAATAAATAAATACATACATATATAAAAATTTAAAAATGAAAAAAATTTGTAAAAAAACTTTATATTTCAAGGCTATAGTAATAAAAACAGAATGGCCTGTGTAGAAAAATGGACAACCACCAATGAAACAGAAATTACTATTCTCACACATTTTAGACATGATGCAAAAAAAATTTTATAAATAGTTTAACGTAGAGTTTCTCAAAAATATGCAAATATTAGTGTGTCCCCAAAAGCTATGGCAAAGCAGTCAGTTTGTGCAGTCCCTGATAAGCCATAAAGAAAACTCTGGCTCACACTGTGAACTTGAAGAAAGATTATTGAAGTGGAAGTAGAATCCTTAGAGAATTTAACAGCATGGGGCAGAAGGTGTCCCTATGTGAGAGCAAAAGAAAAAAATGACTCGAGCCTCTCAGAAACTCTTTCCATCGAAGCACAGCTCCCCAGACCACATTTCAAGGACTGGCTGCCTTGTTGATTTGTGTATCTCTCATCTGTGTCATCTGCTTCATTCGCTCTCACCTACCTGGGTGTTTGGCTACCATCTCATTTCTCTTTATATTCCAAGCCTCTTTATTTTGCTCCAGACAGGTAATCAAGTCTGGCTTAGAGTCAGCAATACCTGTTTTATTAAGAAAAAAAAGTAAGATAAATCTTGCTGAATTCTTTAATTACCAAACTAGTATTATGGTTAGTAAAGAGGATTTAATAGAAAATTCTAGAAAATTAAAGTTGATTCATAACAGACCTTTCTACATATTTAGAAAATATTTTAAATTTGTAAGTCCTTATTTTCACTACTCAGTACTACTGAATCAAACATTGGTGGTGGCAACTGAATTCTAAGGCGTGGGAAACGCTATTTTATGCCATGACATTTTTGGAATTGCAACTAACCTAGAGCAAAAGATACATAAGCTCAGGAAAGGGAAAAGTTCAGGTCAAGATAAAACATCGTGAAGAATCTGTTCTACACCAATGAATCCCCAAGATTTTCTTAAAATTGGAGAGCTAAAAATTATTCATGCAAAGCAGAAATTACCAAAATCATCTTAGAAAAGAGAGAAAGGCAATATATTAGGAATTGTGTATTGAAGTTTTCCTCACCCAGGGAGACCAGGTTTCTGTAGTTCTCTAACATCACATCTCTATATAAATTCTGCTGAGCACAATCCAGGCATTGCCACTCCTCCAGAGAGAATTCTATAGCTATGTCTCTGAATGTCAACAGTCTCTGAAAAAAACAAAAACAAAAACAAAAAACACTCATGAACACAGTTACCATGTGGCCATAGGCAGAGATTTGTATTTGACTCAAGTTAAAAAAGAGAGTAAAATGAAGTGGTTCTCACTTATAAGACTGACTAAAATTATTCGATAAGATAATTTTTAACACTGAAGTATTCTCTAACTCTAAGAAAAGAGAATAGCATAAGATCCACAATACCACTGTAGATTTGATAGTTTTCTGGATGATAAATTATAAAATTAAGGGCATCAACATGGACATGTCTTTTTTTTCTATTTTTCTTTTCTTCTTTTTTTTGAGACCGAGTTTCACTCTGTTGCCCAAGCTGGAATGGGAGTGGCATGATCTTGGCTCAGTGCAACCTCCACCTCCCGGGTTCAATCGATTCTCCTGCCTCAGCCTCCCAAGTAGCTGAGACTACAGGCGTGAGCCACCATGCCTGGCTGATTTTTGTATTTTTAGTAGAGATGGGGTTTCTCCATGTTGGCCAGGCAGGTCTTGAATTCCTGACCTCAGGTGATCCACCCACCTCGGCCTCCCAAAGTGCGGGACATGTCTATTTTTAAGGGCTATATTTACATCATACAGAATAAGTTGTGTTATTTCTCAGATAGAACAGTCATGATGACTTGGAAGGTACCTCTCAAGTCTTAATATGTGCAATAAACTAAACATCTTGTGCAGATTTTGTTTCAGGAGATTTGGGATAAAGTCTGAATTTCTGAATTTTTAGCAAGCTCACCAATGTTTCTAGCCTAGTAAGAATATTTTGTCAAACATCCAGTAAGTGGCAGAGTCTGAGTTTTTCCCAGTTTCTCTCACCTGTAAATAAAGAGCCTTCATTTTTAAAAGACAAATATATGCAAAAGTCATCTAAAAAGAAAGGACAGATTCCAGATTAAATGTGATGGTTTATGCACTTCAGCTAGTAAATCTCCTAAGTGTACTTAATAATTAAGAGAATAATAATTAACTCTATAGTGGAAAAAATGTCAGAGACATCGTGAACCAAGTGAATAAAATTGTTATCAACTTTATTAGGACACATTTGTATTATGTGCTGATGCACACAGGACACAACATCACTGCTGTGGTATTTCTCACCTCTCAGAAAAGTAAATGGTAATCCAAATTTAATTTTATATATATATATATATATATATATATATATTTTTTTTTTTTTTTTAAGAGACAGAGTCTCGCTCTGTCACCCAGGCTGGAGTGCAGTGGTGCAATCTCATCTCACTGCAACCTCCACCTCCTGAGTTCAAGCAATTCTCCTGCCTCATCCTCCTGAGTAGCTGGGATTACACGTGTGTGCACCACACCTGGCTAATTTTTGTATTTTTTTTTTTTTCCGTAGAGACGGGGTTTTACCATGTTGGCCAGTCTGGCCTCGAACTCCTGACCTCACATGATCCGCCTGCCTTGGCCTCCCAAAGTGCCGGGATTACAAGCCTGAGACACTGCGCCCGGCCTAAATTTAATTATAAAGAAACCATCAGTTTTATGCAAAGTCGAAGGTGCAGATAACTTCCCTGTTCTGTAATTTTTAATAGTAATTTTAAGTAGTCTTTCTTTAGCACCCTGGAGAGCAAGTATCTCCTTATAGCTTTTTCAGAACTTTCTGGGCAATACACGCCATTCTGTATAAATGAGCATTTTCTAAATCCTGTCCTGCATGGAACTAATAGAGCACACAGATGAAAACTCAACAGGACATGTTTCACTTTTCACTAATATCCAAAGACAACTGTGTTTCCCCAATAGAAATCTTGAGTATTTACACCTTCTCATGTTCAACAGCTACAATGGGAACATTTTAAATATTGCAGGTCATAAATTTGTAGTGAGAATTCTGCATGGTATACAAGAACCCAAGATGAAAAGTATGTATAGAACACCATGGCATATAGAAAAAATATTTTTTTTCAGAACGCCTTGACTATCATAAAAATAACAAAAAATAGTTGAAACAAACTCATTAGGGATCAACAGTACAAGTACAGAAGTAAAAATTTGCAAGTTCCAAACAGATGGCATTCCAAAAGGCAGAGTGGACACTGTGCTTGATCTGAGACATGTTCACCAAGAAAAAGTGATTTTTTTCTTTTCCTCCTCTTTCTCTGAAATGTATTTTCAGATAAGATGCTCTGGACATATCAAACCTGCATCTTGAGAATATGCCTTTAAAGCACAACCTATTCACCTGCTACCGCCACACACACCCACGGCAGAAAGACCGAGACTTGCAGAAAACATTCACCCATTTTTGTTGTTTATAACTGAAAAGATTTAAGAGCAATGAGAGAACAATGAGCTTCTCCATAACTATTAAAATATAAGTTTCTTTTTCCCTGCCCTCCCCTATCAGACACCAGCAATGTTCTTTACAGTAATGGGAGCATGAACCGCACTGACCTCTTCCTACCAAACTGAAACAGGGCAGGCAGTGCAGCCTTCCTTTGATGCAAAGGTTGAACTAAACTCTCCTGAATGTATCTTGAACCCCTCAAGTTTATAAATCACTTGGTAATCTTGGCCCTGCTTTTCGCAATGTGATTCTGCAGGATCCAAAAAGTTCCAGGAATGGGCTTTTTCAACAAGTCCCCTGTAAATGCTGACTGTGCTTTCCCAGACACATTATTAGCATTAGCGAGAGAAAGCAGGCACAGCAGAGTCCCTTACACCCACCACATTTGTCACAAAACAAATACATCTGGTACAAATAAAGACAACCAATCATCATGCTGAAATATTTTTTGTTGGCTTTTTTAAGTTTACAGGGACAACAGAAGACAGCAATATCTGAGTAAGTCTGCTCTTGGGAAATGTGTATGCATGTACTAAAAAAATGTTTATTAAGCAGGTACTATGTGCTCTGGAGCATGTCACAGAACACTGTGCTGGGAATAACACATAATGTGATTTAATTTTCATAGCACTCTGGGAGTTGCTACTAAGTGTTGAATAATTTTTAGTATTTAGATTAAGAGCACAGCATTTTTATTTCTTCTTATGTTTCTCTATCATTACTTTTAAAAAGAAAACGTATAGAATAATAATACCACAAAAAACATATGAAATGATACAATTACATAAAAATTGAATAATCAGCTTCGAAATGGCTATTTGTAAATAATGAAATTAAGGCAGACACAAAAAATTTTTTGAAACTAGTTAGAGCCAAAATACAACATACTAGAATCTCTGGGTTACAGCTAAGGCAGTGTTAAGAATAAAATGTATGTCACTAAACATCCACATCAAAAAGTTAGATCTCAATTTAAAAATCTATTGTTACAATTAAAAGAATTTCAAAAGTAAGAGCAAACCAACTTCAAAGCTCACAAAAGACAAAAAATAACCAAAATCAGAGCTGAAATGAAGAACGTCGAGACATAAATAGTACAAGGAGCTGGGTGCTGTGGCTCACTCCTGTAATCCCAGCACTTTGGGAGTCCAAGGCGGGCAGATCACAAGGTCAGGAGTTTGAGACCAGCCTGGCCAACGTGGTGAATCCCCATCTCTACTAAAAATACAAAAATTAGCTGGGCGTGCAGCACATGCCCATAATCCCAGCTACTCGAGAGGCTGAGGCAGGAGAATCTCTTGAAACTGGAGGGCAGAGGTTGCAGTGAGCCGAGATTTTGCCATTGCACTCCAGCCTGGGCAATAGAGTGAGACTCCATCTTAAAAATATATATATATATATTTCAACGAAACCAGAAGTTGATTCTATGTAAAAATGACTAAGATAGATAAAACACTAGACTAATGGAGAAAAAAGAAATAATTCAAATAAAAACAATTAGACTAAAAAGTCAAACAAATAAACAAACAAAAAACCAGATGCTTGTGAGGTTGTGGAGAAACTGAATGCTTATACACTGCAAGTGAGAGTATAAATTTGTTTAAACATTGAGAAAAGCAGTTTGGCATTTTTTCAAAAACCTGAAAACAGAATTACCATTCTGAATCCCACAATTGGGAATATACCCAATGAATGTAAGTTATTCTACCATGAAGACACATGCACATGTATGTTTATTACAGCACGATTCACAATAGCAAGAACCAGAAATAAACCTATATGTCTTCAGTGGTAGAGTGGATAAAGAAAATGTGTTACGTAAACACCATGAAATATGATGCAGCTATAAGGAAGAACAACATCATGTCCTTTGCAGCAACGTCAATGGAGCTGGAGACTGCTATTTTTAGAAAACTAGTGCAGGAACAGAAAATCAAATACTATATGTTGTCACTTATAAGTGGGAGCAAAATAATGAGAACACGTGGACACAGATAAGAGAACAACAGACAGACACTGAGGCCCAGTTCAGGGTGGAGGGTCGGAGGATGACGAAAATCAGAAAACAAATCTGTTGGATACTATGCTTACCACCTGAGTGATAAAATAATCTGTACACAAAAACTTCATGATATGATTTTACCTATACAACAAACCTGCACATGTACTCCTGAACCTAAAATAAAAGGTAAAAGAAAAAAAATTCGGCTGCGCACAGTGGCTCATGCCTGTAACCCCAGAACGTTGGGAGGCTGAGGCAGGCAGATCACCTGAGGCCAAAAGTTCAAGACCAACCTGTCCAACATGGTCAAATCCAGACTCTACTAAAAATAAAAAAATTAGTTGGATGTGGTGGTGGGAACTGTAATTCCAGCTACTCTGGAGACTGAAGCAGGACAATCACTTGAACCCGGGACACGGAGGTTGTAATGAGGTGAGATCACACCAATGCACTCCAGCCTGGGCGGAGAGTGAGACTCCGTCCTGCTCCCGCTCCCCCCGCCAAAAAAAAAGACACAGTTGAAAAATGCAGGCTGGGTGTGATAACTTATTCCTGTAATCCCAGCACTTTGGGAGGCTGAGGCAGGCTGATCACTTGAGTCCAGGAGTTTGAGACCAGCCTGGCCAACATGGCAAAACTGTGTCTCTACTAAAAATAAAAATGTCAGCTAGGTGTGGTGGTGGGTACCTGTAATCCCAGCTACTTGGGAGGCTGAGGCAGGAGAATCACTTGAACCCGAAAGCCAGAGGTTGCAGTGAGCTAATATCGCACCACTGCACTCCAGCCTGAAGGACAGAGCGAGACTCCCTCTCAAAAAAAAAAAAAAAAAAAAAAAAAAAAAAAAGGCCGGGCATGGTGGCTCACGCCTGTAATCCTGTAATCCCAGCACTTTGGGAAGCCCAGGTGGGTGGATCACCTGAGGTCGGGAGTTCAAGACCAGCCTGACCAACATGGAGAAACTCCGTCTCTATTAAAAATACAAAATTAGCTGGGGTGGTGACGCATGCCTGTAATCCCAGCTACTTGGGAGGCTGAGGCAGGAGAATCGCATGAACATGGGAGGGGGAGGTTGCAGTGAGCCAAGATCACGCCATTGCACTCCAGCCTGGGTAATAAGAGCGAAACTCTGTCACACACACACACACACAAAAAAAAAAAAAAGTAAGGGAAAAGCAGTTTCCTTTGCAGTGTAAAAATATTTAAACAGTAGGTAATTAGGCTGAGGTGGATTGATTTTTTTCGGTTCTCACTTAAAAAAAAAATCTAACTCAAATGTATCTCTTATGGTTGGGTGAGGTGGCTCACGCCTGTAATGCAAATGCTTTGGGAGGCCAAGATGGGCGGATCACTTCAGGTCAGGGGTTCGAGAGCACCCTGGCCAACATGGTGAAACCCCGTCTCTACTAAAAATACAAAAATTAGCCTGGTCGTGGCGGGCTCCTGTAATCCCAGCTACTCGGGAGCCTGAGGTGGGAGAATCGCTTGAACCCGAGAGGGGGAGGTTGCAGTGAGCCGAGATCGCGCCATTGCACTCCAGCCTGGGTGACAGAGCGAGACTCCCTCTCAAAAAATAAATAAACAAATACATTTCTTGTAAATTATTATATTGAAGAAAAAAATTCAGGCCTAGTCAACCACAGACTGGCAACTAATCTCTGATGACATAACCAAGGCATTTTCACCTGGATCTTACAAATAAGGAAACTACATAACTGTACCAAACCAATTACTGAATTTGGTTTCCTTCATCACGCAACTTATAACAGAATTTCCTTCAAGTCTCTCCCATGGATCACAACCCACAAATCATAGCTGGGCGCTCTATGACTCTTGAATCACACTTTGATCAAGTTCTCTAATATTTTTACAGTGACTCCCATACACCTCTAAAAGGAAAAATGGTGAACTAGGGACCCCAGGGACCACAGCTCTTACCACTTATGAATCCTGCACCCTGAGTCTGGATTCTCCCCTGATGACTTTCCCATCCCTGTACAATCTGGGTGAGATGAGGCGCTGGGAGTGCAGAGCTGCCCAGAGAGGCCTCCAGTCCAGGGCAAAGCCACTGCAGAGGAAAAAGACAGAACTCCCAGGGTCCCAGCCGCTGGCCCAGGCAGCATCTTACGGTTCGAGGGGACTAAAAGCCGAGCTGGGACAAGGAGGATTTGGGTCCTCAGACTCCAGAGCTGACTGCGAGGAAGTTTGGGTCCTGCTACAAGCCACTTTCAGCCGGTTCCAACCGTCTCCCGCCCCTCTCACGATGACAGACCCAGCACTCACCATTTCTCGGCTTCCAGGGGATCCCGGTCTTTCAGCCATAAATCTGCGAATACCTGCAGGACACAAGGCCACAGAGGCTTGGCCTCTAGGAGCAGAGAATGCAGAGCCCTGAAGAAAAGAACTGGAGCTCGGGACGCAGAGAAGCACAAAAGGACCCGCAAACTTACGGAAGCGTCCTGGTCTCTCCAGCTGCACGCCTGATTGGCCAGTTTCTAGTCCACGGCCCCTGATTGGATAAGGTTTCAGGCCCCACCCTTCATGCCTGAATGACACAATATTTGATCACTGGGCTGAAGGAAGCAAAAATAACAGGCTGGGCTGCAGCCTTTACAGGCAAGGCTTCTTCCCTGATCTCAGCCAGGCCGACACCGGAGGATATTTGCATTTAACCTTGTGTATAACGTCATATGCATTTATAAATGATATATAATATAGTTATTCATAAATTGAAAGAATATAATGACAATTATTTTAAAAATTTGGATGTTGTGACCTTCCTTGCTGTGGATCCTTTGCACAGCATATGATATAGTTTGACTCTGTGGCTCCACCCAAATCTCATCTCAAATTGTAATTCCCATCCATGTGCGGTGGCTCACGCCTGTAATCCCAGCACTTTGGGAGGCCGAGACAGGCGGATCACGAGGTCAGGAGTTCAAGACCAGCCTGGCAATATGGTGAAACCCCTCCTCTAGTAAAAATACAAAAATTAGCCAAGAGTGGTGGCGCGCGCCTATAGTGCCAGCTACTCGGGAGGCTGAGTCAGGAGAATTGCTTCAACCCAGGAGGCGGAGGTTGCAGTGAGCCTAGATGGCACCAATGCCTTCCAGCCTGGATGACAGAGTGAGACTCCCTATCAAAGAAAAAAAAATTGTAATTCCCACGTGTCAGGGCAGGGACCGGGTGGGAGGTGACTGGATCACTGGGGTGGATTATCCTCATGTGTTCTTGTGATAGTAAGGGAGCTCTCAAGAAACCTGATGGTTTAAAAATGTGGCACGTCCCCCCGCCAGCCCCAAGTTCTTTCTCTTTTTCCACCACGTGAGATGTGCCTTGCTTTCCCTTCACCTTCTGTCATGGTCATGATTTTAAGTTTCCTGAGGATTCCTCAGCCATGTAGAATTATGATTCAATTAAACCACTTTTTAAAAAAGTACGCAGTCTGAGGTATTTGTTTATAGCAGTGTGAAAATGGACTAATACATTCAGGCACCCTGAGATTTCAAAAAGGAGGCAATCCTTTGCAGTAAAATATGAGCCACATGTAAATTTTGAACGTGCTAGTAGCCAAATGTTAAAAAGTAAAAAGAAAAAGGTGTCAGGCGCAGTGGCTCACACCTGTAATCTCAGCACTTTGAGAGGCCGAGATGGCGAAACACCTGAGGTCAGGAGTTCGAGACCAGCCTAGCTGACATGGCGAAACCCCGGCTCTACCAATAATAGAAAAATTAGCTGGGTGTGGTGACAGGCACTTGCAATCCCAGCTACTCTGGAGGCTGATGTAGGAGAATCGCTTGAACCCCGGAGGCAGAGGTTGCAGGGAGCTGAGATCCCGCCACAACACTCCAGCCTGGCAACAGAGCGACTCTGTCTCAAAATAAAAAAGAAAGAAACAGGTGGAATAACAGGTGGAATTGATCGTAACAATTTAATCCGTCCAATATATCCAAAATATTGTTATTTTAATATCTGATTAGTGTATAATGGTTAACAAAGCATATATGTTTTTGAAGCTTAATCTTTGAATGTACCCTTGCATTTTACCTTTCCAGCACATTGCAGTTCAGACCAGCCACATTCCAGCACTCTGTGGCCATGTCAGAGGTGTTAGAACCAGAGCAACTGCATCTGGAATAGGTTCTGGGTAAAACAGGGCTGACACCTACAGGACTGCTTTTCCATGCGGTCAGGCATTCTAAGTCACAGGATAAATAGATTAGCATAAGATACAGTTCACAAAGACCTTGCTGATAAAACAGTTTGCAGTAAAGAAGCCACAAAAATCCACCAAAACCAGTTGCGAACAAAAGGGACCTTTGATTGTACTCATGGATCGTTACACGCGAATTATAATGCATTAGCATGTGAAAGACATTCCCACCAGCACCATGACAGTTAACGAATGCCACGGCAACATCAGAAAGTGACCTTACATGGTCTAAAAAGGAGAAAACTCAGTTCTGGAAATTGCCATCCCTTTCTTGTAAAACTCATGAATAATCCACTCCTTGGTTAGAATATAATCAAGAAATAACTGTAAGTATCCTTCGTTGAGTGGCCCACACTGCTGCTCTGCCTACGGAGTAGCTGTTCTTTTATTCCTTTACTTTCCTAATAAATTTGCTTTTGCTTTGCACTGCAGACTCACCCAAAATTCTTTCTTTTCTTTTTTTTTTTCTTTGAGACAGAGTCCAGCTCTGTCACCCAGGGTGGAGTGCAGTGGCACCATCTTAGTTCATTGTAACCGCTGCCTCCTAGGTTCAAGAGATTCTCCTGCCTCAGCCTCTGGAGTAGCTGGGATTACAGGCCCACGCCACCATCGTATTTTTAGTAGAAATGGGATTTCACCGTCTCAGCCAGGCTGGTCTCAAACTCCTGACCTCAAGTGATCCTCCTGCCTCTGCCTCCCAAATTGCCAGGGTTACAGGTGTGAGCCACCACCCATGGCTCTAAATTATTTATTGTACAAGATCCAAGAACCCACTCTTTGGTTCTGGATTGGGACCATTTCTGGAAGCTTCTTTTCAGTGAATCACAAAGGAATGATACTAAGGAAACCACCAACCCACAGGAAATAGACTGAATCACCAACTGGCTAACCTTTTGCAAGTGTTGGCATACCCGGGTATGGAATGGGATTGGGTTAGTAGCCAAATTTACGGGAGTTAGAGTGTCTCCTAAGACAGATAAGATAAAAGGTCCTTTTTAATAAAAGGCAAGAACACTTAACAAAATTTGTGGTTGAGGTGCAACTTTGAAAGGTTAGAGTCTTTCCTAAGATTTAGGGGGTTAGAGGCCCCTCTCAGTAAAGTCCCTCTGAGCTAAGATTAGATTTGGCATTATGGAATGTTAACCACTGCTGTCTTTGTTTGTTTGTTTGTTTGTTTGTTTTGAGATGCAGTCTCACTCTTGTCGCCCAGGCTGGAGTGCAATTCGACACCTCGGCTCACTGCAACCTCCACCTCCCAGGTTCAAGCGATTCTCCTGCCTCAGCCTCCTGAGTAGCTGGGATTACAGGAGCCCACCAGCACACCCAGCTAATTTTTGTATCTTTAGTAGAGACGGGGTTTCACCATGTTGGCCAGGCTGGTCTTGAACTCCTGACCTCAGGTGATCCACCCACCTTCGCCTCCCAAAGTGCTGGCATTACAGGTGTGAGCCACCGCACCCAACCTATTTTTTTTATTATGCTTACATTGGGATTATTTAGTTGCTCTTTTTCAAGTATTTCTGTGGATTAAAGTTATGTTTTTTATTTGACATCTTTTCCTTTTTCTTAATATAGAAATATATCACTATAAACTTCTGATTTAGAACTGTTTTGTGGGTTTTTTTTTTTTTTTGTATCCCAGGAGTCATTGTATGCTTTGTTTCTATTTTCTTTTTTCTCATTATACTTTCTGATTTCCCTTTGCTTTTTCTTTTGACCTATTGGCTGTCCAGGAACATGTTGTTTACTCTCCACATATTGGTGAGTTTTTAAATTCTTATTTGGCTATTATTTTCTAGTTTTTATTAAATTGTAATTTAAAAAGTTGATATAGCTGGGCACAGCGGCTCATGCCTGTAATCCCAGCATTTTGGGAGGCCAAGATGGGTGGATTACCTGAGGTCAGGAGTTTGAGACCAGCCTGACCAACATGGTGAAACCTCATCTTTACTAAAAATAAAAAATTGGCTGGGTATAGTGGTGCATGCCTGTAATCTCAGCTACTTGGGAGGCTGAGGCAGAAGAATCACTTGAACCCAGGAGGCGGAGGCTGCAGTGAGCTGAGATCATACAATTGCACTCCAGCCTGGGCAACAAGAGTGAAACTTCATCTTAAAAAAAAAAAATGGACAAATGATTAAACTAAATTTTAATTAAAAAAAAAAGATACACAAATGGGAAGAAGCATTTGAAAGGTTGCACATAATTAATAACTTATAGAAAAATGAAAAACAAAATCACAATACAAAACAAAATTCCCTGACATCAATTAGAATGGCCACTACAAATTTTTTCAAAAATACCAACTATGTTGATGATGTAAAGAAACTGAAACCTATGTAAGTTGTTGATGAGAAAAAAGATGCAGCCATCATAAAAAACATCATGAATGTTTGTCAAATAATTAAAAATGAAATTATCATATAATATAGCAATTCCATCTATGAATCTATATATATAAAGTATGCAACACAGTAAAATGAAGACATAAGCAGTACCCTGCTTGCATATCCCCCCACAGCAAGTCTCACAACCCAGCCTCTAAATGAATAAATACATGGATAAAAATTAAAAAATAAAAAAATTTAGTAAAAAAAACTTTATATTTCAATGTTATAGTAATAAAAACAGAATGGCATGTGCAGAAAAATGGACAATCACCAATGAAACAGAAACTACTATTCTCACACATTTTAGACATGATGCAAAAAAAGAATTTTAAAAATGTTTTAACATAGAGTTTCTCAAAAATATGCAGATATTTGTATGTCCCCAAAAGCAATGGCAAAGCAGTCAGTTTGTGCAGTCCCTGGTAAGCCATAAAGAAAACTTTGACTCACACTGTGAACTTGAAGGAAGATTACTGAAGCAAAAGTAGAATCCTTAGAGAATTTAAAAGCATGGGGCAGAACGTGTCCCACCCTATGTGAGAGAAAAAGAAAAAAATGACTCGGGCTTCCCAGAAACTTTCCATCAAAGCACAGCTCCCCAGACCACATTTTAAAGACTGGCTGCCTCCTTGATTTGTGTACCTTTCATCTGTGTCATCTGCTTCATTCGCTCTCACCTACCTGGGTGTTTGGCTACCATCTCATTTCTCTTTGTATTCCAGGGCTCTTTGTTTTGCCCCAAGCAGTTGATCAAGTCTGGCTTAGAGACAGCAATACCTGTTTTATTAAGAAAAAAAAAAAAACATAAATCTTACTGAATTCTTTAATTACCAACCTAGTATTATGCTTAGTAAAGAGGATATAATAGAAAATTCTAAAAAATTAATATTGATTCATAACAGAACTTTCTAAATATTTAGAAAATATTTTAAATTTGTAGGTCCTTAATTTCACTACTCAGTACTACTGAATCAAAAATTGGTGGCAGCAACTGAATTCTAAGGTGTGGGCAACGATATTTTATGCCATGACATTTTTGGAAAAAGAAAGAAAAATTTGGCGGGGCGTTGTGGCTCATGCCTATAATCCCAGCACTTTGGGAGGCCGAGGCGGGCAGATGACCTGAGGCCAGGAGTTTGAGACTAGCCTGGCCAACATTGTGAAACCCTGTCTGTACTAAAAATACAAAAATTAGCTGGGGTGGTGGCATGCACCTGTAATCCCAGCTACTCAAGAGGCTGAGGCAGGAGAATTGCTTGAACCCGGGAGGCGGAGGTTGCAGTGAGTCGAGATCACACCACTGCACTCCAGCCTGGGTGACAGAGCCAGACTCCATCTAAAAAAAAATTCCTTGCACTCTTTCCCACTCCAGCCAGGGTGGCAGAGCGAGACTGTCTATAAATAAATAAATAAATAAATAAATAAATAAATTTCTCCATCCTTTGTGGTCTTCACCAACAGCTTAAGAGAAACACTTTTTCCTGTTATGACTTAGGTGGTTTTGTATTTTCTTACTTATCACATAGCCAGATACAGACTCTGCAAATTTCCACCTGTTTCTTATAAAAGAATCAGCTAAATACTTTTCTTCAGTGGTCAAAATATTTTTAAATCAACTTTGCTTAAATTTTTCTCTTATCTCAGGGCTCCTGACCTTTGAGTACCCTCAGTCTGAGCCAACATACAACCCCATTTTCTGTCTCTCCTTAAGAACATGCTAACTTCAGGGTAAAACATTCTCTGATCTAGAATCTAATTTTGCCCCCTTATATCATACCATTCTTACTCCATCTTCTTTCTAAACTTGTTTGCTATTCTCTACGAAAGAAAGTCCTTGTCTGCCTATACACGTTGATATCCTTAAAAATCTTATACTTGACACTTTTTTCTGTTGTTGGGATTCAGAACTTCTTACCTAAATCTGAATTTGTTTTATTTTACAAAGTCTAGAAACTGCCCCAAAACAGCAACACCTTTATTTTCAGTAAGATCCTCCCAATTCCCATCTATTCTAACTCTAACTGCATCTGCCTGTGGGTCCCCAGCTTTCCTGGACTCTGTTGCTTATCTCAGTAAAAATACTTCTTCCATGGCTGGGGTGAGCAGGTTGGGACATCTGCAGGAGAGGCTCCCTAGAAAGAACTGACTAGGTCTTCAAGGTCTTCAATAACCTCCTTTTGCAGGCTCCATATTGCCCTTAGCTTGGAGTCACAGGGCTCAGGCTTTAATTTCCAAGTCAGAGATGTTCATTTAGTTTTAGAAACTAAGTGGTGATAAATCCAGAAAAATTACTGAAACGCAGTGTTTATGCAAGGGAAAAAAATTTAAGGTGCTTACATTTTATAGCTCAATGAGAAAAGCAAAAGTATTTATCACTTTCAGACAATACACATATCACTAACTTATTTCCATAACAGGATATTCAGTAAACACTTAGTAATATGAACAAACTTCCAGAAGGTGCCCAGTCCCATCTCATAAAGTTTAGCATAAAATTCAGAAATCAAGATAACAGGAACAGGAGGGTGGCTGACACCTGTAATCCCAACAATTTGAGAGGCACAGGTGGGTGGACCACCTGAGGTCAGGAGTTCAAGACCAGCCTGGCCAACATGGCAAAACCCCGTCTCTACTAAAAGTACAAAAATTAGCCAGGCATGGTGGCATGTGCCTGTAATCCCAGCTACCCGGGAGGCTGAGTCAGGAGAATCGCTTGAACCCAGAAGCTGGAGGTTGCAGTGAGCCGAGATCATGCCACTGCACTCCAGCCTGGGCAACAGAGTGAGACTCGGTCTCAAAAAAAAAAAAAAAATCATATAGGAATGTAATTGGAAGCCATAGTTTCTGAATTTCAAATCATTATAAATGATTAAATTTAAATGATTATAAATTACGCCTGTAATCCCAGCACTTTGGGAGGCTGAGGCAGGTGAATCACGAGGTCAGGAGTTTAAGATCAGCCTGCCCAAGATGGTGAAACCCCATCTCTACTAAAAATACAAAAAATTAGCCGAGAGTGGTGGCGTGCGCCTGTAATCCCAGCTACTCAGGAGGCTGAGGCAGGAGAATCGCTTGCACTTGGGTAGCAGAGGTTGCAGTGAGCCGAGATCGCGCCACTGCACTCCAGTCTGGGTGACAGAGTGAGACTCCATCTCAAAAAAAAAAAAAAATTACTGAATATTTTTCCAACTGAACACATAAAGATGTTTTTGTGTTTTGATTTACATTGAATGCAATATACAAATATATTAAGCTAAAAATAAACTATAAGTGTAAGAGAAATATAGAGGAACAAATTTCTGTGTGTGTGTGTGTGTGTGTGTGTACACTTCTTTAAATGGAAAAGAAAATAGTGGACCAAAAAAATGGTGTCAAATCCGCAATTTGCTAGCAAATCAGGAACTTCACAATGCTTAAAGTAAAATTAGTTTCTCTATTGCACACTGAACTTATTTTTCCCAAATCTCAAGTCTCCTGGGTTCAGAATCTTTCTTATATATAGTTTTGTTTATGTATACTTTTTGTTTACTTGCATATTATTCACATGAGAACAAATATATAATTTTTTTGTTCCAAAGTTTGTGAAATATTTTTACATTTTCTGCTCAGGGATTTTAAGAATGTTTTCATAAAATTTATTTTTTATTTTATTTTATTTTTTTTTGAGATGGAGTCTTGCTCTGTCACCCAGGTTGGAGTGCAGTAGTGCCATCTCGGCTCACTGCAAGCTCCGTCTCCCGGGTTCATGCCATTCTCCTGCCTCAGCCTCCCAAGTAGCCGGGACTACAGGTGCCCGCCACCACGCCCGGCTAATTTTTTGTATTTTTAGTAGAGATAGGATTTCACCGTGTTAGCCAGGATGGTCTCGATCTTCTGACCTCGTGATCCACCCGCATTGGCCTTCCAAAGTGCTGGGATTACAGGCGTCAGCCACCACACCCGGCGATTTCATAAAATTTAATGTTGCTCAGAAGTTTATTTGAAGATTTAGTTCTACAGTGAGTGAGCATATTACATTTTATTTCACTATTGCATTCCATTTTTCTCCCTTACTGATTGGAGAAAAAACTATTTAAGTCAAAATTTTCTTTAGTTAATTTTTCCTTCTATTTATTTTAAGTGACATCATACAATTTTAAAATTTTACCAGGCTGACTTTTTTTCCGGTGGAAATTTAGGATGTTTTATAAGTTATGGAGTTGTTTTAATGTTTATATAAAGTAAACAAATACAGAGGACAGTGCTGGGTGTGAAGCAGATACTCAACATTTAAGAGAAAGCTATTTTTTTTTTTTTTTTTTGAGATGGAGTCTCACTCTGTCACCCAGGCTGGAGTGCAGTGGCGCTATCTGGGCTCACTGCAACCTCCATCTCCTGGGTTCAAGCGATTCTTCTACCTCAGCCTCACGAGTAGCTGGGACTACAGGCGTGTGCCACCATGCCTGGCTAATTTTTTGTATTTTTAGTAGAGATGGGGTTTCACCGTGTTAGCCAGAATGGTCTCGATCTCCTGACCTCATGATCCGCCTGCCTCGGCTTCTCAAAGTGCTGGGATTACAGGCGTGAGCCACTGCGCCCGGCCAGCCGAGAAAACTGTTTCTATTAGAGTAATATTACATGTTTCAGGTAAGAGACTGAAACATTTAGAGTGAAGAAATAGCATTGATTGTGCATGTGGGGAGAGGACACCTGCTCTTCAACTGAATGACTGAATTTAGAAAATAAAATTCTGCTTGTTTTATTTTATAATTATCTCCAGTTTCTCACTCTCTCTTTATTTATTTATTTATTTTTATTTTATTTATTTATCTATTTTTTTTCTGAGACGGAGTCTCACTCTGTCGTCCAGGCTGGAATGCAGTGGTGTGATCTCGGCTCACTGCAAGCTCCGCCTCCCGGGTTCACGCATTCTCCTGCCTAAGCCTCCAGCGTAGCTGGGACTACAGGTGCCCGCCACCACGCCTGGCTAATTTCGTTTTGTATTTTTAGTAGAGACGGGGTTTCACCATGTTAGCCAGGATGGTCTCGATCTCCTGACCTCGTGAACTGCCCGCCTCGGCCTCCCAAAGTGCTGGGATTACAGGCCATGAGCCACCGCGCCCAGATTCTCTCTTTATTTTTATCCCCAGCTACATATGCATCAAAGCCACTTTCTTGTCTTACGGTTACAGCTTTCTCACTGCTCTCCTTACCCCATGGAATCTCACACAAGACTTTTTGCAGTTCTGATGAATAGTTTGGAATTTTTGCAATGCAATGATAAATTGTTTTTTACTGAAGAGTTTGAGGCCACTTATAGGTTTTAAATACCACATTCTGATCACTTAATTGAAGTAGTAATGCAATAGTCCAGAGGATCAGATCAAGCAGTCAGCACTGTGGCAGATGTGGAGACAGATTAAACATGATAATGGTGTCTTTCTTAGTGAGGTAGATGAGGCCTATTGAAAAAAATATATAGCAGATACGTTTGAAATATGGGGTAGAAATTGAAGTGACTTCCCTGTAATCACTCTGAGGTCTTAGGATAGCTACAAGTGGTGTCATCACGTGAACAAATGTGACAGAGATGAGACGGGGACTTGGAAAATTTTGTTAAGTTTCCCTTCCTCCCTGTCTCCCTCCCTCCCTCTCTCTCTGTCTCTCTCTCTCTTTCTTTCTTTCTTTCTTTCTTTCTTTCTTTCTTTCTTTCTTTCTTTCTTTCTTTCTTTCTTTCTTTCTTTCCTTTCTTTTCTTTCTTTCTTTCCTGTCATCCAGGCTGGAGTGCACTGGTGTGATCTGGGCTCACTGCAACCTCCATCCTCTGGGTTCAAGTGATTCTCCTGCCTCAGCCTCATGAGTAGCTGGGACTACAGGCATGTGCCACCACACCTGGAGTCTTTGTCTCCCGGATGACTGTTTCTTGCTTTTAACTTGAATAAACTCTAAAACTGAATTTTGAGCCTTTTGATTATTTTAGATTGACAGCCCTTCATAGCATTTTTCTGTCTTCTGCTTTTACTTTCTTTTTTATTTTTTAATTTGAGATGGAGTTTCACTCTTGTCACCCAGGCTGGAGTGCAATGGCGCATCTCGGCTCACGTAACCTCCGCCTCCCGGGTTCAAGAGATTCTCCGGCCTCAGCCTCCTGAGTAGCTGGGACTACAGGCACCCAACACCACACCCGGCTAATTGTTGAATTTTTAGTAGAGACTGGGTTTCACCATGTAGGCCAGGCTGGTCTCAAACTCCTGACCTCAGGTGATCCACCTGCCTTGGACTCCAGAAGTGCTGGGATTACAGGCTTGAACCACCACACCCGGCCTCTGCCTTTACTTTCTAACTAAATCCTCTTTCATACACACACGTTGTACGTAACACCATGACTCAGGTGCCTGCTTCCAATACCTACTGGAATTCAGATGTCCATGAGTTCAGGGTCATGGACTTAGACCTGGCTGTTGTAAAGGCAAATAGAAATTAGAAATAGCAGACTTAATTCTTCAACTTGAAAATAAAGGAAGAGATTTTGTTCTTCTTTTTTTCTTAAAGGATTTAACTTAGAAAACTTTGCTATGTAAATTCTTTCTCTGACTCTTTGAAATATATGTAAATCATTTTAATAGCTAAATAGGACTTGGTCAATCATTTTAACTTAGAAATGCCTTTCTCTAGGACCTGGAAACCATTGCTTTGAAATGTAAACAGCAAAAAAGATAGTACCCTATGCCACAGTTTCTGTTGGATAGTAGGTGCCTACCTTCAGCAGACACTTGACTTCAAGTTGTAAAACTATCTTCTTCTATGAAGATAAAAAAAGTTAATTTTTCTCCTGAATATAGCCAATTAAAATTTCATTGAATATGCCCAATATACAGATGGCTTTCTCAATCACCAAATGAATTTAGGATCAACTATGTATGACAATTGTGCTGTTAAGTCTATTTAAGAACAATCTTGGCAGATTTGCTGTGATGCAGATCACCTTCTGATTTATTTAATAAAACAATGTTCTTTTTCTTCTGCTATTATTGAGTGTCTCTGAGGTTGGAGATAATTTTGATTTTAATTATGTTATTCAAACACTGTACAAAATTACCAGACGGGATATAAACATATGAGGTGCCCACAATACTTTAGTTCAGAGAGGCTTTTCTCTCTTTGGCTTGCCCCGTAATTTGCAGGCAGAATATTTCTCTGCCTGTTTGTGATATACAGTCCCTTCTGGAGCAGTTCAACCAGGTTTCTAGAAAAACACCTTCACAGAAGAGCAATCAGCCATTCCAGCTCCATCTTTCAATGCACTTGGCATCTTCAGACCTAAAGATAATTCAAACACCATGGGGCCCTGAATCCCAAACAGCCTGGCTAAAGTTCTATGAATTTTGCTTATCTTTTCAAAAAAACTCACTTTACATTATGCTCTTCTTTTGTATTTCTTGTTTTATTTTCACTTGTTTCTGCTCTGATCCTTATTATTTCTGTTCTCCTAATTTTGGGTTTGGTTTGTTCTAGCTTTTCTAGTTCTTTATGATACATTAATAGTTTATTTTCATATTTGAAAACTTTTTTGTGTAGGCACTTATTGCTACGAACTTTCCTCTTAGTACTGCTTTTACAGTATCTGTAGTTTTGGTATGTTGTGTTTCCATTTTCATTTGTTTCAAATAAATTTCAAATTTTCTTCTCAATTTTTTTATTGGCCCGCTGGTCATTCAGAAGCATATTTTAGTTTCTCTGTGTTTGTATAGTTTTCAAAGTTCCTTTTGTTATTGATTTCTAGTTTTATTCTACTATAGTCAGAGAAAATAATATGATTTCATTTTGGAAGGGAATCTTTTAAGAGTTATTTTGTGGCCTACTATATGGTCTATCCTTAAGAATAATTTAGGTGCTGAGGTATAGAATTTGTATTCCATAGCTATTGGATGAAATGCTTTGTAAATATCTATTAGATCTATTTGGTCCATAGTGCAGATTAAGTCCAGTGTTTATTTGTTGATTTTACTATCTGGGTCATCTGTCCACTGCTGAAAGTGGGATGTTGAAGGCTCCAGTTATAATTGTATTGAGGTTGATCTCTCTCCTTAGCTCTAGTATTTGCTTCCAATATCTGAGTTCTCCAGGGTTGGGTGCATATATATTTACAACTGTTATATCCTCTTGCTGAATTTACCACTTTATCATGATATAATGACCTTTGTTGTCTCTTTTTATAGTTTTTGTCTTGAAATCTGTTTTGTTTGATATAAGTAT
Source organism: Homo sapiens (assembly GCF_000001405.40). Lineage (NCBI taxonomy): Eukaryota > Metazoa > Chordata > Mammalia > Primates > Hominidae > Homo > Homo sapiens. The sequence continues at coordinate 63,986,445 of NC_000007.14, read as the reverse complement.
AGCTATTCCCACTCTTTTTTGGTTTCCATTTGCATGGACTATCTTTTTCCATCAGATTATTTCAGTCTCTGTGTGTCTTTATAGGTAAAGTGTAAAGTGTGTGCCTTGCAGGCAGCAGATTGTTGGGTTTTGTTGTTTTGTTTGTTCGTTTGCTTGTTTTTACCCATTTGGCCAATCTATGTCTTTAGATTAGAGAGTTTAATTTATTTACATTCAATGTTGTTATTGATAAGTGAAGGCTTACTTCAGCCATTCTGTTATCTGATTTCTTGTTTTGTGCTCTTTCCTCCCTCCCTCCCTCCCATTCATCCTGTCTTCCATTTAGTGAAGGTGATTTTATCCAGTGGTATGTTTTAATTTTTTGCTTTTATGTGTTTGTGTCTGTTACAGGTTTTTTTATTTGAGGTTACCACAAGGCTTGCAAATAACATCTTATAACCCATTTCAACTAATGGCAACTTAACATATTGTAAAAAAGAACAAACGAAAAAGAAAAGAGGAAACAAATAAAAAATACACTTTAACTTTATTCCTCCACTTTTTAACTTTGTTGTTTCTTTCTTTCTTTCTTTCTTTTTTTAAGATGGAGTTTCACTCTTGTTGCCCAGGCTGGAGTGCAATGGCATGATGTTGGCTCACCACAAACTCTGCCTCTGGGGTTCAAGCAATTCTCCTGCCTCAGCCTTCCAAGTAGCTGGGATTACAGGCATGTGCTACCACGCCAGGCTTATTTTGTATTTTTAGTAGAGATGGGGTTTCACCATGTTGGTCAGGCTGGTCCCAGACTCCAGACCTCAGATGATTTGCCCTACTTAGCCTCTCAAAGTGCTGGGATTACAGGCATGAGCCACTGCGCCTGGCTTTTTGTTTCTATTTATATCTTATTATACTGTCTGTGTCTTGAACTTGCTATGGTTAGTATTTTTAATAACTTCAACAGCCTCAAATGGAAATGTAAGAGTTATGGCCTTAAAGAGGAGGTAGAGAAAGAGTTATTGTTTTTTAATAACTATACAAGTCACTATAGAATAATCTTTCAGTCTTTTCAAAATAGCAATAGTTTACACACCACATTTGCAATGCTATGAAATTCTGTGTTTGTGCACTTAATATTACCAGTGAGTTTTGTACCAGATGCTTGCTTGTAGCTCATTAATGTTTTTTTCCTTTAGATTAAAATACTCCCTTTAGCATTTTTTGTAGGACAGGCCTGATGTTAATAAAATCCGTGTGTGTGTGTGTGTCTAGAAAGGTTTTTATTTCCCCTTCATGTGTGAAGGATATTTTTGCTGGATATATTATTCTAGATAAAAGTCTTTTCCTTCAGCACATTAAGTATATCATGCCACTATCTCCTGACCTCTAAGGTTTCCACTGAAGAGTCCGCGGTCAAACATTGGTTTGTCTGTTTGAATGCTGTCTGTTTCTTTTCTCTTGCTGCTTTTAGGACTCTTTATCTTTACCCTTTGGGAGGCTATTATTAAAGGCCTTCAGGTAGTCTTATTTAAGTTAATTGTGCTTCATTTCTATAACCTTCTTGTACTTGAATATTAATATCTTTCTCTAGGTATGAGAAGTTCTCATTATCCCTTTGAATAAACTTTCTATCCTGAACTCTCTCTCTCCCTCCTCTTTAAGATCATAACTCAGAGTTGCCCTCTTGAGGATATTTTCTACATCTCATAAGCATGTTTTATTGTTTGTTAATTTTTTGTCTCCTCTGACTGAATATTTTCAAATAGTCTGTGTTCAAACTCATTAATTCTCCTGCTTGATCAATTCTGCTGTTAAGAGACTGATGCATTCTTCAATGTCATTTGAGTTTTTCAGCACCAGAATTTTGTCTTGATTTTTCAAAATAATTTTAATTAACTTGTTAAATTTACCAGATCAGATTCTGAATTTCTTTTTGGTGTTATCTTGAATTTTATTGAGCTTTCTCAAAACAGCTATTTTGAATTCTCTCTCTGAAAGGTTACATGTCTCTGTCACTAGGAATTGCACACTGGTGCCTTATTTAGTTCATTTAATGAGGTTGTGTTTTTCTGGATAGTCTTAATTTTTGTGGATGTTCATTGATGTCTGGGCATTAATGAGTCAGGTATTTATTTTAGTCTTTGCATTCTGGGCTTTTTTTTTTAACCTGTCCTTCTTAGAAGGGCTTTCTAAGTATTCAAACAAAACAGTGTTGTAATCTAAGTCTTCAGTCATTGCAGTCATATCTGCATTAAGGGACTCCCCAACCCCAGTAACACAGCAAGGCTTGCAGACTTGTAGAAGTGCCACCTTGGTGGTCTTAGGTAAGATCTAAAAGAGTTCCTGGATTACCAGGCAGGGACTCTTTTTCTCTTTCCTTACATTCTACCAAATAAATGGAGTCTCTCTCATGCTGAGCTGCCCAGAGCTGGGGTAGGGGTGACACAAGTGCCCTGTCGCCACCATCACTAGGACTGCACTGGGTGCAACTCAAAGCCAGCACAAGACTGAGTCTCACACAGGCCCACAGTGACCACTGACTAGCTACCACTGATATTCACTCAAGGCCCATGTTCTCTTCAGTCAGGAGGTGGTAAATCCTGCCAGGCTTATGTCCTTTTCTTCAGGGCAGTGAGCTTTCTTACCCACCCTGGGCTGGGGCATAACAAAATGCCATCTGGTAGCCAGAACATGGAGTCAGGAACCTTAGGCATTTACTTGGTGCCCTATTTTACTGTGGCTTAGCTGGCACTGAGGCCAGGAGACAACATCCTTCCTACTCTTCCCTTTCCTTTCTCAAGCATAAGAAGCCACTCCCTGTGGCCACCACCACCCAAAGCCCACAGCAAGTACTTCCAGGCTTCTGCTGGTATTTACTGAGGACCCAAGGGCCCTTCAGTCAGCTTGTGGTGAATTCTGACAGGCCTGCATCTCTTCCTTCAAAACAGTAGGCTCCTCTCTGGCCCAGGGTGGTTCCAGAAATGCCATTGAGGAGCCAAGGCCAAAAACCATGGACCTCAGGAGCCCTCTTGTTACTCTACTCCACTGTGGCTGAGTTGGTAACCAAGCTTCAAGACAAAGTCCCCTTTCCTCTTCCCTCTCTCTTCTTCAAGCAAGGAGTCTCTCCACATGGCTGCCACAGCTTGAATTGCACTGGGTCATACCTGAAGCCAGCACAGCTCTGGGTCTCACCCAAGCCTGCAGCAAGTACTACCTGATTACTGCTAACATTTATTCAAGGCCCAAGGGCTCTTTAGTCAGCAGGTGATGAATCCTGCCAGGACTAAGTCCTTCCCTGCAAGGCAGTGTGTTCTCTTCTGTCCCCGGGTGTGCCTAGAACTGTCACCCAGGAGTTAAGTCTTGGAATGGGGGCCTTAAAACCATTCCTGGTGCCATATTCTACTGTGGCTTAGATGGTATCCAAATTGCAAGACAAAGTCTTCTTTACTCTCCTCTTCCCTCTCCACAAGTAGAAGAAAAGAGTTTCTTCCAGAGCTTTGAGTTGCATTGCCTGTGGCTGGGCTAAGGGCAATGCAGGCACTTCCTTGGGTCACCCCAGTTGGCATCTCATAAGGCCACATGCACTTCAAGCTTTTTGACTCTGAGCCTAGCAAAGCACCAGGATTTGCCCAGGAGTTGCAGTCCCAGTGGCTTAGACTGCCTTTCAAGTTTATTTAGAACCCCAGAGTGCTTTAGCCCATGGTGGTGGGGCTACCTGAAACTCAGGTTTTGGCCACTGAAATGGACACTTTCTCTCAACTAGGGCTAGTCTGAGTGCTCCCTCTGGGGGCACTGGCTGAACTCTGCCCCGTGTTGCTTTCTGCTATGACCAGCAGCACTGAGTTTTACTGCAGAGTCTCCCAATCACTGCACTCTCCCTCCTGTAAGTGCACAGGTTTGCTCTTCTTGCCAAGCTGCTCTACCAGGGAATGGAGGAGAGGTGCTGTTGGCAATTCAAGACTTTCTTTTTTTATCATCTTCAGTGCTTTTTCTTTGATGTGCTTTTAAAACCAGATATTGTGGTCACTCCCCTGAATTTTGGTTCTTATGAAGATGCTTCTTATTTGGATAGCCATTAAATTTGGTGTTCCATCAGGGACATGATTGATTGTTAGAGGGTTCTATTTAGTCCCCTTGCCCCACTTCCCTCCTGCAGCCATGTTATTTTAATTAAGTGCCACATGTGGGGCAAAGGTGACCCCAGGGTCAATCATGAGTGCTTCCAGATACATTTGAAAGAGGTGCACTTAGCTTTAGTTTAAAACAGAGATCATAGGGACTGCTATGCATGGATTTGGTATGGGCAGGTGAGGGTGGCCCATATTCCTATTGCTGCAGCAGAAATTGCTGCCATCCCTGACAGAGGAGGGCACCTGAGTGTTGGAAAGCGGAAACTCACATTTTGGTTTTTCTATGTAAGAGTTTATTGTTTCTGAACCTCTTTACTGGTTAAATAAACTGAAAACCTAGGCTGTGCCACTTACTAGATTTCTGACAAAATATTCCCCTTGGGCCAGAAGCAATAACACCACTGGCAAACTTGTTAGAAATTCTGAAACTCAAGTTTCACCCTAAATCCAGAGTCAAAGTCTACATTTTAACAAGATCTCTTGTTCATCATTGTACACAATTAAGATTCGAGCAGTACGTTTCTAACTCACCATGAAATTTCCGTTTATTAGCTATGGACAACTTATCTTGTATCATGTAAATATAGCATTCAAAAATATACATGTCTGTGTTTGTGCCCTTTATTGTATATTTTATTATCAAGAAAAGTAATGCATCTACACTGGTTTTGTAGATCTTATGCCATCTTCTTTTCTCAGAGTTAAAGAATACAGTAGAGAATATTTTTCTGCTGGAAAGCATCTTATTGGATAACTCCAGTCACTCACATAAGTCAGAACCAGTTCTCTTTGCTCTCTGTTTACCTAATGTAAAATTGAGAATTCTTCCTATGACCATTTGCTAAATATGTTTTGTTTTTCAGGGAGTGTTGCCATTCAGGGATGTGGCCATAGAATTCTCCCCAGAAGAGTGGGAGTGCCTGGACTCTGCTCAGCAGCATTTGCACAGGGATGCGATGTTAGAGAACTATGGAAACCTGGTGTCTCTGGGTGAGGATATCTTCAATATACAATTCACATTCCACACTAAATATTTTATTTTCTTCCATTTTCTGGGAGTTTCTGCTTTGCACAAATGAGTTTCAGAATTCATCTTCAAAAAAGCAAAAACAAAAAAAGTTGGGTATCTGTTGAGGTAGAAAAAAATGTTCAAGATGTTTCATGTTAACATTAATCTTTCCCTTTTTTGAGCTGATCTGTATACTTCAGTCTAAATTACTGGTAATACAAGAAATTTAGTGGCATAAAATATTGTTACCCACACTTTAAAATCCAATTTTTACCACCAATTTTTCATTTAGTATTACTGAGTAGTAGAGCTAAGAACCCACATACTAAAAAAAATTTGTTTTGTTTTGTTTTGTTTGTTTTGAGACGAAGTCTCACTCTGTCACCCAGGCTGGAGTGCAATGGCATGATCTCAGCTCATTGCAACCTCTGCCTCCTGGGTTCAAGCAATTCTCCTGTCTCAGCCTCCCGAGTAGCTGGGATTAGAGGCTTGTGCCACCAGGCCCAGTTAATACACACACACATACACACACACACACACACACACACACACACATATATATATACACACATATATATTTTGTATTTTTAGTAGAGATGGGCTCTCACCATGTTCACCAGGCTGGTCTTGAACTCCTGGCCTCAAGTGATTCACTCACCTCGGCCTCCCAAAGTGCTGGGATTACAGGCATGAGCCACCGTGCCTGGCCAAAATTTTTTCTTAATATTCTAAAGTTCCTGTTAGGAAATAGTATATTGGTATTAATTTTCTAGAATCTCTATAATGTTTTCTCTTCTCTAATGAGCACATTACTAGATTGGTAATTGGAGTATCCTAGCAAGAATCATGTTATTCTTTTCTAATAAAACAGGTCTTGTTATTTCCAAGCCAGACTTGATTACCCTTCTGGAGCAAAGAGCCCTGGAATGTGAAGAGACAGAAGACAGTAGTCAAATACCCAGGTAGGTGGGAGTGAATGAAGGAAATGACACAAATGAGAGTTCCCAATGTCAAGGAGGAAGCCAGACTTTTACACACGGTTTGAATAGCTCTCCTCCAGTGAAAGCAGTTTCTAGAACCCTGCATTTTTTCTCTTGTTTTGACATAGAGGCATCTTTTGTCCAATTCTCATAAATTTTTTAAGTGCTGTACTTCCCCTTCAGTAAGGTTTATTTTTTCCTTTGAGTTTACAGTGATAATAAAAGTTTTAATGATAACTTAAGAATGTGTGATCTGATGGGCTTCCATTGCTTTGGGAGAAACAGTAATATCTGTATTTTTGAGAAACTGTATGTTAAACCATTCTTAAGGTTCTTTTTTTGGATAATGTCTAAATTACATGAGAGTTTTGGTGATATTGGGATTTGGTTCAGAAATCCCAGGAACACCACAAAAAGATATATGTTTTCTGCTTTATATTTTTTTATTCTACAGTGGTTTCAAACGGAATTTTATAGGAATTTATACTCAGTAATTTTATCAAAACACTAACCATCTCCCTAAATATAAGAAACTCTAAAATTACATTAATTCAAAATATTATTCTTTTTATGTAAACTAATATTGATAAATTAAAGTCCGTATACCCAAATTCCTCAATTGTAATAAGTTTGATATATTTACTCCACACATTTATCAAATATACTATGTCACTGAAGAGCTTAAAACATTGCTGAGCATATATTAAACTCTCAATTTTAACTTTATTTTTAAATAAGTGTTATTTTACAGTTTTCTCTTATTTTGTATTTAGCTTACTGGGACTGTGTCAAATATGTATATATATACACACACACATACACATAGACAGATACGTATATGTACACACATGTATATATGTATGGGTATGTAACATGTGGATCTTTTCACAGATAATTGAATACCTGTATGTTTACTGTTTACTATGTATTTATTTTATATGTGTGTGTATATATATATATATATATAGAAATGGTTAATACAATCAAATTAATGAACAAACACATCTATCACCTTACATGCTTACCCTTTTTGTTGTGAGAACAATTAAGATCTCTCAGCAAATTTTCAGCATACCTAACAGTATTATTAACTATAGTCATGAAGCTGTACATTAGGTCACAATAACTTGTTTTATAACTAAAAATTTGTACCATTTGACCATGTCCCATTTTTCCCATATTCAGGCCCTAGTACTCAGCTTTAAACTCTCTGCTTCTAGGAGTCCAACCTTTTTATATTCCCCTTAAAAGCGAGATGGCACAGTATTTATCTTTTTGCTTTTGGCATATTCCACTTAGTCTAATGTCATCTAGGTCCATCTATGTTGAAATGGTAGGGTTTTATTATGCTTCATGACTAAATAATATTCTGTTCTGTATATATACCATGTTTTCTTTATCCAGTCAGTATCCACAAACATTTTAGGTTGCTTTCATATCTTGGCAATTGCAAATAAGGCTTCAATAAACATGAAGGTGCAGATTTTTTTGAGGTACTAAATTTATTATATATGCAGAAATGTAATAGCAGGATTGTATAGTAGTATTATTAAAAATTTTTAAAGAACTTTCATACTGATTTTATAATGACTCTAAAAAATTACAAATCACCAAGAGTGTATAGCATTTCTTTTTTTATATTCATGTCATCACTTTTTATAACACTTATTTTTGATGTTAGCAATCATAATAGGCGTGAAGTAATACCTTACCATGGTTTTAATTTGCAACTGCCAGATTGGTGATATTGAGCCTCTTTCCACATACCTGCTGGCAAATTGTATGTTTTCATTGAAAAAAACATATATTTAGTCCTTGGCTTGTTTTTCAATTGTATTATTACCATTATTACTAAGGTTTTTGCCTTTGATTTATATGAGTTCCTTATATATTTTGGATACTAAAATCAGATATGGGTTTTTAATTTTATTGTTTTCTTGGTTGTGCAGAAGCTTTTTAATCTGATGCAGTCCAACGTTTTTATATTTGCTTTTATTGCTATACTTTTGCTGTCATATCCAAAAATTCAGTTTCAAGACCAATATTAAGGTTTCTTCATATGTTTTCTTTTAAGATTTTTAAGGATTTATGTATTACATTAGAGTCTTTATTTTATATTTAGTTAATTTTTAAATATAGCGTAAGAAAAATGTCTAATTTTATTATTTTACCTGTGGGTATTCAGTTTTCCCAGCAGCAAGTATGGGAGAGACTGTACTTTCCGTGTGGTGTATTCTCAATGCCTCAATGTCAAAGTCGATTTAATATGGAGGGGTTTGTTTCTGGGCTGTCCGTTCTGCTCCACTGATTTTGGTGTGCATTTTTTTTTTTCTTGAGGCAGAGTTCAAGTTCTTGTTGCCCAGGCTAGAGTGCAATGGCCGGATCTCAGCTCACCACAACCTCCGCCTCCTGGGTTCAAGCGATTCTCCTGCCTCAGCCTCCCGAGTAGCTGGGATTATAGGCATGTGCCAGCACGCCTGGTTAATTTTGCATTTTTAGTAGAGATGGGGTTTCTCCATGTTGGTCAGACTGGTCTCGAACTCCTGACCTCAGGTGATTCGCCTGCCTCAGCCTCCCAAAGTGCTGGGATTACAGGCGTGAGCCAGTGCACCCGGCCTTGGTGTGCCTTTTTACACACAGACCATCTTGTTTTTATTGCAATAGTCTGCAAATGTAGTTTGAAATCAGAAAGTATAATGCCCTCAGCTTTGTTATTCCTCAAAACTGCCTTGGCTATTCCAAGCAAGTCTCTTGCAGCTCCATAAAAATTTTAGGTTTGCATTTTCTATTACTTTAAAAAATTCCACTGGAATTTTGATAGGATATTTATTAAATCTATAGATTACTTTAAATAATGTGACTCTTTAACAATATTTATTTTTCTAATCCATAGACATGAAATATTTTTGCATTTATTTGTGTCATCTTCAATTTCTTTCATTAATATCTTAACTATTTCAATAAAAATTTTTTTCACCTCCTTGGTTAAATATATTGCTAAGAAAGTTATTATTTTGATGCTATTTAATTAAGATCTTCTTTTTCATTTCTATTTGATAGCTTGTTGTTAGTGTATGGAAACACAAATGATTTATATATCAGTTTTATATTTCTCTAATTTACTCAGTGTGTTTATTAGCTGAAACAGTCTTTTGGTGACATTTTTACTTTTGTTTTTCAATTTAGATGCTTTTTTTCCATTGAGACAGGGTTTCACTCTGTCAGGCTGGAATCCAGTGGCGTGATCATGGCTCACTGCAGCCTTAATCTCCTGGGCTCAAGCAATCCCCCCACCTCAGCCTCCCAAGTATCTGGGACTACAGGCATGCATTACCACACCTGGTTAATATCTTAATGTTTTGTAGAGATGGGGTCTCACTACAATTCCCAGTCCAGTCTCAAATTACTAGGCTTGATCCTCCCGTCTTGGGCTCCCAAAGTGCTGGCACTACAGATATAAGTCACTGCATCTGGCTGGATGGCTTTAAAAAATTTTTTTCCTAATTGTTCTGCCTAGGATTTCAGTACTATGTTAAAAATAGAAGCATTAATGGTCACAATGTACCCTTGTATTGGTTTCTTTGAAACTGAAGGACCAAACACCTCTTCCATTTTTATAGACTGGTTTCAGCAGGCATAGATCTTCTCTTGGGTTGACTGGCTGATAACATCCCTTCTGGGTTTGCAGTGGTATGTGGGTTGTAGGTGGGTCATGTGACTGCTTCTTGGTCTGAGTGGAGTTTGCCATTAGTGGGCTTGTTACCACTAGCCTGGGTAGTTATTAACCTTCTCTTATTTTTTGGAAGACTGGATTGCCTTCAGGACGTTGATCCACAGGGCCAGCACTAGGGTGGTGTTCTGCAGCTGAGTCAGCATGTGGTGGATCTGATGTGAGGTGTGGGGTGAGTGCTGAGTGTGACTCTCCCTGAGTACCTGGCAGGGTTTCCCCAGGTTACTCTTTGGGTTCCTAACTGGGCAGAACTAGCCATGAACTGTGGCTACGAGTGCTGAAACTGAGTCACTGAAATGTTTACTGTCACAGTAAAGGCCAGGTTCTGCAGGCCTACCTCTATAACCACAAATAGGCATCTCCCCCAGGTCTCTGAATGTGCAAGACTTTTACACGATGGCTGGAAGGAGCTGGAGATGGTTACAGAGTCACTGCAGAATTTTGGTTGGGGTCAAGATAGGTGGACAATTTCTTGCCTTGTAGCCAAGACCAAAGGTTCTCAAGCTTGTCACTTGAATGAGTGCCTGCCTTCTCAAAATGACTCCAGTTAGTCTTTGGCATTAACAGGTTTTTAAAACCTTCTCCCTTAGAAACAAAATTATAATAAAGGTTCCTTTTTTGAGAAGGGTTCTTGCCATATTACCTAGACTGATCTCAAACTCCTGTCCTGAAGTGATTTTTCTGCCTCAGCCTACCAAGTTGGTAGGATTACAGGTGTGAACCACCATGTCTGTCAACATAATGAACTCCATGTAGTATTTCTTATAAGACTGTTCTAGGGGGTAATGAACACCATTAGCTTTTGTTTATATTGGAAAGTCTTTTTTTTATTATTTTTAAAGTAAATGCCTCCCAGATTATGTATCCTTGGTCGGCAGTATTTTTTTCTTGATCACATTCACATTTGGGAAGTCCTTAGTCCCTTTTCTCTTCAAATAACCTCTCGACCACTCTTCCCCTGCATTCTTTTTCAAATAATCCTTTTATGAATATGTTAGTCTACTTGATAGTATCCAATGTTTCATATTTCTCAATGTTTTTGTTTTCATGGCTCAATATTTATAAATAATGTCTTCTGTTTTTAGTTTTTTCTGTCTCATTAACTCTATTGTGACTCTAGTAAACTTTATAACAATTTTTTTTTAGTTCGGCAATTTCTACTGGGTTCTTTTTAAAATAGTTTTTATCTTTTTGTTAACTCATTTTTATGCATAATTTTTCTTATTTTGCTTTCTGTCTGTGTTCTATTTTTGCTATTGGAGCATATTTAGTATCATTATTTTGACATATTTGTCAGATAATGCAAAGATCATCTTTTCTTAAGGATTGAGTTCTGAAGATTTATTTTGTTTCTTCAGGTGCCTTGTTTTTATGTCCTGTGATCTTTTGATAAAATTTGGCAACTTATACACAGACATCTAATCTAATATTTAAAGACTTGCTTAAAGACTGGTTATAGCAGCTAACCAAGCAATAGATTTTCAGTGCTTCACAAACATGTTCTCAGTTGTGTCTTTGGACCTTTGTGGGTAATTTCCAAGTTAACAATATTTTTTCTTTCATTTTCTTTTCAGATTGTCTATTCTTTTGCTTCCCCTGTTGACCGTGGCATTGCAGTTACTTTAGTATCGTAACAAGTGTTCACCTTCTCAGGGAGACAGAATGTAGTAATTAGACAGTCCACTAAAATGCCACAACTTTGAACGGATCCACTGTACTATCTTTCTCCTTAGGGAGATACCGGGAGTTGGTTGTGTTTTTCTTAGCTCAGTTGCTGTTCAGGGAAAGAAGGGTTGTGTTGGACAGTCTTTATGCTAGACCTGGTTACCTTCTGCAGCATAGAAAATATTCCTTAAATGTGAAAAGAGAGGAAAGAATAGTTATACACTCAGATATGTGTGAATGATTTAGCAGATAACACATGTGAAAGGTCCAAAGATGAAGGAGAAAACCAGAGTTTAAAATGTGGTTGAGACCAGCCTGGCCAGCACAGTGAAACCTTGTCTCTACTAAAAATACAAAAACTAGCCGGGTGTGGTGGCACATGCCTGTTGTCCCACCTACTCGGGAGGCTGAGGCAAAGAATCGCTTGAACCCAGGAGGTGAAGGTTGCAGTGAGCCGAGATCGCACCACGGCACTCCAGTCTGGGCAAGAGAGCGAGACTCCATCTCAAAATAAATAAATAAATAAAATAAAAATAAAATAAAATGTGGATTGGGAGGCTGTGCTTCAGTGGAATTGATTCTGAAAGCCTAGGTATATTTCTCTTACTGTCATGGAGGAAAAGTTTCTGATGTATGCTTATTATGGTCTTAAATCCTCTAAGTCTTCTGTCCATTCAATGATCTATGCGTTCATAGTGAGAGGCAAACTCCTCTTTTTATAATATGAGGACCCATATAATCTGACTCCTTTTCCATTTCTTTGAGGGACCTAGGAAAATTTGTGCACATTTTTGGAGACCACTATGTTAAGCTGTTTTAAAAGATCTGTTTGTGCCTTGTGTTAGACATCTGTGAGAGGAGTAAGGGAGACATCGGGATTTGGTTAAGAGATTCCAGAGACACCGGAGACAGATATCCTTTGTTTTCTGTTTTATAATTTTCAGTCAGCTGATCATTTAGAAAATGAGACTGAAAACTTTCATCAGAGCACAAAGCATCTAATTAAGTACAAGAAAATCTAAACATCTATTTTACTTTAAAAGTATCTTTTTCTTAGTAGAAACCAAGCTTAGAAATTTAAATGCAATATGATAAATACCTCTACGGTAGAAAAGTTGATTTTATCTACTCACCTCATAGAATTCTTAAAAACACTAATACCATAGGTTACTTAGAACACTGCCCAGCATATAGTAAATTTCCAATTGTTACGTATTTCTTAATAACTATTATTTTATGATTTTATTTTCTTTACTATGAAGATTAGTAAAATTGTGTCCTATATATATTTTCATTTTCTGATCTGCTGTATGCCAACTTTGCCTGTAGTTTCACAAGTTCTGAGATAATGTGCTTGAATGTATGTTATATAAAAAGTGAGTTAGATAATAGGCATGCCACATTTATTTAAATATTTGATTTTTTTTTTAGTTTACTGCATGCAAAAAGTTATCGTTAGCATTTTCATGCACTTTTCTCAAAATTTATCTAAATGATTATATAAATTTATTTCTAATTGTTCATTTTGTATATTAGTGTTTCATACCATATTGTATCGTATTTATGTTGTTTATATTATTTTGAAATGCAATGCTTTGCTTTGCTTCCAAAGGTTACATTATAGCTTTTACATTTTATTTAAAAATAACAGCAAAATATTAATGACATAAGAAGTTTCTCCAGTATTATTTAAATGCCTGTTCCAATAAATTTTATCAGAGCTTTTCACGAATGATTATGATGGATTTTCTATGAAATTTTATTGCTCTAATTGTATACTAACGATTCAAACTTATTGTCTTCAGTAGCAAAGACATGGAATCAACCTAGATGCCCATCAGTGGTTGATTGGATTGAAAAAAAAAAGTGGTACTTATACACCATGAAATACTACACAGCCATAAAAAAAACAAAATTATGTTCTTTGTAGCAACATTGATGCTGCTGGAGGCCATTATCTGAAGTAAATTAATGCTGAAACAGAAACCCAAATACTGCATGTTCTTACTTATAAGTGAGAGCTAAATATTGGGTATACATGGATGTAAAGATAAAAACAATGGACACTACAGACCACTAGAGGAGGATGGGAAGGAAAGAGACAAGGGGAGAAAAGCTACCTCTTGGGTACTATGCTATCTACCTGAGTAGTAGATGTAGTACCCCAAACCTTAGCAATACAAAATATACCCATGTAACAGACCTACACATGAACCCTCTGAACCTAAAGTAAAAGTTGAAACTTTAAAAACACCAAAATATGTGCTTTTTGTGAATGTACAGTCATAGCTGAAAATTGTAGATACCTGAAAAAAATTCTTTAGTGGTACACTATGTTTATTCAGTATTTTTTGGTTAATTTTTTTGTTGAAATTTGTTCTATCATTTTACATTCCTTTGTCTCATGTTTTAGATTAGGCTATGTCCGATTAATTGTGTTTTTAGTTTTATTTATGTATTATAATTTTGTATGCCAATATTCAACTCTGTACACATTAGGACAATGTTTAAACATTGACATATATTAACCAGCTATACATCTATTGCCAATACAATTATTTCTATGTTTGTTTGCCTGTATAAATATTACCCCTATTTTATGACTTGTGTATTTGCTTTTTTTGGTGGGTAGTCAATGATATTTTTATTTTTAATGTAAAACATACATTACAAAATGTGTAATCTTTAATATTTTCCATTATATAGTTTAGTTATGTTAAGTATATTGACATTGTTAACAACATATCTCTAAAACATTTTTACTCTTGTAAAAGCAATATGCAATACATGTGAATCCACTACTCATTTTTCCCATTGCCCTGCCTTTTACAAACATTATTCTATTTTCTTTTTTAAGGGTATAACTACTTTAGATATTCCATGTAAATAGACTCATACAGTATTTTTGTGGCCATGGCTGCCTTATTAAATTTAGCATAATGTCTTCGAAATTTGTCTTTATAACACGTATTAGATTTTCTGCTTTTAAAAAGCTGAATAATATTCCATTTTTTGTATTCCAAATTATATTCATCTGTTCATCTGGTAAAAAAAAAAGTTTAAATTTCTTTCACCTATTGGCTTTTGTGGATAATGCTTCAGTAAATGGTGAGCAAATAACTCACTTGACCATATATGCAAGAGTTTATATCCGTGCTGCATTCAGTTACATTGCTTTGGTGTTCTGCCTTTATACTGGTACCAAAGTGCTTTGATTACTCTGCTTTAGTTTTGTGTTTGAAATGATTAAGTGTAATGCTTGCAGTATTTTTCTTCTTGGGTAATTGAAAAGGGTTATGTTGAATGTGTGGGTCACTTTGGGCAGTATGGATATCTTCACAGCATTATGTCTTCCAGCTCTTGAACAAAAGCATGCTTGAGTGTGTTGTTTATTTTTTTATTTTATTTTTATTTATTTATTTTTTTGAGGTGGAGTCTTGCCCTGTCACCCAGGCTGGAGTGCAATGGCATGATCTCGGCTCACTGCAACCTCCGCCTCCCAGGTCAAACAATTCTGCTGCTCCAGCCTCCTGAGTAGCTGGGATTACATGCGCACACCACCATGCCCAGCTAATTTTTTTAATCTATAGTAGAGACGGGGTTTCACTATGTTGGCCAGGCTGGTCTTGAACTCCTGACCTCGTGATCCACCCGCCTTGGCCTCCCAAAGTGCTGGAATTACAGGCGTGGGCCACTGTGCTCAGCCATGTTGTTTAATTTTTATATTTTGTTAATTTTTTAGTTTTCCTTCTGTTACTGATTTCTAGTTTCATTCCATTTGGGCTATAAATAATACTCTGTAAAATTTCAGTTTTAAAAAATTTGCTGGTACTTGTTTTGTGGTGTCACAAGCAGTCTGTCTAGGAAAATGTTTTATGAGCTATTGAAAATAATGTGTATTTTGCTGTCTGTATACATTTGTTAAGTGTAATTGTTTTATAGTGCATTCAAGTTTTTTGTTCCCTTATTAATATTCTGTCTTGTGTCAAAAATCCCTATGTATTCAGTATTATTCATTACTAAAAGCGGGATATTTAAGTATCCTACCATTATAATACTGCTGTCTATTTTTTGCTTCAATTCTTTCAATGTTTGCTTTATGTGTTTGGGAAAACTGATGTCAGATATATTTATAGTTTCTCAGTGAATGAACCCTCTTATTATAAGTTAACATCCTACTTTGTCTCTTGTGAATTTCGACTTAAAGTAAATTATATAAAATATGACAGTTTTTGACAATATAATTGTTGCCTCTCCTTTTCTCAGTTGCTTAACACTTCTTTGGAATGTTTTTTCCAGCCTCCCATTTTCAGTCTATTGTTTTCATTAGATCTGAAGTGAGTCCCTTGGAGACATGATATAGTTAATTTTTTTTTAGTTTTCAAAAAATTCCTATATATTCATGTATGTGTTTTGATTAGGAAGTTTAGTTCATGAATATTTAAATAATTTTCTAAAAGAAAACATACTATTATCATTTTATTATTTGGCTATTTGAGCTAATTTGTCTCTGTTTTTCTTTTTTCCTGTCTTTCTATATTTAGTAACATGCTTTTACTTCAACTTAACTTTTTATCTCTACAATTATTTTCAATGTAATTAACATGGGAATTACATAAATCCTTTTAACATTACCATTTACTTTAAACTGGTAACAACTTACCTTTAGTAGCACACAAAAATTGATACTCATTACACCTGTCCCTTTTTATCAACACCACTAATAATATATTTTATATTGCATATACATTAATAGTTTTTAAAATTATTTTTATGCTTTTATTATTTAAAGTCTTTTTCAGTTTGTTTGTTTAACAAATTAGGAACTAGCTGAAACACATTGTTCAAATTTTAGAGCCAAATTCAAAGTGCTATTTGAATCATCATTATAGTATAGTACATTTTTATTTTGGTGTATGTGTGTATCTTTTCCAGAGTTATGTATTTTTACATGATTTTTTCTTCTTTTATAGGATACACTATTTTCAATGGGAGGGACCTTTTTGCATTTGTTGTAGGAAAGTTCTTCCGATGATACATTTTTCTGCATTTGGTCATCTTGGAAAAATCTCTTTTTTACCGTATTTTAAAGGATATGCTGGGCATGGTTGCTCATGCCTGAAATCTCAGCGCTTTGGGAGGCCGAGGTGGGCAGATCACTTGAGGTCAGGAGTTCAAGACCAGCCTAGCCAACACTGTGAAACCCCCTCTCTACTAAAAATACAAAAATTAGTTGGGTGTGGTGTTGGGTGCCTGTAATCCCAGCTACTCGGGAGGCTGTGGCAGGAGCTTGAACCTGGAAGGCGGAGGTTGCAGTGAGCCGAGATGGCACCACTGCACTCCAGCCTGGGCAATAGAGCAAGACTCCTTCTCAAAACAAAACAAAAAAGAATACTTCTGCTGGATATGGTATTCTTGGTTGGACATTTTTGTATTTTTCAGTGTTTTAACTATAGCATCCAACTTTCTTCTTGCCTGAAATATTTCTTCTGTTCATAAATTTACTGGTAATTTTGCAGGAGGATGAATATGAATGACACATCTCTTTTCTCTTTCTGCATTCCAGATTCTTTTCTTGTCTGTGACTTTCAAAATATTGCCTATATTGTATCTTGTTAGGAATCTCTTTGTGTTAATTTTAGTTGAAATTTGCTTAGCTTTTTGATTTTCTTATATATTTTTTCTAATGTTGAAGTGTAGATTTTTTACCTCTGCTCCACAATTTATTGACTTTTTTAATGGTTTTTCATGTCTCAGTCTCCTTCAGCTCAGCTGTAGTTTTAGTTATTTCTTGTCTTCTGCTGGCTTTGGGATTTGTTTGTTCTTGGTTTTCTAGTTGTGATGTGAGGTTGTGAACTTGAGGCCTTTTTAACTTTTTGATGTAGGCATTTAGTATCATAAATTTTTGTCTAAACACTGGCTTAGGTGTGTCCCAAAGATGCTGGTTTGTTGTATTATATCTTTATTCTCATTAGGTTCAAAGAACTTTTTTATTTCTGACTTAATTTTATTATTTACTCTTAAGTCATTCAGGAGCAGGGTTATTCAATTTCCATGTAATTGTATAGTTTTGACTGAATTTCTTAGTCATGATTTTGAATTTGGTGGTTCAAGATATTGCTGTGATAGCAGTTTTTTTTTTATTTGCTGAGGGGTGTTTTATTTCCAGTTATGTGACTGATTTTAGAGTATGTGTTTGTGGTGATAAGAAGAATGTATATTCTGTTGTTTTGAGTGGAGAGTTCTGTATATATCTATCAGGTCCATTTGACTATGTGCTGAATTCAGGTTCTAAATATCCTTGTTAATTTTTTGTCTCAGTTATCTGTCTAATATTGTCAGCGGGTGTTAAATTCTCTTACTATCATTGTATGGGAGTCCGTGTCTCTTTGAAGCTCTCTAAGAATTTGCTTTATGAATCTGGGTGCTTCTGTGTTGGGTGCATACACATTTAGGATCGTTAATCCTATACCGTTTTGTTATGCCCTTCTGCATTAAAGTAAGAGAAACATTTTTAGTTTTAGAAGTAAATTGTTTTACCATTTGCACATTAAGGTAATTAAAATACAGTGAATTTCAAAATACTTTTATATGACAATGTGAACTTAATTTGTTTTTGTTTTTTGTCTTTTGTTTTGAGACGGAGTCTCGCACTGTCACCCAGGCTGTAGTGCAATGGCGCAATCTCTGCTTACTGCAACCTCTGCCTCCCGGGTTCAAGCGATTCTCCTGTCTCAGCCTCCCAAGTAGCTGGGATTACAGGCACACGCCACCACACCAGGCTAATTTTTTGTATTTTAGTAGAGACGGGGTTTCACCGTGTTGCCCAGGCTGGTCTCGAGCTCCTGAGCTCAGGCAATCCACCCGCCTCAGCCTCCCAAAGTGCTAGAATTACAGGAGTGAGCCACTGCGCCTGGCCAACTTAATTTGTTTTAATTAAAGTTGTATTTAATGTGTTTTACATTGAATATGTATCTTGTCACTGACGTTAACTTATTCTATCTTACTCAAGGTTGTAGGTAACAGATGGTGACAATATACTATTGGGTGACAATGGAATAACATGTGTAGTGATTCCTTTTGTCAGTGGCCTTAAACTTCAAACAATTTGGAGAATATTTTTCCTACAAATTGCATTTTTATTTTTTTCTTTTTGTAACTACAGGTAACTATGATGGTTATAAAAAAGATTATACAAGTATAATGGAGCTATATGTTTCTGAATTCTGAACAACTATTTACAAAATTTTATCCTACATTTTTTTGTTGTTGAACATGTGACTAGTCTGCAAAACACATACAGACCTTTAGTTTTGATTTACATGGATTTAAATATACAGATGTGTCACTTAAAATAAACTTTAGGTGTAACAGATTTATGGAGAAAGTAATATATTTGTGTATAGCTGTGTACCTACTTTGAGAAGAAAAGAAAAATATTACAATAAAAAAGATAATGTTACAAGTATTGATAATTAACCAGCCAACCAGAAACTTCAAAGATTTTGAAAGCAAACCTATTTTCTCTGCTTTATATTGAATTCATTTATCTAAAATATTATTGCTCCTGGCTTAGAATCTTATGCAGATTTTTGTTTTCTGTTTATTTGCCTGTTGCCCTAGACCTAATATATAATTATCTTTTTGTCAAATTTCATGAAGTATTTTTTATATTATCCCCTTAGGATTATAAAATTGACTTTTATAAAATTTAATGGTGTCCACAAAATAATTTTAAGATGTAAGTAATTTCACAGTGAGTGTATTATTATATGTTATTTAGTTCATGTGTTGTATATTTTTCTTTCAATTAGGGAATGCTGTTTAATCCAATTTTGTTTAGTTATTGTTCGTTTTACTTTTTAAAATGGGCATAATTGAGTTTATTGAATTTATTGGGCCAACTCATTCAAGTAAACAGTTGGAGGCTTCATAAGTCATGAGGTCTTTTTGGCATATATATAAAGTAAACAAACACAGGACAATGCTAGCTATGTACTAGAAGCTAAATAATTAATAATGAATATTCTTGTTAAAGTTAGCCTGTGGCCTCAGGTGAAAGATTGAAAAACCTATAGTGAAGAAATGACATTGATTCTGCCTATGAAGAGAAAATAGCTGTACCCATGCTGCACAAGTGACTCTCTACATTTAGAAGAAAGTATTGTTTCTTTCACTTTGTAAATATTGTTAGTCTATTTCTATTTCTTTATATTCATCTCCAGCTACATAGGTATCACAGCCTTTTACCTTATTTGCCTGTAGTATGGCTACAGCTTTCTCACTGTTCTCCCCAGCCTGCGTCATTTCACACAGTACTTGTAGGTTTTGGTGACATATTTGGAATTTTGTAATCAGTAAAATGCTTTAAAAAAAAACTGGAAAGTTTAAGGTCATTTATGGGTTGTAAATGCACCATTAAGTGATGTAAATGCATCAACTAATTGAGATAAGAAGAATGATGCACTTTCCACAGACCAGAATCTTAAATCAATCAGCATCTTTTGTAAAAGAAAAATGTTATTAGATCCCAACACAAAGTGTGGCAAATATAAAATTAGTTAGAATAGTTAAAACATTAATAACGGTAGGCCATAAATTGTGAGCACTATATGTAGAAGCACATCAGAATTTGGAAAGCTGTTAAAAGAAAATATATCTTAGAAATAAATATTTGAGAGGTAATGGGAAGTGATGGAGTTTGAATTTTTTAATGAAATGCTTATAAGATAACTTATGTTTTTATGCAGAATCTTTTATTTTTGAGTGTGTTTGTTAAATGTTGAACAAGAAGAAAAACCTCTGTGGATTTAAGATTTGGAAAGATTTTTCTTTTCCAGATTGATATTGGAGTCTTAGAGATTTTCTCACTTTTGTACTATATCCTTTTTATTTTTATGAGTGCAGTTTACAGTCCACAGGTATATTCTTTGTCACTTAACTACAGCAAATTCTTGATCATTCTCTTTAGAAAAGTCTCAGAAATCATGGCACCTTGAAAATGGAAACATTTCATTAGTAATTTTGGATGCAAACTGCTTTCCTGTGTTCACAGAATGGGCAGAGGTGGAACCGTTAACACCACTTCCCTCTTTAGTGACTTCCATGCCATCACCATCAGTGTGACTCAAGTAGGTTAGTGCAGCAGAAATTTCAGTGACACTTATAATAATAAAAAAAATAAATGGAGATCAGCCAAATGAAAACAAGAAATGACTATGTATTTTAGCTTTGCCCTAGGAGGGGAATTAGCCACCATCACTTATGTTTGGTGGAGACTCAAACCAGCAGAAGAGTGGGAAAGCTTTATAGTGAAAAAAGACATGACTTCAGATGGGCCTTTATTGGAGGCTGTTGACACGGGGAAGCTGTAGGAGGGCTAACCAGAAACAATATCCCATTTACTTGGTGAGGATGTATGCTTGGCTTTCTCAGTTTAGTTCTAATTTGGAAAAAGAGGCAACAGAACAGCTGTGACTTATTGATTTGAACTTGGCTGTTTGGGACTGGTTATTGTAGTTTGTATTCAGAGTTATCTTTTTCTATATAGACTGGCTGTTATCTCTTTGTATATTCATCTGTTCAAATAGAGAAGCCACCAGAAGGAATAAAATATTTAAAGGGATACATCTAAGAATGGGCTTCTATCCAGACAAAAGCTTCTCTTACTACTCATTAAAAAAAGATAAACTATTGAAAATGCAAAATGTGTTTCTGCAAAAAGATGCCATACAACTACAATACCATACAGCTTTACATCCACTGGAATGCTCTTACCAAACAATAGACGACAATAACGATAGCAAGGAGGGGCAGAATACAGACTCCCTGTACATTGCCCATAAAAACGTAAGCTAATGCAGTCACTTTGAGAAACGATTTGGTGGCTTTTCAGAGTGTCATATGTAGGATTATCATATGATCCAGCAGTTCTACTGCCAGAAATTTTCCCAGAATAATTGAAAACCCATGTCAACACAGACTCATATGAATGCTCATAACAGCAGTATTCATAGTAACCCAAAGTAGAAACAATGCAAATAACTACTAGCTAATCAAAGGGAAAAAGTATACCTGTAGAATAGAATACTATCTAGCTATCAAAAGTTTAGAATGGGCAACACCAGACCCAAGGCCACCTGACTGCATCTGCATTGACGGTGTGGTGTGCACCTCTGCATGCCCAGGTGCTATGCTTAGACTTCAGGCCAACGTGTGGGAGCCCACAGGAGCCCCTGAGAGCTGAGCTAGAGCAAAGGCATGGCCTGGTCTGCATGGCAGACCAGGCAGCCAGCTAGGCCAGGGGTGCAGCTGGGGTCATCACGAAACTATGCGCACCAATGAGCACAACAAACTTGAAGGGTCTAAGTGAACATTTAAATACAAATGACAGCTTTTAATTTGGGGGGCCACCAACTAAATTATGAGTTTGGGCCTCAGGTAATCACAAGAGTCCTGAAATGTGAAAGAGAGACTGAGAAACTGAATTCTGTGATATGAGAGAGTCAATCAGATTTTTTAGAAAGAATTTTTAAATTTTATATATATAATTTATATACACACAAACAATATATATATTCCCAGTATACACACAGATAGATAGATAGATAGATAGATAGATAGACAGATAGATAGATAGATAGATGATAGTAGATGGTGTATAAAATAATGATGAGACTGTATTTTTAAAAATTTATGTAATAGGATTTATCAAAAAAATTTAGTGAGATAAAAACATGATAGTGATGATTTTGAACATACAATAAATAATATGATATGAAGTCTGTTATTTTCAGATATTCAAAATATGTGTCTTTTTACAATTTAGATTATTACATTCCACTGCTTCCATTTTAAAAATGCCTCTTTTTTCAAGCTGGCATTGGGATCTCAACCAACAGTTTCCTCCTTCTATTCCATGTCTTCACACTTTTTCTAGATCAGAGGCCTAAGCCACTGACGTGACCTTCTGTCACCTGACCCTCATCCACATAGTGATGCTCCTGGCTGTGGTTTCACTGTTGTCTCCAGGTCTGTTTGAGTCACTGTAGTTTCAGAATGACTTCAAGTATAAAGTATCTTTTTCACCTGAATAAGGTGGGACCTTGAGCAATCTTCTGCATTTCAGTAAATACTGCTCGCTTTTCCCATGAAGTCCACCATCAGAGGTCAGAGGACTGTTTCTTATTCTGTCATTATCCAGATATGTTTTTCTTGCAGGACCGATGCTGCTTTCAAGTGCATACATGGTGGTTCTTTTGCTCAGCCATCAGAAGAAATCCTGGTACCTTCACAGCACCTGCCTCTCCCCAAGACCTTCCCCAGAGCAGAGTGCCACTCAGACCATCCTGCTGCTAGTGAGTTTCTTTGTGGTCGTGTACTCGGTCGATTTCATCATCTCATTCTCCTCAGCCTCACTATGGGCATATGACCCTGTTGTCCTGGGTGTCCAGAGGCTTGTGTGCACCGTATATGCCACTGTCAGTCCTTTGGTGTTCCTCAGATCTGATAAAAGAATAATCAATGTGGCCGGGTGCGGGGGCTCAAGCCTGTAATCCCAGCACTTTGGGAGGCTGACGCGGGCGGTTCACGCGAGGTCAGGAGATCGAAACCATCCTGGCTAACACAGTGAAACCCCGTCTCTACTAAAAATACAAAAAATTAGCCGGGCATGGTGGCGGGCGCCTGTAAGTCCCAGCTAGTCCGGAGGCTGAGGCAGGAGAATGGCGTGAACCCGGGAGGCGGAGCTTGCAGTGAGCCGAGATCGCGCCACTGCACTCCGGCCTGGGCGACAGAGCGAGACTCCCTCAAAAAAAAAAAAATAATAACCAATGTGATGCAAACTGTGAGACAGAAGTTTCAGTTTTCTTTTTATTGAAAACAGATTATTCTCTCACCAGTTAAGTTATTTAAGTAGCACAGAACCTGCTATCTAATTTAACTTAAATATATGGATTTACACTTTCAATATTTCTAAATATTTTTAAAACTGTGCCAATTGTTTGTGGTTTCTCTCGTTTAATATATATATAATCGTTTGATATTCCCATCTGTTTACAAGTGTCTTCCTCTTCCATTTTGATTTTCGGGCCTTAATATAGAAAAGTTTTTATTCTTTCTGAAGTGTTATATTAAGAATATCTTTCTGGGGCAACCCCCTTTGGGTCCCCTCCCTTTGTATGGGAGCTCTGTTTTCACTCTGTTTCACTCTATTAAATCTTGCACTGCGCTCTTCTGGTCCATGTTTGTTAACGGCTAGAGCTGAGCTTTCGCTGGCTGTCCACCACTGCTGTTTGCCACTGTCGCAGACCTGCCGCTGACTCCCATCCCGCCACTGACTCCCATCCCTCCAGATCCGGCAGGGTGTCCGCTGTGCTCCGGATCCAACGAGACTCCCATTGCCACTCCCGATCGTGCTGAAGGCTGCCATTGTTCCTGCAGGGCTAAGTGCCTGGGTTCGTCCTAATCGAGCTGAACACTAGTCACTGGGTTCCACTGTTCTCTTCTGTGACCCACAGCTTCTAATAGAGCTATAACACTGCATGGCTCAAGATTCCATTCCTTGGAATCCATGAGGCCAAGAATCCCAGGTCAGAGAACATAAGGCTTGCCACCATCTTGGAAGCCACCCGCCACCATCTTAGAAGTGGCTCACCACCATCTTGGGAGCGCTGTGAACAAGGACCCCCGGTAACATTTTGGCGACCACGAGGGGACCTCCAAAGTGATGCGGAGTCTCACTGTGTTGCGTAGACTGATCTCGAATTCCTGACCTCAAGTGATCTTCCTGCCTGGGCCTCAAAGTGCTGGGATTATAGGCATGGGCCACTGCGTTCAGCCTTTAAATTCTATTAAAAACAGCGTTTGTGAGAACGAAAATGTCTACTTCCTGAGAGAGACTGATAAGAATCTCCAAGGCATAATTTTCTCATAAAAGGATTCTCATTCAGTAGGCTTGGGCTCTGGCCTAATACACTCTCAGTGGAGTACCTGTGCTGCTCCTCACCTGGAAGCAAGAGGCCAGACACGGTGGCTCATGCCCATAATCCAGCACTTTAGGAGGCCAAAGTGAAAGGATTGCTTGAGCCCAGGAGTTCAAGATCAGCCTGGGCAACATAGAGAGACCCCAGCTCTACAAAAAATAATGAAAAGAAAAAAAATAGCCTGGTGTGGTGGTGCATACCTGTGGTCTCAGCTACTCAGGAGGCTGAGGTGGGAGGATCACTTGAGCCCAGGAGATCAAGGATGCAGTAAGCCGTGATCATGCCACTACACTCCAGCCTGAGCAACAGAATGGGACTCTGCCTCCAAAAGAATAAAAATAAAATAGAAAAAAAAAAAAAGAATATCTTTCTGGCAATAAAATCTCTCCATGTTGGTATTTTGGATAATTTTTTAGTAGGTATGTATGTATGTATTTGGAGACAGTCTTGCCCTGTCACCCAGCCTGGAGTGCAGTGGGGGTGATCTAGCTCACTGCAACCTCCAAGCTCCCAGGTTCAAGTGATCTTCCTGTCTCAGCCTCCTGAGTAGCTTAGACTACAGGTGCATGCTACCACACCTGGCTAATTTTTTTTGTTAGAGACAGGGTTTCTCCATGTTGCACAGGCTTGTCTCACTCCTGAGTTCAGGTGATCTGTCCACCTCAGCCTCCCAAAGTGCTGAGATTACAGGCTTGTCTTTATTTATTAAAAATATTTGGCTGAGTATTAAATTCTTACACTCAATATATATTTCTCTGTGTTCTGGCTTCTATCGAGACTGTAGAAATGATGCTCACAAATTTGTGGTTTACTTCTGTTTTCCATCTCCCTACTTGTCGGTTTTTTCTGTCCCTTTAATGTTACACAGTTTGACTATTATTTCTGCTGGAATTATTACCTTTATTTGCTTTTTTGTTGAAAACTTTGCATTTCTACATTCAATAATTTATTTCTGGCTTTTAATTTTCCAAAAAAATTTTTTTTGACTAAAACTGTGTTCTATTTTTGAAATATATTTTTGTAAAGCAATTGAGTATATTTTATTCCTTCTAGTTTTAGTCTTTATAGATCTGTAAATATATTTGCATTTTATATCAGTTTGTCTTTAATTACCATAGATTTGCTCTGCTTAATCTCCCAGTTAGCTGTTTCTCTCATTGGCTTGTTATAAGTTAATAGTTAACCCATACAATGTATATCCAAATTTATAAATTTTATTTTTCTTTCATTCAATTTACATTTGGCTCTTTCCACATACACTCTTCAACTTTTAAGTTTCTTCTTCAGCCAGGCGCTATGACTCACGCCTGTAATCCCAGCACTTTGGGAGGCTGAGGCGGTCAGAACACCTGAGGTCCGGAGTTTGAAACCAACCTGGCCAGCATGGTGAAATCCCATCTCTACTAAAAATACAAAAATTAGCCGGGCATGGTGGCACATGCCTGTAGTCCCAGCTACTCAGGAGGCTGAGGCAGGAGAATTGCTTGAACCCAGCATGCAGAGGTTGTAGTGAGCTGAGATTGCAGACACTGCACTCCAGCCTTGATGACAGAGGGAGACACTGTCTCAAAAATAAATAAATAAATAAATAAAGTGTTTTCCTCTTTCAATATTATTTTGGTTTCTTATTTTACCATTTAATTGATTTAAACATTTTAAATACAATTTTAATATTATAAATGTATGTAACATTCAATTTCTTCTTACTCTAGATTCTGAGAACTCGATAGACTGGATTAAGAAAATGTGGCACATATACACCATGGAATACTATGCAGCCACAAAAAAAGATGAGTTCATGTCCTTTGCAGGGACATGGATGAAGCTGGAAACCATCAAGCTCAGCAAACTATTACAAGGGCAGAAAACCAAACACCGCATGTTCTCACTCATAGGTGGGAATTGAACAATGAGATCACTTGGACACAGGGCAGGGAATATTACACACCAGGGCCTGTCACGGGGGGAGGGGCTGGGGGAGGGATAACATTAGGAGAAATACCTAATGTAAATGATAAGTTGATGGGTGCAGCAAACTAACATGGCACATATATACCTATGTATCAAACCTGCATGTTGTGCACATGTACCCTAGAACTTAAAGTATAATAAAAAAAAATTCTGAGAACTTATTTGCTTGTATATGTCATAATTTATCATTTAGATCTCACGTTTTGGAGATCTTTTTTTATAAATATATGCAGTCTGTATATTTTATTTGTTTGTTCTCCTTGACCTGGCACAAGATTATCAGTTTTGCTTTGTGATTAACCATTGGCTTCTCATGTTGACAACTCCTTTGAATCTTTTCTTATTTGTGTTCCTGCAAAGTCCTGACTTTTTTTAGCCCTATTTGGCATTGTAGGGATGCACAAACATTCACACTGCACACATAACAGTGTGATTACTTTACTTTATTAATATGTGAAAATATTAGTAGCTGCACATGGCTAAAATGAATGTTTCTGTCTTTAACAGTAAGTTAGTACTGGTAGAATTTGTTATGCAATATTTGGTGATTTGGTTCCAGTCTCAATGCTTCTTTCTTGGCATGTCATTGAATCTCTAAATTAACCTCAGTATGAATTTCCTTTGAAATTCAATAATTATTCAACTTGGTCTTAAACTTGTCTGTGGCTAGATATTGTCTATGGGTTGCACTCTAATTCACGGCTTCTGATGTCATTTCACAATGTCTAAACAATATGACCTATTGAATGTCTACTTTCATGAAGTTACTGACATAATTTTGAATCCAACATTTTAAAATTTTAAATATTTTCTATGGAATTTGAAAATAAGAAAATAATATGTATGCTCTTTATACAGGTTTATAATGCTATCCATTTGTTTATCTGATAACTAATCAAACTGACTTTTTTTTTTTTTTGAGATGGAGTTTCACTCTTGTTGCCCAGGCTGGAGTGCAATGGCATGATCTTGGCTTACCACAACCTCCATCTCTCAGGTTCAAGTGATTCTCCTGCTTCAGCCTCCTGAGTAGCTGGGATTACAGGCATGTGCCACCATACCTGGCTAATTTTGTATTTTTAGTAGAGACGGGGTTTCTCCATGTTGGTCAGGCTGGTCTCAAACTCCTGACCTCAGGTGATTCGCCAACCTCGGGCTCCCAAAGTGTTGGAATTACAGGTGTGAGCCACCGCGCCCAGCCCAAACTGTCTTAAAATGTTAATGTGCACTCTTTATGTTAACTTATTTGTTGTATATGAAAACAGTTTATTTTTATGACAGTTTAATGTCACCTAATATTATTTTTAATGTTTCAATTTCTCATTTACATGAATGTTTGTGTTGTTTATTTTAGTCTTACAGGCATTAAAACTGTATGTGCAAATGACTTGGAATAGTGCGTAACACATTGTGAACTCTATGTACGTGTTCAGTGCTGTTTCATCACATTTTAATCTGTTGTATGCTTCTCCACTTACCATCATTTTGTGTTTGTCCTTATTCAAATTATGTTTCTGTCCTGACTACATATTCATGGAAGAGAGAAGGTAGACTCAGACTTCCATCCTGATTAAACACAAAGTTAACTAACATATCTTCCTAGTTCACTTTAGATAGAATATCATATTTGTTTTACAATATAAATGTGAATATTAAGTACAGCATGAAGAATAAGCTTCTCCATCTTACAACAGAAGATCATGAGATATTCGATCATTCATGAATTACCCAAAGCTTTATTCTCTCAACATCATTTTTTTTATTCTTACATCTCAACCTCCAGGAAAATCTACAGGCATGAAATACTAGAAATTAGAAACAAGTTTGCAGATAAACACAAATTATCAAAATTAATCCAAGAAGAAAGGTAATATATTAATATACTTACAACAGGTAAAGAGGTTAATAAAATTCCTTCCCATAAAAAAGGTTCAGATAGCTTCACTGGTAAATTCTGCTAAATATTTAATGAATAATTAATAGGAATGCTACACAAACACCTGCAAAATATAAAAGGGGAAAGAAAACAATTCATTTGTTGAGGCCAGTATCACCCAGAAAACAAAACCAGATGAAAGCATCAAAGAAAAAAATGAGAAACCATTATTCCTCATAAATATAGACACAGAAATCTTTTTTTTTTCTTTTGGTGATGGAGTCTTGCTCTGTCGCCCAGGCTGGAGTATAGTGGTGCGATCTCGGCTCACTGCAACCTCCGCCTCCCAGGTTCAGGTGATTCTCCTGCCTCAGCCTCCTGAGTAGCTGAAATTACAGGCACAGACCACCACGCCCAGCTAATTTTTGTATTTTTTAGTAGAGACAGGGTTTCACCATGTTGGTCAGGCTGGTCTTGAACTCCTGACCTCGTGATCCACTGCCTTGGCCTCACAAACTGCTAGGATTACAGGCGTGAGCCACCGCACCCGGCCAGAAATCTTTAAAGACGCTAGAAAACTGAATTCAGCAACACATAAGAATGTTAGACAACATGACCAAGTGGAATTATCTCACCAATGCAAATTTATTTTAATATTCAAATATTAGTCAATGTAATATACCATATTAATAGAACAGAGGACAAAGCCATAATGATTTCAGTAGACACACAAAAGCATTTGACAAAATTCATTACTCGTTAACAATAATGCCTCCAGAAATCTAGGAATAGAAAAATCTTGCTTAACCTCTCCTACAGGGCATCTATAAAAATTTCACACATTCCAGTAAGGTATAATAGAGGACATACTTATATTCCTTACTTAATGGTTTTAAAAAATTAATAATACATAATAAAGATAATTTATTTACCTAGAAGAAAACACTTCTAAAAATGTTTCTATTGCATATGATAAAAGTGGAAACTAGGATCAAAAAGAGTAGTACTGTTGAGAATGAAAAGATTTGGTATTATTAATTTTCTTATTAGCAATAAAAATATTATTATCAACAATTTTAACAAGACACAGGTGCATTCTCCCCAGCAAAAGGCATGATCACATAAAATCCTTATGTAATACATAACAGAAAGTATTTTATATTTGAAACATATGGTAACATTGTCATAACTGCATTCTACTAAAAATGTCACACAATACACACTCCAAAAATTTAGAACTTTCCCTGGGGACATATGATTTTTCTAAAGATAATTGTGTTGATTATTCTGATAATCAATTCCTCCAAAGGTAAATGTGGCTATCTGGGATTCTGGAAATATTCTGAAAAGTTACATGTTTAAAAATAGTTCTCTTGAAAAAACACCATAACAGCTGGACAATGTAACATGTGCTTAACTGCAGAGATTAGTTCTAAATGCTAAAGTAAAAATAAGGAGACTGGGCATGGTGGCTCACGCCTGTAATCCCAGCACTTTGGGAGGCTGAGGTGGGCAGATTACTTGAGGTCAGGAGTTTGAAACCAGCCTGGCCAACATGGTAAAACCCCCTCTGTACTAAAAATACAAAAAAAAAAATTAGCTGGTCATGGTGGTGGGCGCCTGTAATCCCAGCTACTTGGGAGGCTGAGGCAGAAGAATCACTTAAACCTGGGAGGCAGAGGTTGCAGTGAGCCAAGATAGCACCAATGCACTCCAGCCTGGGTGACAGAGTGAGACTCCACCTCAAAAACATAAAATAAAATAAATGAAGAAGCACAAGCAGCAGAAAGAAGGGAGGATGAGACAGTACATCTGGCAGGGTGAGGCTTCCTACAATAGGTTGATAATAATAGGGGCATCATTTCCTGGATTTTTACAGCTCTCAGGGGTAGATGTGGTGCCACACTAGAATCAAAGTAAGGGGGATGAACCTGACCAGCCCAACTAAAGCCAAAAGCCTCAAAGTTCTGCAAATCTAAGAAAAATGAGATAGAGCATGCAGCCTGCAGTCAAAGGGAGATAAATAGTGAAACTAGTCAGTCCGTGCCTTGGCTGATGTAGGAAGGAAGGCCAGCTGTATTGATATATTGGGGTTTGAATTGACCCAGAGTTTTTGTAGAGAAAAATTTAATAAGTTAATTTAAATGTTTTCCAGATGCATGTAGAGAAGAAAACAAAAATTCCAGACAATTTTTTTTGAGGGAAAAAAATCTCAACCCAAGATACTGAAAATCTTTTAAGTTCAGACTTGTCAAGTATAATCACACAATGTAATTTTTTTAAATATGCAAACTAAAGGACACAAAAATTAATTTTGTTCAGAAATAACATCATAAAATACTTGTACAACTAGACGTCAAGGAATTCCAAAGCAGATGCGCCGAAAATATGTAAGCTAGGCATGGTGGCACGTGCCTGTAATCCCAGCACTTTGGGAGGCCAAGACGGGAGAATCACTTGAGGCCAGGAGTTTAAGGCTAGCCTGGTCAACATAGCATAACCTCATTTCTACAAAAATACAAAAAGAAAAAATATATACATAGTTTTTTTAGATAAATATAAGGGATATCAGCAAAGTAAAAAATATGAGCTAAAGTATAAGTAAAAGAATGAGCTAAAAAGGCCGGGTGCGGTGGCTCACGCCTGTAATCCCAGCACTTTGGGAGGCCGAGGCGGGCGGATCACGAGGTCAGGAGATCAAGGCCATCCTGGCTAACACGGTGAAACCCCATCTCTACTACAAATACAAAAACTTAGCCGGGCATGGTGGCACGTACCTGTAATCCCAGCTACTCGGGAAGCTGAAGCAGGAGAATTGCTTGAACCTGGGAGGCAGAGGTTGCAGTGAGCTGAGATCGCGCCACTGCACTCCAGCCTGGGCGACAGAACGAGACTCCATCTAAAAAAAAAAAAAAAAAAAAAAAAAAGAAAGATCTAAAAGAAATACTTAGATGCCAGGAAAAGGAGAAAAATGAGTGGAAAATATACAAGTTAGAGTAAGTTAAAAATGAAATAAGAGTGCTATGTCTAATGGTTTGTTGTTGTTGTTGTTGCATGGTTTTTGTTTTGTTTTGTTTCTGAGTTGGAGTCTCACTCTGTCACCCAGGCTGGAGTGCAGTGGCACAATCTCGGCTCATTGCAACCTCCACCTCCCGGGTTCAAGTGATTCTCCTGCCTCAGCCTCCCGAGTAGCTGGGACTACATGCCCGCCACCACACCCAGCTAATTTTTGTATTTTTAGTAGAGACGAGGTTTAACCATGTTGGCCAGGCTGGTCTTGAATTCCTGACATCAGGTGATCCACCCGCTTTGGCCTCCCAAAGTGCTGGGATTACAAATGTGAACCACCGCGCCTGGCCTTGTCTAATGATTTTTGAACAAAATAGAGAAAATATGGCATGCTTAAACATTTTAAAGAACTAATAAAATATCAACCAAGGAAAGTACAACAAATATCTAAAAACATCATAATAACTAAAAAGCTTAACACCAAAATGAAGTGATTTAGAATCATTGAAATATAAAATGCTAACTACAAAGCAACAACAGATTTTTAACTCATATTTTGACATCTTCATAGAATTCACAAATCAATGGATATTATGTTTAAAGTTCTGAGTTAAAATATCTGTCAATTTTGAATTGCATAACTAGTTAAAATTTTTTTAAGATAGAAGATAAAATGTAAAATAATTCATATAATATAAACTAAATTTACTTCAATTATTTACTTCTTTAATACGCTTATTAATTACATTAGTAATTACATAAATAAAATGCCATTTCCTATTAGAATTTGTGAAGCATATAATGTTAAAAATTTTGTCTCTAAAACAGGTAACAATTTGAATGAAGAAAACAAAAATTTAATGAATGGCATAAAAATAAATTTCAAGAAAATGAAAGGTTTGTATGATGACTTAATTAAAAGAATGTAAAGGATAGAGATCTCAATTATTTGTTTTTACACATTTTGGAGGGAAAGTAACCCTGAGATAGTAAAGTGCAGAAAATAATATTAATTATATTCTTGAGTTTTCAAGCCCCTCTTACTGACCTTAGTACTTACAGAACATCCGGCACAGGCCCACCAGGATTCCCTGGGTGTTTCTGCCAAGGAGACTATCCAGTGGAAATGAAGCAGACAGCCATGTGCACAAAGATGGATGGATGCTCACCTCCAAGAGACTAGTGGGTGCAGGTTGCAGAGGGAGTTGACCCTCTTGGAGGTCCAGGGAGGGGCTACGGGCACCATCCTTGAAGAGGGTCCTGGAACTCCACTGAGCCCTCCTGCCTACGGGGGCCTTAGAGGGTGCCCTGTCCTGTCCGTGGCCCCTGGGTCCTATCTCACCCGCTAGCTTTTTTTTTTTTTAACAGAGGAATCAAGGTGGCAACCCCAATGCAGCCTTGCTAGGGAAAGGATCAAAAGTGTCAGGGCCCACATCCATCTTGGAACATTAAGTGACTGATTAGTAAATAGGTTAGGAAAGAATGTGCTGTTGTGGTCCCCTGGGATCACATTCCAGGAGGGAACCTGGGTAGCAGCTGCCTGAGGCTGTGCACTGGAGGGAGGCTGGACAGCCCACCTGGGCTTCAGTGATCCTGGGCCCCCAGCTCTCCTGGGGAGACATGCTCTTGGCCAGAGCAGACAATGAAGGTGGCATCCAGAAGACATGCTGAGCTGTCAGGTGGGCACAGAGGGGTAGGCATGAGGGGTCCTTGGGGGTAGAACCCTCTCAGGGCCCTGAACTTATCCCAGAGACTCCCCAGCCTTTCAAAGCACAGGCCGTACCTCAAGCTGCATGATGGGCACAGTGCAGTGGCCTGGTGAGAGTGGAGTGAGCAGCCAGTCAGTTCATTTTCCTGATCAGCAAATTGAGTCTCCAAAACCATAAGCCACGTGGGGCAAAGGCACTGGGCTGAGGCATTACCTTCTTTGTTCTCTGGCCTCCATAGGCCTCTGACCTTCCTGGGCTTGTCTGAAACTGGGAGAAGATCCCTCTTCCTTGTGAGTGTTGATGTAGAAGCCACCACTCATGTGTGGTAAGCCCACCCACAGTCACTCTTGTGGGCCCACCTGGGCCTCCTCACTCTACTGGCCTGTGAAACCCAACTGGCATTCCAGAGTCCAGAATTCACATTTGGTTCCAGAACCAAATAACTCAGCACCGAGGCCAGAGCAGAAATGGGCCTGTTCATTCCATGGCACAAGGCCCAAATCAGAGAACTGGCCTGACTGTTCTGCTGCACCCAGGCAGTGTGTGTACTGTTCTAAGTAGGTCTCATCCTCTTTCTGCCTCCAATTATTTGACCTGCAACTTGTCATTTATACCAGCTCTTTCTCTACCCCACACATCTTATGGTTTGCCAAGCACTAAGGGTCACAATCCTCCTGCTCATTCATGCTGTGGCAGGAAGAGAGATCTCTCAACCTACCTTGACACTTGTATCAATAGTACCAACTCTAGGAATAGAGCTCTCACATACTCAGACTCGTTTCTGGCTTCCATACCAAGGAATATAGCAGAATGAAAAGGAAAATAAGACACAGACCTGGCAGTTCTGCCCTTTAAAGGGCAGCTTCAGGCTGGTCACCCTAAGCCACAATTTGAGGGTCTGGTTCAGCATGACATGTCCCATCTTGGAAAATAGTTGGGCTGGAACAAAGAGCCCCAGAATTTCATGGTCCAATGGTAACCTGGAGAAGGAGCACCCCAGCAGCCTTTACACATTCAGTCACACCTGTTTTAGTAATGAAACCCACCAACTAAAGAGCCATCTCATTCACTTGAAAAACCACACCAGCAATGTGTACAAACTTCAAGCCTTTTGGATAAGCTCCTATCAACCCAGAGATGTAGAAAGAGGCACAAACTTTTGAATCTAGATGCTCAGTAGAAACAGCCTCCACTTCCTGAACCACCCTGTATGGCAGATGCAGTTGACAATGGTAACTTGACTTGGGCATACCTGAAGACTGACCCTGTATGGAAAATGTTTCTGAATGAGTGTTCAGAGTTCTGAGCTAAGGAATCTAGGAGCAGCCAACCTGGAGATTCACTATTTATCTATAAGGAACCTCTGAGCTTCTGGCCTGTCTCATCCTGGGCCATGGAATGCAGGCCATACAGGATATTGAAGCCCTTCACATTGTGTTAAACGAAGGTTGCCTGGTGAAGGTTGTTCAGGTGAAGGTGCTAAATAAAAATGCTATACAAACTGCATGCATTTTGCAAGTGAGTGTGGTTCTCCTGCTCAGCCCACTGACACTAGACTCCCTCCCCTCTATGTAAGCCCCCAGTAAATCTCCATATCTCATTCACTGGCTCTGGGTCCCTTCCTCAGCCTCTTGAACCTGCTGCCATTCCCATGGGAGTAGATGGGGATTTTTTTTCACAACATACCCCACAGGGAGAGTAGATTTCAGGCTCTGCTAAGTGTGCTTCAGAGCTCACCAGGGCATCAGCTCTAGAAGGATGCAGTTGTTCTTTGCACCACCCCCGATCCTGTCTTCTTTTTCATAGATGCACAATCAGTGGGATACCAAGGAGAATGAACAAGGAACACATCGTGGTCAGGAGCAAGACTGATGCAACAATAAGCAGTAACTACTTGGAAACCCAAAGGGAGCATTTTTTCTCTTTCCTATGGGCAGCCCTCAACTTTTGTCCTCACTTCCTGGCCTCAGTGATGGGTTTTGAGCACCATCCTGCCTCTGGAGGCACCATGGGCCCTGCTGGTAAACGCCTTTACTGAATCCTGGTGCAGGAAAGCTTTCTCATGACAAATATGACCTCTTCTCTGTGATCATCAGCTTCTGGGCAATCTGAACAAAGCACGAACTAGAAACCTATAAAATGGAGAAGAGTAGGTCTTAGGAAAACATATGCCCACTTTTTCCCTTGGCAAGTTCAGACAGCAACTGTGAAGGCAGATGGACGTGTAGAAAATGATAGCATTCTATAACTCCTCATCATGTGAGTTTACCATCAGGAGTTTTTAATTCTAGCTCCAAATGGGAACTGGAAGTCGCTTCACTGTGCATCTATCAATGATTGATTGCACAACTTTTGTCTATCATACTGAGGAGACTTCACTGGATGTTTTTCCATTGAACATATAAACATAAAGATAAAAATAGGGAAAGGTGAAATAGCAACTCCATAATCATCAAACAAAGTGTAAGAATGTTACTCTCACATCATTAACATTTTTGTATAAATTTCCATGCATATTTACCCATAAAATGAACATTTTAATAATAAATCAGCTCTATGAAGTCAAAAGAAAAAGCCAATTAAATCATTTTCTCTTTTTTAACAACAAAGAGACACACATATGGTCCAGACATGCCCTGATAGAGTGGAGTGGGTGTGGGTCCTGTCCTGGGAAAGGGGAGGAAGGGCAGAGTCAGTGCTCTGGATCATGTGTTGAGGTGAAAGATGGGACACAAAAAAAGAGGGAGTCAGGGCCTTGACCAGCAACACTGAGGCTTGCAGGGGCCTTCTGCAAGCAACAGACATGGCCTGCAACACTGAAGGCTAGATAGGCCAGTTTCAATAAGAAGATCTGCCCAGACATCTCAGCAACTTTGCTGGGAGGCCCTGACTACACCTGGATTGGATACTCCTGAAGTAGAATGGCTTCCAGAGAGCCACACACACAACGGTCCTGACCACTACGGCTGGGAAAATCTAAAAGAGCCAATTTCTTCTGTTTTCAGAGGCTCAGGTGAGTGGAGACCAGTTAAGACTTCAGTGAAAAACCCCTGAAGAGACAGGGTCTTATAGGTTTTTACCCCCTAAAACCCAAACCAGCTGGCCACCTTTCTCTCTCCTCCATGCCAAGGACACAAGCAGGGCTTCTTGTAGACATCTCTGACCCCTCTGCCTGCGATGCAGCCACCTGAACATTTTGCACAACAGAAGAAGGTGAGAGAAGTACGAGGGCAGCTGCACCAACCTTGTTTTGGTGGGCACCCTGGCCCAGGCTGCAGACAAAGCTGTGGGCATCAGGTGGTGGGCAATGCACCTACCCTCATGCCACTCCAAGCTGAAGCTGCTGTTTCTTCAGTTTCTTGAGCACCCAGTTTAGGAATGACTTGAGATTTGCCCTGGTGCTCTTAGATGGAGGTTGGGAATAGCAATGACTCCTGGCACCCTGGACCACCTTGCCTAGATAGCAGCCGTTCCTGCCCACACTGCCACCAAGTGGCCCCAGGTGCCTGGTTGTCCTGTTTTCCCTTCTCCCACAGCTCACCTTCTCCTCTGACTTTCCTCAAACCCCACTCCTCCATATTCTCATAGTGAGGTGCCTGGCTTCTTAGAGACAGAGGACCAGCCCAGATCTTAGTTCCTGAACATGTGGAGCAAGCAAGCAAGGAGGTCGGGAGAAAAGTCATCTATGCCTCAAGGACTAATAACAATTTTCACACACCAGAAAAAAGTAAGGTGTCCAGTTGGGGACTACAGGCCTCAATTTTGTTCACGTCTTGCCTTGTATATATTGATTTTTTAACATTTAAGTTCAGAGGTACATGTGCAGGTATGTTACATAGGTAAATGTGTCATGGGGATTTGTTGTGCTGATTATTTCATCACCCAAGTATTACGCCTAGTACCCATTCATTGTTTCTCCTGATCCTCTTCTTCCTTCCAACTGCCACCCTCTGATAGGCCCCAGTGTGTGTTGTTCTCCTCTGTGTGTCTATGTGTTCTCATAACATAGCTCCCACTTATAAGTGAGAACATGCTGTATTTGGTTTTCTGTTCCTGCATTAGTTTATTAAGGATAATGGCCTCCAACTCCATTCATGTCCCTACAAAAGACATGATCTCTTTCTTTTTTATGGCTGCATAGTATTCCATGGTGCATATGTACCACATTTTCTTTATCCGGTCTATCATTGATGGGCATTTAGGTTGATTCCACGTTTTTGCTATTATGAATAGCGCAGCAATAACATGTGTTTGAATGTGTCTTTACAATACAATGATTTATATTCCTTTGGGTATATACTCAGTAATGAGATTGCTGAGTTGAATGGTACTTTTGTCTTTAGGTCTTTGAGGAATCGCCACACTCTCTTCCACCTGGTTGAACTAATTTTCACTCCCACCAACAGTGTATAAGCATTTCTTTTTCTCTACAATCTCACCAGCATCTATTATTTTTTGACTTTTTAATAGCAGACATTCTGAATGGTGTGAGATGGTATCTCATTGTGGTTTTGATTTGCATT
Source organism: Homo sapiens (assembly GCF_000001405.40). Classification (NCBI taxonomy): domain Eukaryota; kingdom Metazoa; phylum Chordata; class Mammalia; order Primates; family Hominidae; genus Homo; species Homo sapiens. Next base: position 63,948,884 of record NC_000007.14, on the reverse strand, counting down.
TCTCCAGTCATCAGTGATGTTGAGCTTTTTTCACATGATTATTGGCCATCTGTATGTCTTCTTTTCAGAAGTGTCTGTTCACCTCCTTTGCGCACTTTTTAATAGGGTTGCTTTTTCTTATAAACTTGTTTAAGCTACTTATAGGTGTTGGATATTAGACCTTTGTCAGATGCATAATTTGCAAAAATTTCCTCTCATTCTGCAGATTGCCTACTCTGTTGATAGTTTCTTTTGCTGTGCAGAAGCATTTTAGTTCAATTTGATACCATTTGTTATTTTTTGCTTTTGTTACAATTGCTTTTGGCATCTTTGTCATGACATTTTTGCCTGTGCCTAGCTCCTGAATGATGTTGCTTAGGTTGTCTTCCAGGAGTTTTATAGTTTGGGGGTTTTATATTTAAGCCTTCAATTCATCTTGAGTAAATTTTTGTATATCGTGTAAGGAAAGTGTCCAGTTTCAATCTTCTGCATATGGCTAGCCAGTTATCCCAGCACCATTTATTGAATAGGTAATCTTTTCCTCATTGCATGGTTTTATCCAGTTTGCTGAAGATAAGATAGTTGTAGGTGTGCAGTCTTATTTCTGGGTTTTCTATTCTATTCACTTGGTCTATGTGTTCTTATACTAGTAACATGCCCTTTTGGTTATTGTAGCTCTGTATTACACTTTGAAGTTGGGTACCATGATGGCTCTAGCTTTCTTCTTTTTGCTTAGGATTGCTTTGCCAATTTGGGATCTACTTTATTCCCACATGTATTTTAAAATAGTTTTTGTCTAGTTCTGTGAAGAATGTTAATGGCACTTTAGTGGGAATAGCATTGAATCTACAAGTTGCTTTGGGCAGTATGGCCATTTTAATGATATTGATTATTCCTATCCATGAGAATGACATGCTTTTAAATTTGTTTAATTTTTTTCTTGTTTCTTGGCTGGTGTCAAAGGATGCTTTATCCTGTTCAGGTGAGAAGTCATAAAAATACACTTAATTTTATAATGTATTTATTGAGAAATCTATATTATCTTTGTGTGAGCAAAATCCTTTGTGATTTGAAGGTAATTTTTGAAAAATTTTATAATTCTGTATCCATTGTAGGCATCATTTTACAACATTTTTTATTTTATTTTACTTTGAGTTCTGGGATACATGTGCAGAACATGCAGGCTAGTTACACAGGTGTGCATGTGCCATGGTGGTTTATTGTACCTATCAACCCATCATCTAGGTTTTAAGCCACACATGCATTAGGTATTTGTCCTAATGCTTTCCCTCCCCTTTTGCCCCACTCCCCAACAGGCCCTGGTGTGTGATGTTCCCCACCCTGTGTCCATGTGTTCCCATTGTTCAACTCCCACTTATGAGTGAGAACATGTGGTGTTTGTTTGGTTTTCTGTTCCTGTGTTAGTTTGCTGAGAATGATGGTTTCCAGCTTCATCCATGTCCCTGCAAAGGACAGGAACTCATTCTTTTTTATGGTTGCATAGTATTCCATGGTGTATATGTGCCACATTTTCTTTATCCAATCTATCATTGATGGGCATTTGGGTTGGTTCCAAGTCATTGCTATTGCAAACAGTGCTGCAATAAACATACATGTATGTGTGTCTTTATAGTAGAATTATTTATAATCCTATGGGTATATACCCAGTCATGGGATTGCTGGGTCAAATGGTATTTCTGGTTCTAGATACTTGAGGAATTGCCACATTGTCTTCCACAATGGTTGAACTAATTTACACTCCCACCATCAGTGTAAAAGTGTTCCTATTTCTCCACATCCTAGCCAGCATCCATTGTTTCCAGACTTTTTAATGATCGCCATTCTAACTGGCGTGAGATGGTATCTCATTGTGGTGTTGGTTTGCACATTTCTCCAATGACCAGTGATAATGAGCTTTTTTTCATATGTTTGTTGGCCACATAAATGTCTTATTTCGGGAAGTATTTGTTCATATCCTTCACTCACTTTTTGATGGGGTCATTTAGTTTAGTTTTTTCTGGTAAATTTGTTTAAGTTTCTTGTAGATTCTGGATATTAGCCCTTTGTTAGATGGATAGATTGCAAAATTTTCTCCCATTCTGTAGGTTGCCTGTTCACTCTGATGATAGTTTCTTTTGCTATGCAGAAGCTGTTTAGTTTAATTAGATTCCATTTGTCAATTTTTGTTTTTGTTGCAATTGCTTTTGGTGTTTTAGGCATGAAGTCTTTGCCCATGCCTATGTCCTGAATGGTACTGCCTAGGTGTTCTTCAAGGGTTTTTATAGTTTTAGGTTTTAATTTAAGTCTTTAATCCATCTTGAGTTAATTTTTGTATAAGGTGTAAGGAAGGGGTCCAGTTTCTGTTTTCTGCATATGACTAGCCAGTTTTCCCAGCACCATTTATTAAATAGGGATTCCTTTCCCCATTGCTTGTTTTTCAGGTTTGTAGAAGATCAGATGGTTATAGATGTGCGGTATTTCTGAGGCCTCTGTTTTGTTCCATTGGTCTACGTATCTGTTTTGGCACCAGTACCATGCTGTTTTGGTTACTGTAGCCTTGTTGTATAGTTTGATGTCAGGTAGCATGATGCCTCCAGCTTTGTTCTTTTTGCTTCTGATTGTCTTGGTTATATGGGCTCTTTATTGGTTCCATATAAAATTTAAAGTAGTTTTTTTCTAATTCTGCAAAGAAAGTCAATGGTAGTTTGATGGGAATAGCATTGAATCTATAAATTACTTTGGGCAGTATGGCCATTTTCACAATATTGATTCTTCCTACCCATGAGCATGGAATTTATTTTTTCCATTTGTTTATGTCCTCTCTTATTTCCTTGAGCAGTGGTTTGTAGTTCTCCTTGAAGAGGTCCTTCATGTCCCTTGTAAGTTGTATTCCTAGGTATTTTATTCTCTTTGTAGCAATTGTGAATGGGATTTCATTCATTATTTGGTCCTCTGCTTGTCTATTATTGGTGTATAGGAATGCTTGTAATTTCTGCATATTGATTTTGTATCCTGAGACTTTGTTGAAGTTGGTTATCAGCTTAACGAGTTTTTGGGCTGAGACAATAAGGTTTTCTAAATATACAATCATGTCGTCTGCAAACAGACAATTTGACTTCCTCTCTTCCTATTTGAGTACGCCTTATTTCTTTCTCTTGCCCAATTCCCCTGGCCAGAATTTCCGATACTATGTTGAATAGGAGTGGTGAGAGAGGGCATCCTTGTCTTGTGCCAGTTTTCAAAGGGAATGCTTCCAACTTTTGCTCATTCAGTATGATATTGGCTATGGGTTTGCCATAAATAGCTCTCATTTTGAAGTACACTCCCTCAATACCTGGTTTACTGAGAGTTTTTAGCATGAAGGGATGTTGAATTTTATTAAAGGCCTTTTCTGCATTTATTGAGATAATCAGGTGGTTTTTGTCATTGGTTCTGTTTATGTGATGGATTACGTTTATTGATTTGCGTATGTTGAACCAGCCTTGCATCTCAGGGATGAAGCCAACTTGATTGTAGTGGATAAGCTTTTTGATGTACTGCTGGATTCAGTCTGGCAGTAATTTATTGAGGATTTTCGCATTGATGTTCATCAGGGATATTGGCCTGAAATTTTCTTTTTTTGTTGTGTCTCTGCCAGGTTTTGGAATCAGGATGATGCTGGCCTTATAAAATGAGTTAGGGAGGATTCCTTTTTTTTCTGTTATTTGCAATAGCTTCAGAAGGAATGGTACCAGCTCCTCTTTGTACCTCTGGTAGAATTCAACTGTGAATCAGTCTGGTGCTGCCTGGGCTTTTTTTGGTTGGTAAGCTATTAATTACTCCCTCAATTTCAGAACTTGTTATTGGTCTATTTAGGGATTCAACTTCTTTCTGGTTTAGTCTCAGGAGGGTGTATGTGTCCAGGAATTTATCCATCTCTTCTAGATTTTCTAGTTCATTCGCATAAAGGTATTTATAGCATTCTCTGATGGTAGTTTGTATTTCTGTGGGATCAGTGGTGATATCCCCTTAATCATTTTTTATTGTGTCTGATTATTCTCTCTTTTCCTTTTTATTAGTCTAGCTAGCAGTCTATCTATTTTGTTAATCTTTTCAAAAAACCAGCTGCTAGATTCATTTATTTTTTAAGGCTTTTTTGTGTCTCTACCTCCTTCAATTCTGCTCTGATCTTAGTTATTTATTGTCTTTTGCTAGCTTTTGAATTTGTTTGCTCTTGCTTCTCTAGTTCTTCTAATTGTGATGTTAGGGTGTTGATTTTAGATCTTCCCCACCTTCTGATGTGAGCATTTAGTGCTATAAATTTCCCTCTTAACACTGCTTTGGCTATGTCCCAGAGATTCTGGTACATTGTGTCTTTGTTCTCTTCGGTTTCAAAGAACTTCTTTATTTCTGCCTTAATTTTGTTATTTACCCAGTAGTCATTCAGGAATAGATTGTTCAGTTTCCATGTAGTTGTGCAGTTTTGAGTGAGTTTCTTAATCCTGAGTTCTAATTTGATTGCACCGTGGTCTGAGAGACTGTTTGTTGTGATTTCCACTCTTTTTCATTTGCTGAGGTGTGTTTTACTTCCAATTATGTGGTCAATTTTAGAATAAGTGCTGTGTGGTGCTGTGAAGAATGTATATTCTGTAGATTTGGGGTGGAGAGTTCTGTAGATGTCTATTTGATCTGCTTGGTCCAGAGCTGAGTTCAAGTCCTGAACATTCTTGTTAATTTTCTGTCTCATTGATCTGTCTAATATTGACAGTGGGGTGTCAAAGTTTCCTACTATTATTGTGTGGGAGTTTAGGTCTCTTTGTAGGTCTCTAAGAACTTGCTTTATGAATCTGGGTGCTCCTGTATTGGATGCATATATATTTAGGATAGCTAGCTCTTCTTGTTGCATTGATCCCTTTACCATTATATAATGCCCTTCTTTGTCTTTTTTGATCTTTGTTGGTTTCAAGTCTGTTTTACCAGAGACTAGGATTGCAACCCCTGCTTTTTTTTGCTTTGCTTTCCATTTGGTTGGTAAATATTCCTCCATCCGTTTATTTTGAGCCTATGTGTGTCTTTGCATGTGAAATGGGTCTCCTGAATATAGCACACTGATGGGTCTTGACTCTTTATCCAATTTGCCAGTCCATGTCTTTTAATTGGGGGCATTTAGTCCATTTACATTTAAGGTGAATATTGTTATGTGTGAATTTGATCCTGTCATCATGATGCTAGCTGGTTATTTCGCACATTAGTTGATGCAGTTTCCTCATAGGGCCATTGATCTTTATATTTTGGTGTGTTTTTGCAGTGGCTGGTACCAGTTTTTCCTTTCCATATTTAGTGCTTCCTTCAGCAGCTATTGTAAGGCAGGCCTGGTGGTGACAAAATCCCTCAGCATTTGCTTGTCTGGAAAGGATTTTATTTCTCCTTCGCTAATGAAGCTTAGTTTGGCTGGATACGAAATTCTGAGTTGAAAATTCTTTTCTTTAAGAACGTTGAATATTGGCCCCCACTCTCTTCTGGCTTGTAGGGTTTCTGCAGAGAGATCCACTGTTAGTCTAATGGGCTTCTCTTTGTAGGTAATCTGACCTTTCTCTCTGGCTGCCCTTAACTTTTTTTCCTTTGTTTCAGCCTTGGAGAATCTGATGATTATGTGTCTTGGGGTTGCCCTTCTCAAGGAGTATCTTAGTGGTGTTCTCTGTATTTCCTGAATTTGAATGTTGGCCTGTCTTGCTAGGTTGGGGAAGTTCTCCTGAATAACATCCTGAAGTGTGTTTTCCAACTGGGTTCCATTCTCCCCATCAATTTCAGGCACACCAATCAATTGTAGGTTTGGTTTTTTCACATAGTCCCATATTTCCTGGAGGCTTTGTTTGTTCCTTTTCATTCTTTTTTCTCCAATCTTGTCTTCCTGTCTTATTTCAGTAAGTTGATCTTCAATCTCTGATATCCTTTCTTCCACTTGATCAACTTGGCTATTGATACTTGTGTATGCTTCACAAAGTTCTCATGCTGTGTTTTACAGCTCCATCTGGTCATTTATGTTCTTCTCTAAACTAGTTATTCTAGTTAGCAGTTCCTGTAACCTTTTATCAAGGTTCTTAGCTTCTTGCATTGGGTTATAATATAGTATTTTAGGTCAGAAGAGTTTTGTTATTACGCACCTTCTGAAGTCTACTTCTGTTAATCCGTCAAACTCATTCTCCATTCAGTTTTGTGCCCTTGCTGGAGAGGAGTTGCTATCATTTGGAGGAGAAGAGGCATCCTGGTTTTTGGCATTTGCAGTATTTTTGTGCTGGTTTTTCCTCATTTTGTGGATTTAGCTACCTTTGATCTTTGAGGCTGATGACCTTTGGATGGGGTTTTTGGGTAGGGGTCCTTTTTGTTGATTTTGATGTTGTTGCTTTCTGTTTGTTAGTTTTTCCTTGAACAAGCCCCTCTTCTGCAGGTCTGCTGCAGTTTGCTGGAGGTCCACTCCAGTCCCTGTTTGCCTGGGTATCACCAGCGGAGGCTGCAGAACAGCAAAGACTGCTGCCTGCTCCTTCCTCTGGAAGCTTCGTCCCAGGGGGCACCGGCCTGATGCCAGCTGGAGCTCTCCTGTATGAGGTGTCTGTCCACCCCTCCTGGGAGGTCTCTCCCAGTCAGGAGGCATGGGGATCAGGGACCAACTTGAGGAGGCAGTCTGTCCTTTAGCTGAGCTCAAGCACTGTGCTGGGAAAATCCTCCTTGTCGGGATCTGCTGCTCTCTTCAGAGCCAGCAGGCAGAAACGTTTAAGTCCACTAAGGTTGTGCCCACAGCCACCCCTTCCCCCAGATGCTCTGTCCCAGGGAGATGGGAGTTTTATTTATAAGCCCCTGACTGGGGGCCGGGCACGGTGGCTCACACCTGTAATCCCAGCACTTTGGGAGGCCGAGACGGGCGGATCATGAGGTCAGGAGATAGAGACCATCCTGGCTAACACGGTGAAACCTCATCTCAACTAAAAATAGAAAAAAACAGCTGGGCGTGGTGGCGGGCGCCTATACTCCCAGCTACTCCGGAGGCTGAGGCAGGAGAATGGCGTGAACCCAGGAGGCGGAGCTTGCAGCGAGCAGAGATCATGCCACTGCACTCCAGCCTGGGCAACAGAGCGAGACTCCATCTCAAAAATAAATAAATAAATAAATAAAAATAAGCCCCTGACTGGGGCTGCTACCTTTCTTTCAGAGATGCTCTGCCCAGTGAAGAGGAATCTAGAATGGCAGTCTGGCCACAGCCGCTTTGCTGGCTCTGTTGAGTTCCACCCAGTCCAAACTTCCTGGCCTCTTTAAAACTGTTAGAGGAAAACCGACTACTCAAGCCTCAGTAATAACAGACACCCCTTCCCTCACCAAGCTCGATCATCCCAGGTTGACTTCAGACTGCTGTACTGGCAGTGAGAATTTCAAGCCAGTGGTTCTTAGCTTGCTGGGCTCCATGGGAGTGAGACCCTCTGATAAGACCACTTGGCTCCCTGGCTTCAGCCCCCTTTCCAGGGGAGTAAACTGTTCTGTCTTGCTGGGGTTCCAGGCGCCACTGGAGTAACAAAATAAATTCCTGCAGCTAGCTCAGTGTCTGCCCAAACAGCTACCCAGTTTTGTGCTTGAAACCTAGGGCCCCGGTGGTACAGGCACACACGGGAATCTCCTGGTCTGTGGATTGCAAAAACCGTGGGAAAAGAATAGTATCTGGGCTGGATAGCACAGTCCCTCACAGCTTCCCTTGGCTCGGGGAGGGAGTTCCCTGGCTCCTTGCACTTCCTGGGTGAGGTGATGCCCCACTCTGCTTCTGCTAACCCTCCATGGGCTGTACCCACTGCCTAACCAGTCCCAATGAGATGAACTGGGTACCTCAGTTGGAAATGGAGAAATCACTGCCTTCTGCGTTGGTCTCGCTGGGAGCTGCAGACAAGAGCTGTTCCTATTCAGCCATCTTGCGCCAAACAATCCCACTTTCTCTCTTTTTGCTCCCCAAAGTCACTAAGGTCTTAAGAGCTAACATTGTAGATCAACTTTGTATTTGTATACATGTTTCATTACAGAAAATTTAAAACATATACAAAATAAAGAAAACAGTATAATACGCCTGTTACCCAGCTCAACAACCACTAATAATGTGCCAAATTTGTTTTATGTATACTCCAATCCATTTTCTACCCAGACTTTATTCTTTATTATTATTTTTTTCAGAGGTAAGATGTGTGCTAATTGAAGGTAAAATCTTGGCTGAGCACAATGGCGTAAGCCTGTATAATTCCACCATTTTGGAATGACAAGACAGGAGGCTCACTTGAGCTTAGGAGTTTGAGAGCAGCCTGGGCAATATAGTGAGACCACATCACTACCAAAAACACACACAAAAAAATGAGGCATGACGGTGCATGCCTGTATTCCCAGCTACTTGGGATGCTGACATAGCAGGATCCCTTGAGTCTGGGAGGTTGAGGCTTCAGTGAGATGCGACTGGGCAGCTACACACAAGCCTGGGTGACAGAGTGAGACTCTGTCTCAAAAACAAAAGAGAAAGATTCAGTCTTAACTGTACTTCTTAAAACATCAATACGCACATATAAACAATTTTTCTTTTAAGAATAGAAGTATCCAAGTTAATAATCATTACTGTAAACCCATTTGTTACTCAGACTTTATCTTTTAATTAGGTTTTTAAAAAAGTAAGATGTGAGCTCATTGAAAGGTCCAATCTTGGCCAGAAATAGTGGCTTGCATTTGTAATTCCATCCCTTTGGGAAGCCAGAGCTCAGGAGTTTGAGACTAGCCTAGGCAACATAACAAGACCTCACTAGGGCAACATAGTGAGACCTCATCTCTACAAAAATTTTTAAAAAATTAGTTGGGCATGATGGTGCACACTTGTAGATGGTGCAGTTATTTGGGATGCTGACTTGGGAGGATTGCTCGAGTCTGGGAGGTGAAGGCTGCAGTGAGCTGTGATTGCATCACTACACTCCACCTTGACTGACAGATTGAGATGCTGTCAAAAAAAAAAAAGGTACAATATTAACTGTACCGGATTGACACATCAATACATACATATAAACAATACCTCTCTTAAAAATAAAAGTACCCCACTGAAAAATTATTGATATGCATGGGAATTACCTACACATTTTTAATTTGTTTTGGTTTGGATTTTTATTGAAAGGAAACACCTAGAAACATTACCTAAAATCTAGATTTTGATAAAAATAGGGAGAATTTCAAAATAGTCATGAGTTTTGTCTGAGAATTTGTCTTTCTAACAAAGTACAGATGTTACAGCACATGGTAGATACAAGGTCTCTTTTATTTAAAATAAATAAAATTTGATGAATAAAAATTTTTAAATTTGACCTGAGGTTAAAGGACAAATCAAAACACCTGTGCTATGTGTTATCTGTAGAAGTATATTTTTAATAATGACATAAACTATTAATAACCAAAAAAGTTATAATAATTTATTAACCAAAGTGAGCAAAATTCCTATTATGGTATCTATGGAAATGCTCTCTGCTGGGCGTGGTGGCTCACGCCTGTAATCCCAGCACTTTGGGAGGCCGAGGCAGGTGGATCACGAGGTCAGGAGATCGAGACCATCATGGCTAACACGGTGAAACTCCGTCTCTACTAAAATTACAAAAAATCAGCCGGACCTGGTGGCGGGTGCCTGTAATCTCAGCTACCTGGGAGGCTGAGGCAGGAAAATGGCTTGAACCTAGGAGGTGGAGCTTGCAGTGAGCCGAGATCGCGCCACTGCACTCCAGCCTGGGCGACAGAGCGAGACTCCTCTCAAAAAAAAAAAGAAAAGAAAAGAAAAGAGAAAAAAAAGAAAAAGAAATACTTTCTTAGAGTAAAATATTCTCTTATCTTGCAAGGGCACTGGTTAATAACAGTGATGATTTGGAAGTCAATGTCTCATAAAGTAAGTAGCAGACCCTTTTCACACTCATAGCTGGCCTTCGCAGAGTTATCGAAAAAGTGGTCATTTACATGAGAGCAGATAATTTTCTTAGGTTCTATTAAGTTTATATGCTAATGTTTTTACAAAATTTAAATCAATTTTCTTATAAGATTATAAGACAAAATTTTATGTTATAATATCACAATATACTACAATATGTAATATAATGTAATATAATAAAATTTTGTCCAATATGATGTCATATTATTATAATTTATGTTATTTTATAAAAAATATAAAATATATTAAAAAATCAAAATGTTATGTTATGATATCACAATGTATTATACCATATATATTATGGTATAATATATTATGATATCACAATGTATTACATATGACATCATTATATAATGTCTGACATATATTATATCGCAACATATTATATTATGTTACATATTATATTATATTATATTATATTATATTATATTATATTATATTGTCCAGCTAATTGACATGGCCCCGCAGACTGCCTAGGGCATGAACTACTTCCATGTCAAGAATATTATCCAAGAAGATCTCAAGTCTAATAACATTTTTTGACACAAAGGGTTCCCGGTAAAGATGAGTGACTCCCGTCTGACCACAGTGAAGACACAATGAAGCAGGGCCCAGCCCTTGGAGCAGCCTTCAGCCTCCATTTTATGGATCGCAGCTGAGGTGACTTTCATGCAGAACCTGAAACCCTTCAGCTCCCAGTTGGACGTCTATGCCAGTGTAGCTGTGCTCTAAAAACTCATGAATGGCTCACTGCTTACAGCCACATTGGCAGCTGTGACCAGATCATCTTTATGGTGGGCTGTGACTCTTTGTCCCTGGACCTCAGAAAAATCTCCAGCAACTGCCCCAAGCCATGCGGTACCTGCTGTCTGACTGCCTCAAGTTCCAGTAAAAGGAGTGGCTCCTTTTGCCACAGACTCTGGCCACAATTTTTCTGCTGCGAGGGTCACTCCCCAAGATTGAGGGAGATACCGCTAAACCTTCCTTTTATCAAACCCAAGCTGATGAGTTGCCTTCCTGCCTACTCAGCACAGGCTGTCTTGAGCCTTAGACCTCACTCCCAGCCACTAGGAAGCCAATCTTAGCCCGCCATGCCAAGGACCCTTGCCCACCAACTAATCAATGTTTTATTGCTGTTCTGATGTTGCGTCAGGATCTCATATCCCCCACCCTGCTAGATGAGGAGGTCCCCATGTGCTTTCCCAGTTCCTCTAAAATTGAAAAACTCTTAAGGATTGAGCCCCTGCCCTGCTCCATCATTTTGTTTCTTGGCTTAGGAGATACCTCTAAATTTGGGGAATTCCTTCATCTCATATGGCTAAATTTTCTAGCAGGGATTTCACTCAGAACCTCTCTGGAATGTATGCCTGACGTGAATTCCACTGGACTTTGGGGTTCTCAGCACGTCATGTATTTTGGGGTTCCCTTTTTGTCCTCTCTTCCATTCAAGGACTACTCTCTTACTTCACCAAAATACAGAGAATTTTTCTGAAAAATCAATAAAGTGTTTCAAATAAAACCTTCCCAACCTTTGCCTCTGGGGAAAACATAATTTTTATTAAATTATTTATGTATGTATTTGACCTCTGCTCTAAAAAGAGACACTACTCACTTCACACAAGGCTGTTAGTTATTTAGAAACATCCTTGAAAAGATTGTCCAAACAGAAGCTTATATAAGACATAAAACAAATTAACCGACAGGTCTATAAAAACTGTCTCCCAACAGAGTATAACATGCCCTTAAAAATACAGAAATATTAGTACGACCATTATAAAAAACACTGTGAACCTTTTTCAAATAATTAAAACAGAATTACCATATTATCCAGCAATTTCACTTCCAGATATACAACCAAAGAAAATAAAATTAGTCTCTAGAAGAGACATCTGCACTTCTATATTCATTGCAGAATTATTTACAATGACTGAGACATGCAAACAATCTACGTATCCATTAATAGATGAATGGATAAAGAAATTATGGAATATTTATATAATGGAATATTATTCAGCCATAAAAAAGAGAATTCTGCCATTTGCAACAATATGAATGAACCTAGAGGACATTAGCTTAAGTGAAATAAGCTAGACACAGAATGACAAATACTGTTTAATTTCACTCATGTATGAAGCCAAAAATGTCAAAGTCATAGAAACAGAGAGCACACAGTGGTTCCTAGGGGGTGGTGGGTGGAAGAAACGAAGACATGTTGATAAAAAGTGCAAACTTTTAGATATAAAATAAATAAGTTCTGGTGATTTAATTTATAGCATGGATGACCATGAATGTTGTCTTAGGCTATCCCTATTTCTGTAACAAAATATTTTAGAATAGGCAATTTATACAGAGTCTAAACTTAGTTCTCACAGTTATGGAGGCTGAGAAGTCCAAGATTAGGGCACCAGCAGGTACACATAATAGTACCTGCTAATTACATTAATTTGAGAATTACACTATGTATATGTATGTATGCATTTGTTGGAGCATCACATTTTAACCCTATGTTCCTTTTATGAAAATGTTACTCCTGTACAACTTTATTCTCTCTTTCCCTGCTAGTTTGGGTACTGATGTTTAAATCTACATATGTTACAAACACAATATGTTTTTATAGTTATCTGCTCATATAATTTTATTTGTTTTAAATTAGCTGAAATAAGAAAAAAGAGCACTTGTATATTTACAGGTTTATTTTGTTAAACTTCTTATTATTCATGGTATTATTTTAATCTTTCAGTTTTACTAATGTATTTTTTTAAATCTTTGTGGATACAAGTTATTACCTGGACAGATTTTCTTAGCCCAATATAGCTTTTTTTGAACCCACCTTCTCTGTGCTGTTATTGGCAAATAAATTAAATTTCTTTATGTTATATAAATTGCACTGAAGATGCAATTACAAACAATATTACAAAGTTGCTTTTGACAATCAGTAATATGAGAAAAAATATTTCTTATATTGCCTTAAATATTTGTTACATTTACTAGTCCTCTTTGTCTTTTTGGGGCATTGAAATTATCTGGGATTACTTGCATTCAGCCTGAAAACTTATTTTTATTCTTTCTCAAATGATCTGTCTGCTATCAAGAAATTGCCTCAGTTTTTATTTATCTGAAATGTTTTTATTTTTATTTATTTTTAATTGATAGTTTTTCTGAGGATAAAATTTTTAGTGGACAGTTTTTTGTCTTTGAGCATTGAAATATATATATTCTTAGAAGCTGAAAAGCTTTTACGAAGAAAAAAATTCGAGACCTGAGAATGTTCAGCGATTTGAGAAATTCAGAAAGGAAGGAAATGCTTTCTGAGGAGTGAGCCACAAGTACTATATGAGTATAGATAATGTGCACCCTACATAGGTGTGATTGTGGATGTGTGGATGTTTGAGATATGTATTTTATGATATTTATTTGTTATAAAATAAAGCTCAGGCTACATTTTAAAGAATTTATATAAGATAGTTGGGGTTAATCGAGATAAATGGGTAAAATTAAAATGATAATGTTGGTAATAATTTTGACCATGCAATAAATAGTGATGATAGGATATCTATTGCTTTTTTCAGATATATAAAGTATGATTCCTCTTCATGATTAAGATGACCTTGTTCCACTTATGATACTATTAAAAATTGCCCTTTTTTTCCAAGCCGGTATTAGACTCACAGCCAACACCTTCCTCCTTTTCTTCTGTATCTGCACACTCCCTCTGGACTGCAGGTCTAAGCCCACTGACCTCATCACCTGTCACCTGGCCCTTGTCCACTTAGTGATGCTCCTCACTGTGAGCTTCTTGGCATCTCCAGACCTGTTTGAGTCACAGTATTTTCAGAATGACTTCAAGCGTAAGGTATTCTACATGCATAGAGGGATGAGGGCTCTCCATCTGTACCACCTGCTTCCGGAGTATGTTCCAGGCTGTCACCATTAGCTCCAGCACCTCCTGGTCGGCAAGAATTAAACAGAAATTCACACGTTGCATCTTTCACTTCTTTGGGTTCTCAATTTGTTTCTCAGTAATAACCTGCCCTCCTCCACTGTGGCCTCTTCTAATGTGACCAATAGCAACGTGCTAAGTATCAGTAAATACTGTTCACTTTCTTACATAAGGGACAACATCAGGAGCCTGTTTTTCATGCTGCCACTACTTACAGATGTCTTCTTTGTAGCAATCATGTTTCTCTCAAGGGCATACATGGTAATTATTTTGTCCAGACATCAGAGACAACCCCAGTACCTTCCCAGCACCAACCTCTCTGCAAAAGCCTCCCCAGAGAAAAGGGCCACACAGACCATTCTGTTGCTGGTGAGTTGCTCTGTGGTCATGTACTGGGTGGACCTTATCATCTCATCATCCTCAACCCTGTTATGGGCTTATGACTCAGTCATCGTGGGTGTCCAGATGCTTGTGGGCAATTTCTGTTAGCCCTTTTATGCTAATTAGTTCTGATAAAAGAATAATCAAAATTTTGCATAATGTGTGATATAAATATCATAGATGATTAATAAATTATGAAAACAATTATCTGAAAAACAGATTTTGACATCAAATTTTTCAAGAAGCAGGCGATTTGATATATTATTTTATTACACTTTTATTTCATCTTAATACTTTTGAAAACTATGCTGCCAAGAACTTGGTGGTTTCTTTAGTTCAAAGTCCAACATCATAGTTCCCTTTGTCCACAAGTTTCTTACATTTAATTTTGATTCCCTAAATTTTATATAAGACAACTTTTCTATCTTCTTAAAGTGTACACTTAAGATGCTCCTGTTGGTAGATGAAATTTCTCTTTGTGTGTGTGTGTGTGTGTGTGTGTGTGTGTGTGTGTGTGTGTGTGTTTACTTTCGAAGGTTATTTAGTTTACCCTTATTTATTTAAAAATATGCTAGTTGTGTATTCAATTATAGGTTGAACAATAATTTTTCAGCACTCTTAGTATCTCCTTCTCAGTTTTCTGGCTCTGCCATGGGCTGTGGAGATTTTATTCTCACCTGTGTAGATTCTCTCTCTCTCTCTCATGGATTTTAATTTTCTTCATTCTCTTTGGTGTTATGCAGTTTGACTTATCGTGTTGGATATCTTTCTTTATTGCTCTCTCACTTTTTTTTTTTTTTCGGAGATGGAGTCTTTCTCTGTCACCCAGGCTGGAGTGTAACGGTGCAATCTTGGCTCACCGCAACCTCAGTCTCCCAGGTTCAAGCGATTCTCCTGCCTCAGCCTCCAGAGTAGCTGGGATCACAGGTGTTGGCCACCATGCCTGGCTAATTTTTCTGTATTTTTAGTAGAGACGAGGTTTCACCATGTTGCCCGGGCTGGTCTCAAACTCCTAACTTCAAATGTTGCGCCCACCTTGGCCTCCCAAAGTGCTGAGATTACAGGCATGAGCCACCGCACCCGGCCTCTTTATTGCTCTCTTTCAGGCACAGTGTCTCTTTTAGGCACATGTCTGGTTTTTAATTTCAGAAATTTGTAAATAATTATTTATTAGTATGACATTATTTGTATGGATTCAAGTGAAATAATTGTGCTTTACTCTTTCTATTCTTCACATATGTATAATTGCATACATATTGCTATTATTTTGTTTCTCTTCCTTTTATTTGGTTATATTCGTTCTGCTCAAAATTCCAATTCATTAACCCAGTTTACTAATTCTCTCATCATCAACTTAGTCTAATTTTATAATTAACTCACATATTGTATATTAAATTTCTTTATGTTTAAATTATTCCATTTCTATTTGCTCTTTTCCAAATTTGTTTGTTCAGTTTATAGTTTCCTGCTCTTTCAAAAATTATTTTGATATCATCTTTTCCCCATTTGTTTTTACTTAAACATTTAAAATAATTAAATTTAATATTTTATATTAATATTTATAAATATAAATATATTTATAATACTTTTTACATTTAAAATATTATAAATATATTTCCAGTATGCAAAGTTTATGTGATATCAAATTTCTTCCAAACCGGCCAGGCACAGTGGCTCACGCCTGTATTCCCAGCACTTTGGGAGGCCGAGGTGGGAGGATCACTTGAGGCCAGGAGTTCCAGACCAGCCTGGGCAACATAGTGAAACCCGTCTCTATTAAAAATACAAAAATTAGGCGGGCTTGGTGGGGCGTGCCTGTAATCCCAGCTACTCGGGAGGCTGGGGAAGGAGAATCACTTGAACCCGGGAGGTGGAGGGTGCAGTGAGCCAAGATCGTGCCACTGCACTCCAGCCTGGGCAACAGAGCAAGACTCTGTCTCAAAAAAAAAAAAACAACAAAAAAACTTCTAACCCTTTTTCCTCGTACCTTATCTTCTTCTGTGCTTCATACTTTATTTTTTATTTTTTGCAATAGGATCCGGTTTACTCTGCCTTGGCAGGGTGATCCTGAGAGTGGTGGGTGTCACCCTCTCCTGGGCGTAGGGAGGGCCAGCGGGCCAGTTAAGCCAATAGTGGGAGAAGCGCTGGTGGGGGGCGGGATTTGGGGGTCAGGGGTGTAATCCCGAGAATGCGGTGAAACCAGGCCGAGGCCTGGAGGCAGCTGTGGTAGCCCAGGGCAGGGTGGAAGGCAGTGGACTGGGACTGGGCCAGGGCGACAGGCTCGAGGACCCAGGCCACACGGGCACCCTGGGAGGTGGGGCGCAGTGTCACATGACGCAGAACATGAATCACAGGCCCAGGGCTCACAGTAAGCACATGGACAAGGGGGCACAGACTCACAGGCCAGATGGACATCCAGCCAACACCGGGCCAGACAAGTGGACACAGGGCCGCTGTCACATACAGACCACGGGGCGACATGGCCCTAGGGGACACACAGACTTGACGTCATAATGCACAAGGCAGGTCACAGAGCTCGAGGGACCTGGGCAGGGGCCGCTTGGCATTTCTGCACTGGAATCCTGTGAGACAAGGGTGGTGGCCGCTCTGGAGGTGCCTGGGGCGGTCCCCTCAAGGCCCTTCCGGGCTTACTCCGTCTTCCACACTGTTGAGCAGCTTTCCTACCTCATGGCAGAGGATAAACACTGTGGTCACATCCAGGCAGACCCGGCCCAGGTGGGGGACAATGCCGTTGTAGAAGGCCTTGAGCCCTTCCTTTCTCAGGATTTGCAGCCGCAGTCCCGTGTGTTCTGCATTTGTGCTTTTCAGGCCCCGCATCCGGGTCTCGATCCCGTGCAGTGGAGCGTTTCCCAAGACACTGGCTGCGCCTGCAATGGCTCCGAAGGCCCCAGCGACCAGCGGGTTCATGGGCTTGCTGGGGTTGTCCCCTCGGTACCAGCTATGCAGGGGGGTCAGGAGAAGAAGCGGATGGCCTGGTTCCAGCCCTGCTTCAGCGCGGGGGCCGTGAGGCCCCGCTGGGTCCCCTTGTTCCCGCACAATCTCCCTAACCCCGGTGGGAGACTCCTCTGCACTGGACGTCTGGGGAGGTCTGGCGGTGGATGAACTTCACCTTGATGGCGTCCATGGGAAATATGACCACCACGGCCCCGGCCACGCGGGCGCCCCAGCCGCACAGCAGCCTGCGTTGTTGTAAGGCCGTCCCTGGGCATCCCTCGTCTGGCTGCTGAGGAACAGGAACATTCAGAACCCAAAGCCGCCTTGGGGATAGAGCGGCAGAGCAGGGAGCCGAGGCCGCGGTGCTGGCCCGGGATGCCGTGGCCGCGACAGTGTACTCGCGGAATCCATGCGCCGTGTCCCGCGGGTGCGAGCGCTCGTCGGGCTGCAGGTGCGTCCTCCCGCGCTCCGTGGGCAACGGACGCCGATTTCGATGTCGCGGGCCTGGCCGCCTGCCAGGGTCGCCTTCCCCGGAGCCTCCGCTGGGCCTTCTTGGACGCGGTCGGGCCACGGCGGGCGGGAGGCGGGCGCCCAGCATGGTCTGAGGTCCCAGCATCCTGAACTCCACACTGGGACCTTAATTTGGTTTTAACACAAATAAATATTCTCACTAAAGATAAAAAGGGATGTCTTGGCTTCTAATTTTTGTTAAAAGCAATAGCATATGTTGTATAGGATAGTGCATTGGGGTAAATGGGTTTTTTATTCTTTTTATTTTTTTCATCAGCCCACTGGCATTGAAAGGGGATAGTTTTTAGGTTATCGATGAGCGATTTTCCCTCAGATAGGCCTTAGTGTAGGGGTTTGTGGTCATGTAGATGAGAGGTAGGCTGGGATTAAAAGTCGTTATGGCAGTAATAGCCTTCTGATGACGAGGAAATTCAAATCCCTTTCATGATACTTTGCTAATATCTCCCGGGTTTGCTGTGCCTTCCCTTTGTGTCTCTTCCCACACATGGTTTCTTGCACTTGGCCCAGCTATATTCCACTGTTCTTTTGACTCCATGCTTCTTAGCCTGGTAGCAGCGGTGAGGGAGTGAGGGGATCTCCAATGTTCTGAGGAAGCCTCAGACTTAGCACTGTGAACTGGGGTGTGGGGTTACTGACATTTGAAGAGTTTCCTGCCCCTCCTGTAGATGCAATGCCAGGGCAAGAACACATTCCTGTCCCTACTTGTCCATGGTAGGGGAGAGATACTCCTTCTCCATGTTCTTAACTCCCAGTTGAAGTGGGCCTGCAACAGTGCCCTGTAAGTTAATAATTTGTTTTCTTTATGGGAGATGCATCTGTGCAAAAATGTGGGTGTTGGCCTTGTTTCTCTACCCTCAGTTCGGGAGTTTTTCCCCAGTGCCTTGTGACTCAGGTTTGGATGCTCTTTCTCTGCAGATTAGGCCTTGTGTCATATAGGGGAGATAGGAGAGCTGTGTCTCCAGAGTTGTAGCAGTGGATGGGATAGTGGTCCTTCCCCATCAGCACTGTGTGGGAGCATTCTCAGGATTCTACCCTATCTTCCCTGACAGGCCTTGTAGGGTACCTAGAAAAATTATACACAACAGTGTAAACCCTATATCTGTAGACTCCAAGGTTTCACATTCTCCTCACCCTCCCACACACAGCCACTAGGAACTAGTTCAAAATTTCTGGCTTAATTTTACCAGTTTTCATGGTTTTCAGGGTGCACATAAAACCTGGGGCCTGTGTGACCTGCAGGCTTCTGCATCCCCTGATGTTGGGTTTGTAGTCTGCCCCATGACCTCAGTTCTCTAAAGGGCTCAGGAGAAACCATCCATTCATTTGCAGTTTCTCCAGGGTTTTGTTTGCTTGTTTTATGTGTAGGAGCAACTCTTTGTCAGGTCTCTATATCTACAAACTTAACTCAGAAACTAATATTTTTAAACACATTATCATACTTTTAGTGCTCCTCTATGCTAATTGTTCTTCAGTATTTTTTATATTTGTATGTCTTTATTTTAAAACCAGGCTTAATCTAATTCATAACAATCTAATTCATAATCTTAATCTAAGATTAATTCATAATTTTAATCTAATTCATAACTGTTCTTTCATGTATTCCCTGTGTAACTTTCTTTTCAGACATTTATTGTTGTGTGTTTCAAGTGGAGGAGGTCAGATTATAACTGACATTTGTCCTTGACTACTAGACATTTCACTTCAGCCCTGATTACAGTTATACCTGAAGCCAGATCTACCCTTACCGTGTATTTATTTTACTATTCAATAAATATTAACTTATCATGAATGGCATATTTTATTACAGTTGTAGGTTTATGAAGCTGAACAATTAAATAAATAAAAACCAAATTACATGGCTTCAGGAGGGTATAATTTTTTAAGTTTTTGGTTCATTAAAACATTTTTGTCTTTTTGTGATTTGCAACCTTCAGTGATTTCCTTGAAACAGGAACCAGAGTTAAAACTGAAGTAGTAGGTGTTGGTGAGATTTTGATGGCTAAGAGCATCAGGCTCATTTTGTAACTGAGAGGGAAATTAGAACACGTCACCAGTTCGATGTAATCACAGTGCATTTGGATTAATCACCATGGCAACCCATGACTTGTATTTTAAGGGAGAATTGGAAATAAAATGACCAAGCATAAAGCTGACCCAGTCTAACATGAATCTTTGTCTTTAAAACATATCTGCGATACTCATGTAGGCAGTGTATAAATAACTTGTCAGAAATATCATTTATGCCAAGGTTCTTGAATTTTTAGGATTTTGTTTCTCCAGTAGTGTGTGTGTTACTGAGCAAAAGGGGCTTTCTATCCAAAACACCAGAACCCAAAAACTGTGGCAATGGGTTTTTCTTTTTAAGAAAAAAAAGCTTTTTATTATAATTTTTGTTTATAATTATATAATTTTAATTTTATTATGGTTGTTTTATTATAATTTTTATTTTAGTATCATTTAGGGTACAAGTGGTTTTTGGTTACCTGGATGAATTGTATAGTGGTGAATTCTGAGATTTTAGTGCACCTGTCACCTGAGTAGTATATAATGTATATATTGTACCAAATAGGTAGTTTTTTCACCCCCATCCACTCCCATCCTCTGCTTGTGAGTCTCCGAAGTCCATTATATCACTCTGTATGCCTTTGCATACGCATAGCTTAGCTCCCACTTATAAGTGAGAAATAATGGTATTTGATTTTCCATTCCTGAGTTATTTCACTTAGAATAATGGCCTCCAGCTTCATTCAAGTTTCTGCAAAAGACATTTCATTCCTGAGGTGCTGACCTTCGGTTTACTGGACACATCTCATAGACAGGGCAGAGGATGAGGGCAAGATCCCTCTAAGGCACTCCCCCACGCCCTACCACTCCTGCTCTGGAAGGACCCCTGAAGGGCACTGGAAGGGTTGGACTTCTCAGTGCAAGCCAACACCCACACCTGTGAGTACCAACAGACCCAGAGAGCAGCAGGAGCCCCTCACTTCTGAGAACCCCTCCCAGGATGTCAAGACTTAAGCCAGGGAGTAGAGAGAATCAGTCTCTCAGACCCAGAGAGGATTCAGGGAAAGGGCACAGGAGAACCCAGCCCAGAGCCAGAACACAGTTCAGCTCAGTGTGGGAACTCGCAGCATGGAGTGGATGGCCCTGCACGGCTGAAGAGACCAGTGTGAGGGGGAGTCTCACCCATTGTGGAGTCAGGCCCTTATATTAGGTGGCGAGAGGGTGAGGTGAGAGTTACAGCCCTTCCCAGCTGAGTTCTGGACCAGGGCTGGAGCCCAGGCCAAACATCCCTGGGGAAAGGGTGTGAGGCAGGAAGCCCTGAGCCAAGTTGAACACTGGGGTGCTGTCCCCGGAGCAGCCTGGGATGCCCTGACAGCACCCATGCCACAGTCTGCACACACCCCTTACTCTGAAATTAACAGCCTGTAGGGGTGTCCTCAGTATCAGAACAAGTGGGCCACACAAAGCCCTCGAGGACTCCAGGAACCCAGTTCCATGGGGTGCAGCCCTGCAAGGGCCAGATGAGCTGGGTAGAAAAGCTGACGAAGTCTTCCTTCCTTCCAGCCAAATCTGGAAGAAAGGCCCCTGGCCTGGAGCAGTGTTCCTGGTATCCAGGCCTCTGTGGGCATCCCTCAGCACAAAGACCCTCTCCAAGGGGGATGGGACGGCCCTTCTAGGACCACCGGCCCAGCTCCAGAAGCCCATGGGTAATCCCCACCGTCACCTGACTGAGCTGTCCCTGAGGCTAAGGCCCAGCAGCATGAAGGGACTCCCACAGAAACCAGGGCAGTAGGCTGCTCTCTGGCGGCACTGGGGGAGCAGGGTCTGGCTAACCTGTCCCTGGCTCAGGACACATGCCTGGAAATTAGGGTTTTCTCCTCTGCTCTTAACATCGCCTGGGTAAACCAATAATTACCCTCCCTCATGTTTCATAATTCACAACTATGTAAAAGTTGCTGGTGAGGGTGACATTTCCAGGAAGCCACAGCCCATGTCACCCCCCTGCAAAGTTGTGACCTTATCCGCGGACAGGTCAGGCGGCAGAGTTCTCCCAAAAGCGGGTGAACTGGCGCTCTGGCTGGAGGGTGTAGAGGGCAGCAGCACAATGGACAGCGTCTGGGACCTCAGGCCAGTTCCACAGCAGCTTAGGAGAGCAGGCGGCTCCCTGGGCTGGAGGAGGCGCGACGCTTTTGAGGGAAACCGAGCTGAGCAGCGGGAGATGGAGTGAGGCTGAGACCCGTCCGATTTGGGCAAAGGCGAGATGCACTTCGCAGCATCACACCCTCCTCACTGCCCAGCACCGACCTACCCCTCAAGTCCCTCTCCGGACTCAATCCCCTTAGCCAGGGTGGCACAGACTGAGGGGCCAGCGTAGGTTTGGAAGCAGAGAGGTCCACACGGCCCAGCTCCTCCCTCTGAGGCTGCGCACCACCCCCGAGCCCGGCGCTTGCTGGGACTGTAGGCCGGTAGCCCTGCGACCAATGGCCGAAAGCGGTTAAGAAACTACTCCTCCCAAGCTTGCAGTGAGCCGAGATCGCGCCACTGCACTCCAGGCTGGGCGACAGAGCGAGACTCTGTCTCAAAGAAAAAAGCAAAAAACAAAAAAAGAAACTACTCCTCCTAGCATGCCTTACGAGGCGCGCACCGCCCTCTCCAGGTATCATCACCAACCCATTCCCCTTGCATGCTGGGATTGTAGTCTCGCAGCCCTGCGAACAACGGCCGAAAGCGGTGAAGAAACTACTTCTCCCAGCATGCCTGGCGAGGCGCGCCCCGCGCTGCCCCCCCAGGTGTCCTCACCAACCCCACTCCCGTTGCATGCTGGGATTGTAGTCCCGCAGCCTTGCGACCAACGGCCGGAAGCGGCTAAGACACTACTCCTGCCAAATACCCTGCAGTAGCGCACCGCGCTATGTCTCCCTCCAGGGATCTGTACCACTCCCAATCCTGTTTCGTGCTGGGATTGTAGTCTTGTAAACCTACAACTAACACCTGGGTGCGGATAAGAGACTACAGCTCCCATCATTCCCAGCAAAGGGCCGTTCTGCACCGAGCTCTTTCAGGATTCCAGTGCAGTTCCGCCATGCGGAGGGAAGCTTGGCTGTTCACAAACCTCTCCTGCACTCGAGGAGACAGCTTGGCCGGGGCAGCTGATCTCACCTTGTCATTGTGACACGGTGTCTCCCCAACGTGCCGACTTCATGACTTGTCGTGCCCAAAGTTTACTTTCTCGCAGAACCGGTAGAGGCCAAGAGCTTCTCAGAGCTTCCGCCGCAGGGTTGCCATGGTAACGCTCGTTTCACCCCACCCCCCCCCCGCCGGGTCGACCCCACCCGTTCCCACTGAGGGGCCTCTCCTTTTAGCCCCACCCTCTATTGTTCCTCCCCTGGCTACATGCGCAGTGCTGCCCCTTGGTCCGGCGACGGAAGCTTCCTCGTGAGTGTCCTAAACCGTTGTTTGCTGCCTCATGTGAAGGTGCCCAGTCTCTGGTAACCTGGCACTTCACTTTTGAAAACCACCTTTTTTTCGGTCTCCCTTTGCTCCCCAGATGCACCTATTGGACCCCGGGCTGGCTGCATGGCCGGCGTCTGGGTCAGGCCTCGCACACAGACGCTCCTGTCACTGTGATAAAGAGGAGAAAATGTCCCAGGAGAAAGGGACATTTTGCGAGCCACATCCACCACTTCTCTGCCCCCCCACACAGGCTGGTTCCCAGGCCCCGGGGTCCTGGTGTGGACCTGCCTGCCGTAATTAACGCAGGTGCAGGACCTGAGCGCCTTGGTCCCTCCCAACACGTGAGAGAAGTTTGTGTGGTGAGGTTTGGACAGTGTCTGTGTTTCTGCCCTGAATAGGGTTCCCTGGAAAAACTTTATCCCTTTTTAAATACTCCCTTTGGTACCGCTTTTAAGACTTTGCCGGTGGAACTTAACAGTGATCATTTTTTTGAATCCATTTTTATATTTGCTTTTTTAGATTAACTCTTAAGTACTCCACGCTTCTGAAACGGGCGTAGGCACAGCGTCAGTTCTGTACAGTGCGGACGCAGCAGGACAGAATCTCCCTGGGCATCTTTCTGGAGCATCAGTTTTACTGCAAGATTTTAAGAAACAAATTTAATTGATTTCCAAGTTAAGAAATTAAACCTTGAAAACTAGACTAAAAAGTCATCTGCACCTGACGTAACAGACTTTCTGCAGGAAGAAAACTCTAAGGAGAGCATATTGTCCATTATTATAAATAGTGAAAATGAGAAATCATAGCAAGTCCCTTGAAAACCCTGCCCTGCCAGTCTTCTAATAGGGCCTTGGTATGGTTTTATGTGTATTTTCTTTTTGAAGTGTGCTCACCTTTTGAATATACAAATTTGGGGTTTTGACCAAATTTTGCAAGTTTTCGGCTATTGTTTATTTGCTTTTGTATCACATTTAATTTTTCTGTCTCTCCCTCTCCTTCTCGGACTCAGTCATTCCACAGGTCTCCAAGGCGCTTTTCATTTTCTTCAAACTTGTTTCACTCTTCAGATTGGATGATTTCTATTGCTGTCTTCTGTTTCTACTGTTTATAAACTCAACGGTCTTTTTAATTTTTCATTTCATTATCTCTCTATTCCATTCTTTTCATCATTTCCATTTCTCTGCTGAGGCTCCACATGAGTTAATTCATTATGAGGATGTTTTCCTTTATCCCCATGAACATACTATACTTATAATAGCTGCTCTCAAACCCTTGTCTGCTGATGACATCGTCTTGGACATCTTAGAATTAGCTTCTGCTGCCTGCTTTTTATCTTGTGTATAGATTACATTTTAACGTTTCTTCACACATTTCATGAATTTTAATATTGTGTACTAGAAATTATAAATAGTAGTTATAGAGACTTTAAATTCTGTTGTATTCCTTTGAAGAGCATTGTTACTTGAAGAGGGGTTAATCTGACTGGATTCAAACAGCAATACCTACCTCCCCTACAGTGGACACAGTTGAAATCCTCATTCGGTGAACACACACACGCATGTATTGTATATAGTTGTGCATTTCTGTGTAACTATATATATTTTATCCAGATTTTCTCGTTACCTGTGAGAGTGTTCAACAAGCTACTCTAGCATTACTGAAAGTCAGAACCTCAGTTTTGTTTGCTTATTGGATTTGAATACATAATGCCTTTGTTTTCTTTTGTAACATTTTTCAATTTGAAGTCTTATTTTGTCCGATATTAATATAGGACAACCCAAATCTCTTTTGCTTATTATTTGCATGAAATATCTGTTTTTCTCTTTTCACTTTCAACCAGTTGTGTCTTTCAGTCTAATGTGAGTCTTGTACAAACATGATAGTTGCATCATGTTTTTTAGTCTGTTTTGCTGATCTCTGCCTTTTAATTTGATAGTTCAATCCATTTACATTTAAAATAATTATTCATAGGTAGATTTCTGTCATTTTGCTATTTGTTTTCTGTATACCTTACGTCTTTTTATTTTACATTTTCTACATTATTTTCTTCTTATGTATTGGGTTAATTTTTTTTAGTAAAATATTTTAACTTTTTATTTCCTTTGTGTATATTCTATAGCTTCTTTTTGTGATTACCATCATGGTGATGACATTTAACATCAGAATTTATTTATTTTAATTGCTGCATAGTACTATATTCAATTATATGAACATAGTATAATTTTTAAATCTATTCTACTTTTGATAGTCATCACTGGGATATTTAATATGACTTATTTTTTAGATGAGTATCGAGTTTACATAAACATTGAGCGGAACATACAGAGTTCCCATATATCCTCTCCCCACACCCAGCTTCTCCTCTATTATTAACACCTTACATTAGTGTGGCATATTTGTTACTCTTAATGAACTAATATAGAAAAGTTATTAACTAAAATCTAAAGTTTGCATTCGAATTCATGTTTTCTGTTTTACACTCTGTGGATTTTGACAAATGCATGATGACATGACATGTATCCATTATTGCATTATACAAAATAGTTTTATTGTCTTAAAATATCCACTGTACTCCATCTATTCATCTCACCCCTTTTCCCCCCAAACTTTTGGAAAGCACAGGTCTTCTTACTGTGTCCATGGTTTTGCCTTTTACAGAATGTCATATAGTTGGAATCCTATAGTATGTAGCCTTTTCAGACTGTCTTTTTCACAGCCATATGTATTTAAGGTTCCTCACGTCTTTTCAAGCCTTGACAGCTCATTTTTTTAAATCAGTGAATAATGTTCTGTTGTATGCTTGCACCACAGCCAGTTTATTTATTTACCTATTGAAGAACATTATTTACCTATTAAAAACATTATTTACCTATTGAAGACCATCTTGGTTGGTTCCATGTTTTGGCAATTATGTATAAAAGTGCTCTAAACAGTCACCTGCGGAGTTTTGTGCAGATGAAAGTTTTCACCTCTTTTGGATTAAGGCCAAAGAGTGTGATTGCTGGATTGTATGTAAGTGTGTTTCTAGCTCTGTAAGAAACTGGCAAACTGTCTTCCAAACTAGTCATAGGACTTTGCATTTTCACCAACAAGCTCTTGTTATTCTACATCCTCACCAGCATTTAGTGTAGCCCCTGTTTTGGATTTTAGCCATTCTAATATGTGTGTGGCAGTATGCCATTGTTATTTTCAATTTCCCAATGACACGCTGTTGAGCATATTTTCATGTGCTTATTTGCCATGCTTATATGTTCTTTAGTAAGGATCTGTATCTTTTGCCATTTTATAATTGGGTTGTTCATTTCTTATTCTTGGGTTTTAAGAGCTCTGGAATTTTTTGCATATTTTTGATACCAGTCTTTTATCAGTTATGTGTTTTGCAAATATTTTCTCCCATTCTGTGGCTTGTCTTTTTATTTTTTAACAGTGTCTGACAATGCAGAAATGTTATTTTTAATATGGTTCAACTTAGCAACTTTTCCTTTCATGGATCATGTTTTTGGTGTTTTTGTTTTTGTTTTTCTTTGTGACAGAGTCTCGCCCTGTCACCCAGGCTAGAGTGCAGTGGTGCAATCTTGGCTCACTGCACCCTCCTCCTCCTGGGTTCAAGCAATTCTCCTGCCTCAGCCTCCGGAGTAGCTGGGACTACAGGCATATGCCACCACGCCCAGCTAATTTTTGTATTTTTAGTAGAGACGGGGTTTCACCATGTTGGCCAGGATGGTCTCGATCTCTTCACCTCGTGACCCACCTGACTTGGCCTCCCAAAGTGCTGGGATTACAGGCGTGAGCCACTGCGCCTGACATTTTTGGTGTTTTATCAAAGGAGCAAAACCTGAGGTAATTCAGATTCTGCTCTTTGTTATCTTCTAGGAGTTTTGTGGTTTTTCCTTTTATATTGGTCTCTGATCCATTCTGAGTAATTTCTGTGAAAGTTGTCAGGTCTAGGTTTAGGGTTTTTTTTTTTTCTTTTTTTCTCTTGCATGTGGATGTCCAGTTGTTCAGTACTGTTTGTTGAAAAATTATTCATTCTCAATTGAATTGTCTTTGCTCTTTCCTCAAAGATAAGCTGACTGTATTTTTATGGGTCAATTTCTGAGCTTTCTCTTATGTTTTATTGATGTTTCTCTATTATTTTTTACCACTACCATGTTGTTTTGATTACTGTAGCTTTATAGTAGTGCTTAGAGTTGGGTAGTGTCATTCCTATAACTGTCCTTTTAAAATATTTTCTTCGTTATTCTGAGCCTTTTGCCTTTCCATATGAACTTTAGAATCAGTTTGTCAATATCCACAAACTAACTTTGTGGAATTTTGATTGGGATTGCATTGAATATGTAAATGTAGTTGGGAAGTACTGACATTTTAACAATGTTGAAGCCTTCTTTACTTGAATGTGGATTATCTCTCCATTTATTTAGATCTTCTTTGATGTTTTTACAGTTTTGCCGGTTTCTTCATATAGATTCTATATTTATATTTATTTTGTTATATTTGTACCTAAGAATTTCATTGTTATTGGTGCTAGCCTAAATGTCACTGAATTTTTAAATTTCAAATTCTAACTACATTACTGATATATAGGACAGTAATTGACATTTGTATATTAATCTTATATTGTGCAAATTGCTATAATTTCTCATTAAAATTGGTTATTCTAAGATTTTGTTTTGTGATCTTTTTGTATTTCTCCATAGGCAATTACATCATCTGTGTAAAAGGACAGTTTTATTTCTTCCTTCCCACTCTGTGTACCTTTTCTATTCTTGTCTTATTGCATTACCTAGGGCTTATAGTATAATGTTATATAGGAATGGTGAGAGGAGACATGTTTGCCTTGCTCCTGATCTTAGCAGGAAAGCATCTAGTGTTTCAACATTCAGTATGAGGTTAGGGCCAGGCGCGGGGGCTCACGCCTGTAATCCCAGCACTTTGGGAGGCCGAGGCGGGTGGATCACGAGGTCAGGAGATCGAGACCATCCTGGCTAACATGGTGAAACCCCGTCTCTACTAAAAAATACAAAAAAATTAGCTGGGTGCGGTGGCGGGCGCCTGTAGTCCCAGCTACTCAGGAGGCTGAGGCAGGAGAATGGCGGGAACCCGGGAGGCGGAGTTTGCAGTGAGACGAGATCGCGGCACTGCACTCCAGCCTGGGCGACAGAGCGAGACTCCCTCTCAAAAAAAAAAACAAAAAAACACACACATTCAGTATGAGGTTAGATGCAGGGTTTGTTTGTTTGTTTGTTTGTCTGTTTGTTTGTTTTAGATGGAGTCTCGCTCTGTCTCCAGGCTGGAGTGTAGTGGCGCGATCTTGGCTCACTGCAACCTCTGCCGCCCGAGTTCAAGCGATTCCTCTGCCTCAGCCTCCCAAGTAGCTGGGACTACTGGCATGCTGCACCACGCCAGGCTAGTTTTTTGTATTTTAGTAGAGACAGGGTTTCACCATGTTGGCCAGGATGGTTTCAATCTCCTGACCTCATGATCAACCCGCCTTGGCCTCCCAAAATGCTGGGATTACAGGCGTGAGCCACAGCATCTGGCCAGATGTAGGTTTTTTATAGACATTATTTATGAAATTGAAGTTTTCTTCTATTTCTAGTCTTCAGAGAGGTTTTCTCATGAATGGGTTTTGGATATTGTCAAATGATTTTTCTGAAAGTATTGATAAGATCTTATCTTTTTTTAACTTAATATGATGAACTAATTTTTTTTTAAGACAGAGTCTTGCTGTGTTGCCCAGGCTTATCTTGAATTCCCAGCCTAAAGTGATCCTCCCTCCTTGGCTTCCTACTGCATTAGGATTACAGGTATAAGCCACCACACCCAGCCTAATTTATTTTCAAATGTTGAACCAGCCTGGCATGCCTGTAATAAATCTCACTAGGTTGTAGTAAATAATTCTTTTTTTACATTTTTGGACTTGATTTCTTAATATTTGGGTGAGGGCTTTTGCATCTTTGTTCATGTGAGATATTGCTCTGCATTTTTTTGTTGTAATGTCTTTGTCTAAATTTGGTATTATGGTAATTCTGGCCCCACTGAATGACTTTGAAAGTATTCACTCTGCTTCTGTTTTCTGGAGGAGATTGTAGAGAGTTGGAATAATTTCTTTTAAATATTTACATAAATATACTAGGGTTTGGTACTTTCTGTTTGGTAAGGTTATTTATCATTGACCCAATTTCTTTAATAGATGTAGTACTATTCACATTGTCTGTTTCTTATTGTGTGATTCTGGTAGGTTGTTTTGTTTCTTTCAAGGAATTTGTCTATTTAGGTTATCAAATTTGTGGGCATAGAGTGGTTTATAATGTTTATTATTCTTTAATTCTTCATGTGCTCAGTAATGATAGATCCTCTTTCATTTCTAGAATTAGCACTGTCTTCTCTCTTTTTCAACTGTAACTAAAAAGGAACATTTTAAAAAGTGAAAGCTATTTTTGATAAACTATCTAATTTCTCATGATCTGCAACTGTGGGTACGTAGGAAGTACATGGAAACAGATGTTTGGCAGAGCTTGCCAGCAAATTCTTTCCTGCATCAAGAAGGCATGCCTCTCAGCATGACACTCTTAAGAGGGAGGAATGTGAAAAAAGAGGGATGTGATCTGCTCCTGGTGAAGAGCCACCTGACTCTCCCTCAGCTGCACATAGTGGCCTTAACGTGCATCTTGCTAGAAGGGGCATGCAAGCCAGGGGCTGCCAGCCAAGCCATACAGGCCAAGGACAGTTTCAAGTCTGCCTTTTATTTCATCGAACTGTTGTTCTAGTAAGCAGCTAGAGTTTTATGAACACTGTAAACTCTTTATCATATTTCTTTGCTATTTCTGGAGGATTTGTTCTAGGAGTCCTCTTGTATACCAAAATGCATGGATGCACAAGTTCTTTATATATAATGGCATAGTATTTACATATAACCTATGCATATTCTCCTGCATACTTTAAATCTTCTCTAGATTACTTTTAATACCTAAATTGTTGTTATACTGTATTGTTTAGGGAATAGTGAAAAGAAAAATAAAATTCTGTAAATGTTCAGTACAGAAACATTACTAAAAATATTTTTGAGGCTCATTTGTTGAATCCAGGAATGCAGAACCAATAAATAAGGAGGGCCAGCTCGACCTATGTTTGGAGTCCATGAATGTGTCCTCTTCCTGTGTTTGTAAATGGAAATTTATTTCACAAAATGACACAACTGCTTCTTCACTGACACGTTCAAAAACTTGCAAGAAGCAGCCGGGTGCGGTGCCTCATGCCTGTGATCCCAGCACTTTGGGATGCCAAGGCAGGTGGATCACTTGAGGTCAGGAGTTCAAGACCAGCCTGGCCAACATGGTGAAACCCTGTCTCTACTAAAAATACAAAAATTAGCCAGGCATGGTGGCAGGTATCTGTAATTCCAGCTACTCAAGAGGCTGAGACAGGAGAATCACTTGAACCAGGAGGCGGAGGTTGCAGTGAGCCAAGATTGTGCCACTGCACTCCAGCCTGGGTGACAGAGCAAGACTCTTGTCTCAAAAAACAAAATGAAACAAAACAAAAAAATATATACTGATAAAGACATTTTGTATTGGCAAAGGGTAAACTCATCAGGAAAATATAAAAAAATTATTCACATATATGCAGTTATCAAATAAGCACAGAAATACATGAAGCAAAAATGACAGAAATAAAGGGAGAAATAGATAATTCAACAGTAATAGTTGGAGACTTTAATGCTTCACTTATATTAATGGATAGAACAAGTAGACAGAAGATAAAAAATAGAAAACATGAACAACAACATAAAACAACTAAACCTAACAAACATATGCACAGCACTGCATCCAACATGAGAATATATATTCTTCTCAAATCCACATGGAACGTTCTCTAGGACAGACCACCTGCTGGGCCATAAAACATCAGTAAAAATAGAGATTGAGATAATACAATGGGTGATTTCTAATCATAATAGAATCAGAGATCAATGAAAGCAAGAAATTTAGGAGACTCTTAAGTATGTGGACATTAAATGGCAAAATCCCAAATAATTTATGGATCAAAAGAAAACCACAAATACTTATCAGAAAGTGTTTTAACATAAATGACAATGTAACCAAAACGTAAAACTTACGGAAACTGGTGAAAGCAGT
The DNA here is from genome assembly GCF_000001405.40 of Homo sapiens. Classification (NCBI taxonomy): domain Eukaryota; kingdom Metazoa; phylum Chordata; class Mammalia; order Primates; family Hominidae; genus Homo; species Homo sapiens. Next base: position 63,917,548 of record NC_000007.14, on the reverse strand, counting down.
GTTTTGAGGGAAACCTATACCAGTGAATTTCTTCATTAAAAAAGAAAGACAAATCTCAAGTCAATAACAAAAAAATCTCAATAACAAAAAAAAAACTCAAGTCAATAATAATAAGTTCTCCCAAACTTTTAAATGAATATACTACCTGGCTTTCCTGGGACAAAATATACTAATAGAGGAAAAAATAATCATGCTAAAAAAAAAAGCCCTAAAAGGAAAGACTGGGGAATGGGACACTTTGGGGATTGGGCTGTGATAATAGTCTAGGAAATTTAGGAGGTCATATGGAGGCTCAGGGCCAGGTATGCAGTCTAGAAAAACCCAGGAAGAGGGCCGGGCATGGTGGCTCACACCTGTAATCCCAGCACTTTGGGAGGCCAAGGCAGGTGGGTCACCTGAGATCTAGAGTTTGAGACCAGCCTGACCAACATGGAGAAATCTCATCTCTACTAAAAATACAAAATTAGTGGGGTGTGGTGGTGCATGCCTGTAACCCCAGCTACTTGGGAGGCTGAGGCAGGAGAATTGCTTGAACCCGGGAGGCAGAGTTTGTGGCGAGTTGAGGTCGCGCCATTGCACTCCAGCCTGGGCAGCAAGAGTGAAACTCCATCTCAAAAAAAAAGAAAAGAAAAGAAAAGAAAAGAAGAAATCCCAGGAAGACCCTCAGTATTCACCCTTGTTTGACCTTCAAACTCTGTATCAGCAGAAAGTAAGGCAAGAACCAAGTTGTAAATTTCTGGCTGATTAGTAAAGGCATGCTCCAGCACGCACACACACACACACACACACACACACACACACACACACACCCAAAAGAGAACATTATAAAATTTATTTGGAGGAAGTGGGGAAATAACAAACATTTAAGAAAATCTCTGCAAATCAGTAGCTTACTACCAAGCTAATGGAACAGAGATGTCAATGTACATGCATGACAGAGCACACGTCGCAATAGGTAGCAACAAAAACACAGAAGAAGGATGATAATCTGATTTCAAAATTACTATAATATTCGAAATGTCTTTTTTCAACAAAAAGTTACACGATATGTAGGTATATATTATTTGTTGGTTACGCTTGAATTTGTAGTTTCCATTTTGATTTCCAAGCTGAAAAATATATTTTCTATCTGCAAATTTTCTAGCTGTAGGATTTCTGCTTCTATTAAATTAGTGAGTCTTTTGGAGCCTAAAATTTTGCAATTTTCAATGATTTTTTTCTTTAGTATTTGAAAATGTTGTATATTCTGCTTACTTGGTTCATTTAATAATTTTTTTCTAAGACCACAAAAATATTCTTTTTGTTTTTTAATACATCATAATTTATACTTAAAATTTGGTTTCACCACCTGTACAAAATAGGTTTGTTACATGGCTAGTAATGTAATTTTTTCCAGTAAGTTAAGAAAATTTAATTTATTCTGAAAATCTTGTCTTAGGGTTATTTTTATTTGCCATCACTTGTCATTGCCTCGCCCAGATTAACACCACCTCACACTCAGAGCTGACTTTTTTGTGAAGACTGTGTGTGATTCTTTCCATTTCTTTCTGCATTTTTCAGTTTTTAGCAATCTCACAACACCAAACAGCCAAAGTAGTGCTGGTGTTAAAAAAATCTTCAGTAGACTTTTTTATTGCTCAAAGGATAAATTACTTCCACATTTTATTTTATTAATTTAAAAATGTTAACTGACAAGTGAGGCTTGAGTATTTTCAAGGTGTGCAATGCGATGACTTGATACATGCACACATTGTCTAATCACTTTCACAATCAGTTAAATTAACATAATTCCTATTGTTCAAATATTTGTGTCCCTCCCAAATTTACTTTAAAACTTAATCCTCAATACAATAGTATTAGACTTTAGTTGGTTGCTAGGGCATGAAAAATCTGCCCTTAACAATGCAATTAGCTGTCATTGTAAAACGGCTTGAGAAAATGAGTTTGGCCTATTTTGTCCTTCTGCTGTGTGAGGACACAGCAATTTAAGGTGCCATCTTGAAACCAGAGACTGGACCCTCACCAGACACCTAGACTGCTGGTGCCTTGAGCTTGGACTTCTCAGCCTCCATAACTGTGAGAACTCAGTTTATACTGCTTATAAATTATCTATTCTAAGGTATTTTATTACAGCAGTTGGAACAGACTAAGATAACATTCAGTAACATCCATGCTGTGCAGTAGACCACTAGAACTTGTTTATTTTATACCTGAAAGTTTGCACTTTTTATTAACAACCCCCCATTTCTCCCACCCACCAGCTCCTGGAAACCACTTTGTACTCTCTGTTTCTATGACTTTAACTTTCTAGGCTTCATATATAACTGAAATCAAACAATATTTCTCATTCTCTGTCTGGCTTATTTCACTCAGCCTACTCTTCTCCAGGTTCATTCATATAGTTGTAAATAACAGGATTTTCTTTTTATGGCTGAATAATATTCCATTATATAAATACTCCACAATTATTTTATCCATTCATTTATTAATACTTAGGTTGTTTGCACATCTGTCATTGTAAATAATTCTGCAATAAATATGGGAGCACAGATGTCTCTTCTAGATACTAGTTTTATTTCCTTTGGTTATATATCTGGAAGTGGATTTGCTGGATAATGTGGTATTGTAAGTTTTTAGAAAGCTCCACAATGCTTTTGATAATGGTTTTACCAATATTTCTGTATTTTTAACAAAATGGGCCGGGCACAGTGGCTCACGCCTGTAATCCCAGCACTTTGGGAGGCAGGCGCGGGCGGATCACAAGGTCAGGAGATTGAGACCATCCTGGACAACATGGTGAAACGCTGTCTCTACTAAAAATACAAAAAATTAGCCAAGCATGGTGGCACGCACTTGTAGTCCCAACTACTCGAGTGGCTGAGATAGAAGAATCACTTGAACCCCGGAGGTGGAGGTTACAGTGAGCCAAGATCACACCACTGTACTCCATCCTGGAGTTTTTTCTCAGAAAAAAAAAAAAAAAAAAAAAAAAAAAAAAGCTGTACTCTGTTGGGAGACAATTTTCATAGTCCTGTCAGTTTACTTTTTAACATCCTATATAAGCTTCTATTTGGACAATCTTTTCGATCCATAGGGGTGAAAACTATTGAAGGCTCCAATGCCAAACCATGGCCTTTCCTCAGTGTTGTAAGGCCTATGCCAAGGAGAAAGGAAGGTCATGCCTTTGGGTGCCCCAGGCACACACCTTTCTGAAATCTTTCTCCAGCCAGCTGCTGCAGACAAAAGATGACATTTCTGGGAAGATGAGGACTTGTTTCCAGACCAGCACCCCAGTGGCCATGAGGTCTTATGGCCCAAAGGCTATGCTTACCTCCACCTGAGTGCCTGGGATGGGCCCTTTCTGCGTCTCCCCAAGGCTTGGGTGCTGAGCCTGCCTTCCTCACCACCTAACCATAGTCTCAAACCTGTGAGGAAGGAAGAGGACAGATAACTGATTTCTGTTCTTTTGATTCTGTTTTAAAGTTTTCTTTCTAAAAAAAAAAAAACCTATCTGAAACTGGAAAAAAAAAAAAAACAAGGAAAAAAAGATGTCATAACCAAAGTAGGGGCAGTATTTACATAGGTGAAAACACGTAGATATGTCTATAGGCAACAGACATGTGGCTAATTTACATATAAATTAAACATCTTATTGTCTTAAAGTGTACAGAGCTAAAAAATTATTCAATTCATAATATCAAGCGTTAAATGCAAAAATACAATGAACTGATCTGAGAAATCATACCCCCCCAAAAACACAATAAATATAGAATTGAAAATAAGAGAGATTTTAATGCATAAAATGCTGAATACAACATAGATATACTATGAAAAATAATTCTTTAGATATCTGCAGTTTTTAACTGTGTGTACTCATGAAGAGAAGACATTGTGAATCATTGCTATTCAATGAAGAACAGTAAAACTTCATAGAAAATACATTACAATCATTAATAATAGACTAATGAGAAAATTTTCAAATAAGCATTAAAGAGACAGTAGGAGAAGTTTTTATCATGTTCTCAATATATTGGTGGTATTCTTACACAGATATACTGTCTATAATATGGCCTTTGGGAGCTAATAAAAACTTTATATTTTTAAAATACAAGAACAACATAAATTTTGCAAAACACAATCAGCATTACTGAAGTATAAAGTAAATATTTCAGTTATTTATTTATTTATTTACTTTTTGAGACAGGGTCTCACTCTGTCACCTAGAGTGCAGTGACACCATCTTGACTCACCACAACCTTTGCCTCCCAGGCTCAAGCAATTCTCCTATCTCAGCCTCCTGAGTAGCTGGGATTACAGTTGCCCACCACTACCACTTGGCATTTTTTTTTCTTTTTTGGTAGAGATGGGGTTTCACCATGTTGCCCAAGCTGGTCTTGAACTCCTGACCTCAAATGATCCACCTGCCTCGGCCTCCCAAAATGCTGGGATTACAGGGGTGAGCCATGGTGCCTGGCTTTAAAGTAAATATTTGGAATTAAAATATACTGGCATTTAGAAACAGATTGAAAATGAATATAAATTTTAATGATTTCTTTTTGCTTTCAGTGAGCTTAAAATTATAATGAAATATTTTAATAAATATGTGGGCACCTACTGGTAATTTAATTTACATCTTACATAATGTGTAACTTTTGAATCTAAAAGTCAGAAACAACATTCATTTCAGAAAGTGAAGTGTATAGGAGAGTAACATAAGCAAGATGATGGAACAGGAGGTCCTGCAGGCATATCCCACAACAGAATGTGGAAGCCATGCCAAACAAAACTGCATTTATAAGAGCCTTGGGATCCAGGTCAGTTTGTGACAGCTGGAGGCAAAGACCAAGGGGAACAATTTGAGAGAGTAAGCCCTTGGCCAAGTGGCGTGCTTGCCAATCATGGTCCCAGCTCCAAAACAAAATACTGCCACATCCCACTGTAGATTTAGCTATAGCTCACTAGGCCTTGGTCCTGCCACTGCAACCATCTGCCAAAAACCCAGGAGAATTGATACTCACCTGAGACTTAGGTGACAGGCCTGCAAAACTTGGTTCTGTCTGTAGTCCCTGAATCAGACAAAACTCACCTTCTTTACTTCTCAGGCATGGTCAGGGAGAAATCTTGTCCACACAGGGACCCTCAGGGAAAAACATCCATCTATTTCCTTGGATGTAGGACAATCAATATTGAACTGAATGTGGATCATGAAATGGTTGGGCTGGGCACAGTGGCTTAAACCTGTAATCCCAGCACTTTGGGAGGCTGAGGTGGGTGGATCACCTGAGGTCAGGAGTTCGACCAGCCTAACCAATATGGTCAAACTCTGTGTCTACTAAAAATACAAAAAATTAGCCAGGGTGGTGGCGGGCACCTGCAGTCCAAGATACTCGGGAGGCTGAGACAGGAGAATCACTTGAACCCAGGAGGCAGAGTTTGCAGTGAGCCGAAATCCCACCACTGCACTGCAGCCTGAGTAACAGAGCAAGACTGTCAAAAAAAAAAAAAAAAAAAAAAAAAAAAAAAGAAAGAAAAAGAAAAGAAAAGAAAACAGAAACGGCGCTGGGCTCTAGTTTCATGCAGGCACAGTTCAAAAGCAGTTTTGCTCAACCTGAGATTTGCCTAAAATCATAAATCAGTGCCCCTCTAGGCAGGCCTGCTGACATCAGTCTCACTGTGAATCTTAAAGCAGCCCTGTAACCCAGTTCTAATCCCAGTCAGCCAGTGTCTGGGAGCAGTCCTACCCACCCAGAAACCTGGAGGGAAATACACCATGGACCCAGAGACAGAACTGAAGAATTTAGCCTCACTCGTGTATCCTGAAGCAGCCCTATAAATTAGTTCCCATGGCTCTCAGCTTTGATTAGGGGTCAGTACTGCCCATCCAGTAAGCTGTCTAATAACTGGATTAGCGCACTCCCAGAGACCTAGTGGGAGCCACACCTGTCTACATCTATTCTACCAGCACCCCATATGCAGAAACAACTGCAATTTCTTATCTCAGCACTAGTCCTGATAATCGATATTCTAAAGAAGGTTGACTCTTGGCCGGGCGCGGTGGCTCACGCCTGTAATCCCAGCACTTTGGGAGGCCGAGGCGGGCGGATCACGAGGTCAGGAGATCAAGACCATCTTGGCTAACACGGTGAAACCCCTTCTCTACTAAAAATACAAAAAATTAGCCGGGCGCGGTGGCGGGCGCCTGTAGTCCTAGCTACTCAGGAGGCTGAGGCAGGAGAATGGCGTGAACCTGGAGGCGGAGCTTGCAGTGAGCCGAGATAGTGCCATTGCACTCCAGCCTGGGCAAAAGAGCGAGACTCCGTCTCAAAAAAAAAAAGAAAGTTGACTCTTCCAGGGAACAGACAGAATTTATAACTGTCTTATGTGTTAATAACGGGTCTGCCAACCACGAAACCCACTAAAGACCAAGTAGCAATTATGTGACCTGGCTCCAACAAACTCAACTGCAATGTCAATTAAAATCTCATCAGCCCAGGGACCCAATAGGAGAAAGTATTTATCTTTCAAAACTCTCCTATGATTAGTGGAAGATGTGTTTACTCCTTCATATTCAGGGACACAGACATAAGCCTGCACAGATCTTAAAGAATCTGAAAATCATGAACATCACCCAAAGAAACTAATAAAGCTCTAGTAAAAATCTGCAAAGAAATGGAGATCTCAGAATTGGCCAACATAGAATTAAAAATAATCATCAAGAGATTTCAATAAAATCCAAAAGAACACCAATAGATAACTAAAAATGTTATGAAATGACACAGAAACAAAATGAGAATTATAATAAATAGGCTGATCATGTTGGCTTACACCTGTGCTAACTGCAATTTGGGAGGCTGAGGCTGGAGAATTGCTTGGGACCAAGAGTTTAAGACCAACCTGGCCAATAGAGCAAGACCCCACCTATATTTAAAAAATTATTTTAATAGATAAATAGAAACCATAAAAAACAACCACTTCGTGAGATCTTCGCTGTGGTGAAGATGGCCATGGTGGCAGCTGACAGGACAGCCGGGGTCTATTTTGTTGCAGGTTTTCAGCAAATCCAGGGCTGGTCTGGAGGTGTGAAGCATACAGAACAATGGAGTATATGACAGAATCGACTGACCGCAGCCCTGGACTCATCCTGTGCTGTGAGTGTGGTATTGCAATAAGTCCCAATCCTGCCAATATTTGTGTGGCCTGTTTGCAAAGTAAAGTGGGCATCAGCCAAGATATTCCAAAACAAGTCTCACTTTTGTTCTACAAACAATGTCAAAGGTATTTTCAGCCACCAGGAACTTGGATACGGTGTGCTTTAGAATCCAGGGAACTTCTTGCTTTGTGTTCAAAGCCCCTCTGAGTAAGGAACGGCTTGTGAATGCAGGCTTTGTTTGGACTGAGCCCCATTCTAAGAGATTTAAAGTTAAACTGACTCCAGAAAGAGGTGATGAATGGTGCTGTCCTTCAACAAGTGTTTGTGGTGGATTATGCTGTTCAGTCCCAAATATGTGGAGATTGCCATAGAGTAGAAGCTAAGGGTTTCTGGAGGGCTGTGATTCAAGTGAGGCAAAAGACTTTGCACAAAAAAGCTTTCTACTATCTGGAACAGTTAATTCTGAAATATGGAAGGCATCAGAATACACTTCGTATCAAAGAGATTCATGATGGTCTGGATTTTTATTATTCCTCAAAACCACATGCTCAGAAGATGGTCGAATTTATTCAGTATACAGTTCCCTGTAGATACAACGCATCCCAAAGACTGATCTCTCAGGATGTCCATAGTAATACATACAATTACAAAAGCACTTTTTCTGTGGAAATTGTTCCAATATGCCAGGATTATGTTGTCTGTCTGTCTCCAAAACTGACACAAAGCCTGGGAAATATGAACCAGATTTGTGTGTGTATTCGAATAACCAGTGCCATTCACCTCATTGATCCAAACACCCTACAAGTTGCAGATATTGATGGCAGCACTTTCTGGAGTCACTCTTTCAGTAGTTTATGTCACCCCAAACAGCTAGAGGAATTTATTGTGATGAAATGCAGCATAGTCCGAAATATAAAACACGGTGCAGATGCTGGAATGATATCAAAAAAGCATACCCTCAGGGAAGTCTGGGTACAGAAGACATCTGAAATGAATACAGATAAACAGTATTTTTGTCATACTCATTTGGGACATCTTCTAAATCCTGGAGAGCTGGTGTTAGGGTTTGATTTGGCCAGCTGCAATTTAAATGATGAGCATGGCAACAAAATGAACTCAGATAGAGTTCCAGATGTGGTATTAATCAAGAAGAACTAAGACTGGACCAAACATCAGTGATGTAGAAACTGGAAACTGAAAGAGCTTGCAGGAGAGAGAACATGGATACAGATGATGAAAGGCAATACCAAGATTTTCTTGAAGATCTTGAAGAAGATGAGGCAATTAGAAAAAATGTCAACATTTACAGAGAGTCAACCATCCCTGTGGAAAGTGATGATGATGAAGGAGCACCTGGAATTAGTCTGGCTGAGATGCCTGAAGACTTTCATATTTCCCACGATGCCACTGGTGAAGAAGGTGCGTCAATGATGATATAATGAGATGTTGTAGACTGTTTCCACATATGTGGGCTTAAGAAGTTGGAAAAAATGACCTTAAGTGTCTCTTCCATCTATGCCTCCAGATTTCAAGAGGAGAAATTAAGTTTTAAACCTGAATAAACATGATTGTTTTGATTACTCACTCAAAGCACTGAAAAAGATGGATGGCTTTGAAGTTTTAGATAATAAACGATTATGGAGAATGTAATTATTATTGATATTTAGGCTATTTTACATGTGAAATTTTATCACTGTGCTTTTTTATATGAGGCACTATAGTATTTTCACATAGTATACTACCCTGGATGTAAAAGCTCAAAAATTGTGATTCCTTGGACATTCACTAAATCTTCAAGCAAAAACACATTTTTACATTCTTTTTACATTGATTAGTGAAAGACCATATGAAAAATCATTTTTAATATTGTTAATATTGTTACATACTTTGATCCACTTTACATCATTTTTATGTTCTTGAGGGAGGGAAATTAGGGCTCAGTTTATCACTGGATATTCAGGAGGCAAGTCAATCTTTTTTATTTCCTTATAAAATTAACATCTTCAAAAGCTGTTAAACAGAGGGTTATCTTAATTTTTATTGCAGTAGAGGAAATATATTTAAAATATTTGTAGATTTGTAGCAAATAGATACTCATTATTTAAAGGTTAAATAACAATTTTTTCTTTTGTTATTTTTGCCAGTTTAAGGCAGTAGCTGTGTATGTCATATAAATGTCTTCCTACCACATCAAAAATGTTGCTTTTAAAATTTTTGTTTAAAATTGAGAAGGAAGGAATTTTCTCTCTGTAAGTTTCTATCATTGAACACGCCACCATCAAAAAGAATATTAGAATCTAGCATGAAGATAATGACTAATAAAAATGAGGTACATACTTTATAAAACCATAAATCAGATTTGAATGAGGAATGCTTTCCACATCCTTGAAAGAAAAACTGTGTCTTGGGTTTTAAAGTGTTCTGAGAATGAATTATTAAGATCCTATTTCTATAAGCAAGATCAGACTTACTAAGTATGGCACAACTAAGAGCTCATTCATTCATTCTATGTGTGCCACTAAATAAAGAGATTGAGCAAGTAAAAAAAAAATCAAACAGAAATCCTGGAACTGAAATAAACAGTGGCAGAACTGAAAAAATATAATAGAAATGTTTAACAGGAGAATCAATAATAAAGAAGAAAAATTCAGCAAACTCAAAGACAGGCTATTTACAAGTAACCAACCATAAAGTGAACAAATATACACATTTCAGAAATTTCAGAAAAAGAGAGAAAGAGGAACAGAGATTTAAATATATAATGTCTTAAAACTTTCTGAATCTAGAAAAGAATATGAACATCAAGTTTTATGAAGCTCCAAATATCTTCAGCAAGAAGAACCTAATAAAGATTGCCCTTGGACACATTATGATTGTCAAAATACAAAGATAAAGCACAAATCTTGAAAACAGCAAGAGATAAATTCTTCACATAGAAGGAAACCTTTATAATGGTATCAGTGGATTTTTCAGCAGAAGCTTTGCAAGCAAACTTGGAGACCATATATTCAAAATGCTGAAAGGAGGAAAAAAACTGACAATTAAGAAGAGTTTATCCAACAAGGCTGTTCTTTAGAAATAATAGAGGTCAAGACATTCCAACATTTCAAGACAAAAAAGAAGGTGAGGGAATTTATCACACCTCAACCTGTTCTGCAAGAAATGCTAAAAGGAAGTCTTTATATTGATATGACCGAATACTAATAATATGAAAAATATTAAAGTATAAATGTCAGTGAAAATGGTAAATACATAGTAAAATTTAGAATACTCTAATACTGTAGTGGTTTTGCATAAGTCACTTTGAACTTTAGTACAAAATGTATAAAAAAATTAAAAATAAAATAGCTACAATAATTTGTTAATGGACACACAATAAAAAATTGTAAAGTGTGACATATATAGTATAAAATGTGTGAAAGGGAGAAAATGTGTAAAGTTTTTCTACACATAGAAGTTAAATTGTCATCATCTCAAACAAGATTGTTAAGATACAACATGTTTTATATAAGTCTCATGATAACCACTAGGAAAAAAAACTTTAGTAGATACACAGAAGAAAAAGAAAAAGTAATTAAAGCATATAAAAACAACAAAAATGAAAAAAAATTTAAGTTTGGGTGGTGGCTCATGCCTGTAATCCCAGCACTTTGGGAGGCCAAGGTGGGAGAACTGTATGAACGTAGGAATTGGAAACTAGCCTGGGCCACAGAGTGAGACCATGCCTCTACCAAACAATAAAACATTGGCTGCGCGTGGTAGCATGGCCTGTGAAACAATAAATAAACATGAAATTCTAACTACCACAAACTAAGCTACAATATTTATGTCATCACAAAATAATAGTCAATTTATTTCAGCCCAAAAGAAATAACCAAGAATTGATTTCAAAATCAGTTCAGAGCTTTGCCTTCTCTGTATGGTGGAAGAGCAAGAAACAGACTCCCTCTGGCACCAAACACATAGGAAGCCAGACCAACCACATGAACCAGATGTTTCCAAACACTAGAAGCATCTGCAAGGAGCACAGGACTGAGGTCTGGAGGCTGAAAGCAAGAGAGGGGACCGCGTTGCTGCCCCAGCTTAGAGCCTGCAGAGCCTCCTGGCAGTGCATGGTGGGAAGATATAAGAAAAGCATGGAAGTCCACATGTTAAGGAGATAGGGTTGAGAATGTGAGGAGAGAAAAACATGGGGCTGAGTACCAGAAAGTAGGGAGGAGGGGCTGAAGTACGGTACAATTGGAGAGTAGAAGACAGGGGCTCATTGAACCATTGGCAGGTATATGGGTAAATACCAATCAAGATAAAGAATGTTAGGTACTACAAAAGGAAAAGGCACCCTACACTTTTTTTTTTTTTTTTTTGAGATAGAGTCTTGCTCAGTCTCGGCTCACTGCAACCTCCACCTCCTGGGTTCAAGTGATTCTCCTGCTTCAGCCTCCTGAATAGCTGGCATTACAGGCACACACCACCATGCCTGGCTAATTTTTGTATTTTTAGTACAGATGGGGTTTCACCATGTCAGTCAGGCTGGTCTCAAACTCCTGACCTCGTGATCTGCCTCCCTCGGCCTCCCAAAGTGCTGGAATTACAGGTGTGAGCCACTGCACCCAGCCCACCCTACATTTTTTTCAGAGCATTTTCACAAGAAAACTTGTCATTATGAGTTTAATATTGTCCAAAAGTAGAAGAAGAGAGAACATTTCCCAATATATTTTAGGAAGCTAGTATTACTCTCCAATAGAATCAGGGAAAGACAGTACCAAAAAAACCCTGTCTAACAGTATGCCTCATGAAACTCGATGTGGAAATCCCCAACAAAACATTATTCAACAGAACCACATGCTTCACCCATGGGTGAATTTCTTCTAGTAAGGGAGGAGACCACCCCTCATATTGTCTCATGCCCAATTTCTGCCTCCAAAGAAGAAGTAAAAACTAAAAGGCAGAAATGAAATCCACAAGCAGACAGCCCGGCACCACACCCTGGGCCTGGTAGTTTAAGTTCGACCCCTGACCTAATCGGTTATGTTATCTATAGATCACAGACATTGTCATTGTATAGAAAGCACTGTGAAAATCCCTGTCCTGTTTTGTTGTGATCTAATTACCAGTGCATGCAGCCCCCAGTCACGTACCCCCTGCTTGCTCAATCAATCACAACTCTTTTAAGCAGACCCCCTTAGAGTTGTGAGCCCTTAAAAGGGACAGGAATTGCTCACTCGGGGAGCTCGGCTCTTGAGACAGGAGTCTTGCCGATGCTCCCAGCCAAATAAACCACTTCCTTCTTTAACTTGGTGTCTGAGGGGTTTTGTCTGTGGCTTGTCCTGCTACACTAGGAATCATAAAGATGTGGGGAAATCAAAGGAAATCTTTTATTAAGAATTAAAGTTGTAGACTCCTATCTTGAGTTGATTACTTTGAATTTTTGTCCCAAAATACATACAGGACCAGGTCTAATTCTATGATCTTTATCACATGCAGCCAGATGCTGAAGAGAAATAGATACAACAGCGATATGGGAGTTATCCTCTCTAAAGCCCAACTGAAAAAACCCAGAGTCAGAAATTTTACAAACAGAAAAACAACATACTTATTCTGAACCAGGGAAGGAGAGGTAATTTGAACATTTAAATTTAAATTGCTATGAGAATACTGACTTGTTAGAAACTGAAGGAGTGAGCAGTGCTTCTAAACTCCACGCTTTTCCATCAGAATACAGAGATAGACAACCTCAAAGTGCAGTTTCTTCACAATTGTCTTCATCCAGTCATAACATTAATTTCTCTATGAATCAAATCATAAAATAAATATTAAACTCATGACATATTCTCCGACTAAGAGGCAGCAAGATAAACTGAACAGTTAGTTATCAGTGTAATAAATTATGTACAAGAATCTTATCACTGCATTTTTTAACAATGATGAAACTAGAAATAATCTAAGTTTCTATCAAAGAATAAACAGTGAAACAAGTCTTGTATACCCATTCTTTGGAATATATTTAAGACATTAAAAATAGAGGCCAGGTGCTGTGGCTCACGCCTGTAATCTCAACACTATGGGAGGCCGAGACGAGAGGATCACTTGACGTCAAGAGTTCGAGATAGCCTGACCAACATGGTGAAACCCTGTCTCTACTAAAAATACAAAAATTAGCCAGGCCTGGTGGCACATGCCTGTAATCCCAGCTACTTGGGAGGCTGAGGCAGGAGAATCACTTGAATCCAGGAGGTGGAGGTTGCAGTGAGCCGAAATCGTGCTATTGCACTCCAGCCTGGGTGACAGAGCAAGATTCCATCTCAAAAAAAAAATAGAATCTCATGCACTGATATGGAATAGTGTAAATGATATATTGCTTGTGAAATAGCAAAATAAAACACAATATAGTATGATATAATGTGTTCAAAAACTGTACAGGTATGTATCTCCTTTTTTTAAAAAAATTTTTTGGAGGCAGGGTCTCACTCTGTCGCCCAGATGGCAGTGCAATGGCATAATCACAACTCACCACAGCCTCAACTTCCTGAGCTCAACGGATTATCCCCACTCAGCTTCCCAAAGTGTTGGGATTACAGGCGAGAGCCACTGCAACTGGCCAACTTTATATGTATTTATAAATTTATAGAAAACATCCAGAAAAATAAACACCAAGCTATAATAATTCCTTCTAAGAAGAGAGTGAGTTTGGAACAAAGAGGAAGACATGGGAGATTTTCACTACATAAAGATCTCTATGATCTGATATTCTTAAAACAGTATGCATTTCTTTTATAATTAGAAAAAGGAAAAATGTAAGCGTTGTTACCATTTGGTAGGAGGGCAATAGTTTTATTTTCATCAGTATTTGTATTGCATGTTAGTGCACAGCACAAATCTAGAAGAGAAAGCCCAGAGGAATAATTAGAAGAAAAAAAATCACACCTAAAAAAGTGAGAGGTAGTTATCTTTACATAACAACAAGCGTTCCAGGTGAGGGCTTTACATAACAAGTGTTCCAGGTAAGGTACCGCTGCTCCAGCTCCCTCAAATCACCTATGCTCTGCCAAGGGGAAGGTGGAGGACAGGGAAGGCCAAGTCCCAGTGAGTGCTCTCCCCCAAAAAGGCCTGTTTCTGCAAATTTCCTGTTATTAAGAAAATGGAGTCCTAATGAGATGTGGACCCCTTTGGGATGCTGGCAGAGAAACAAAGTAGAATATGCCATGATCATGCCCTAGAGGAAGACTTCTAGGTTGAGACTTGAAATTCATCAAAAGCTTGTGTGAAGTAAATAAAGCTACTCTACCTCTCTGAGTGTCAGTTTCCACACCTATAAAATGGGGATTGCATGCCAACATCATCGAGTTGTTGCCAGAGTTAAATTCACAAAGATATTTAAAAGTGACTGTTACTGCTAGGGTCCACATTTTTTTTTTATTTAAAAAAAAAACAGCATCGGACTTCAAAATACACAAAAGTAACAATGTCCATGTGTCCAAAGACGAGATGATCAGCTTTCTAATAAGCCTGAAGCGCATAAGAACGAGATCTATCCCTAACTAGAACTCTTCACAGCTCCACTTAAGAGGACACAAGCAGGGCTCCAAGAAGCTAAGTGCACGGCCAGTGTAGAGTGACTGGTGTAGTGAGGGTAGAATCTCTTAAGACCCTCTGAAATGCAGTTACATAACAGGGTCCCAGGACACTGGAGCAAACCAGGCAGCTGAGCAGTTACTACCAGGAATGGCAGAGCAGAGGAGGGTCGGAGCCATAAATCTCAGCAGAATACACCAAACTGCAAAGAGCTCCTGGCTCTGTGAACAGCAGCTGTGGCTACATCAGGACCAATCTTCTAAGACAGCTGCTGGGGACAGCTGAGATCACGTGTTTTGGCAGCAACACACCCAACAGCAGTGCCTCTTGAACACAGACCACAAAATCCTCTCCATTTATCTTTAAGGTGATGGATGATGGATGCCCTCACGTTACAACATCCCCACCAACACTTGCGGACAAGTGTATTTAGAAACTTCCACCTAAAGACGGAACACTCAGGAGTGGAATGAGAATATTGGGGGATGGGGGAGAAACGCAGGTACTTGACCCCACAGACTCTATTGAAAACAAGAGAAGAACCGCTGCGCTGTGGCTCTTCCTCATCTCACCACATCCATAGACACCACATGGTTCTTGTTCCTTTATTGACAAAGGTGCTGATGAGCCCGTGTGCAATTAATCCTGAAGGAGTAAATTCTTCACAAAGTACAATAACAGTGTCTAATATCCATGACCAGGGTTTTTAGGGTTTTTTTTTATGGTAATCCACATTCAGGAATCACAAATGAAGCCTGTTGGAACGTGCGATACGAACAAGGTCTTATTTTCATGTAGATGAACACCTTGGTTTTTACGGATTAGACATAAAAAGCATAAAAGCTGGCGCCATTCCAGAATCAAAGGGACTGTCCCTGGGGACATATGGAAATTAGGGACATCAATTACACGAAACTAGAAGTGATCCCAGAAGTTCCCATTGTCTAGACAGAAAAGGTCAACAGATCAGCCCGAGAGAGTAAAGGTACCTCCGGGAGTGCCGGGGGGTGATGAGCTTTCCATTCAAAGCAAAGATGTGAAGCCTGAGGAGTTACAAAGACTCCCCAAATGGTCCACACCTTGAAAGTCGCTCCCACAAAGCTGGAGCACCACCTGTTCCTGAGGATCAGGCTGCCATCTGTGTTTGAGACACTGGCCAGTCAGACATTTGTTGAGATGAGGCCAATGATATCACGTGTAAAATACCTAAACCATCCTAATCTTTAGGTAGCTATTTGGGGGACTTTCTACCAAATGGGTTGGTGAAAAATGGCGCACCAGAGACACACGCCTGGGAACTGAAATTTTCTCCTCTGCTTTTAGCATCTCCTGGGTAAGCCAATAATGGCCCTCCCTGCCCCCTCAATATCCACATCCGCGAAAAAGTCGCTGGTGAGGGTGACATTTTCACGAAGCCACAGCCCATGTCACCCCGTGCAAAGCTCTGAACTTGTGCACTGGCGGGCCAGGCGGCGGATTTCTCCCCACAGCGGCGGAACTGCGCTCTGGCTGGAGAGAAAAGAGGGCAGCGGCACAATGGACAGCGCCTGGACCTCAGGCCAGTTCCCACAGCAGCTTAGGAAAGCCGGTGGCTCCCTGGGCTGCAGGAGGCGCGATGGCCAGGAAAGACCCTGGGTACAGGTGGGAGAGGGAACCCAGCTGAGCAGCGGGAAGTGGGGTGAGGACTACACCCGTCCCAGTTTGACAAGGGCGAGGTGTACATCGCGGCGTCACGCCCTCCTCACTGCCCAGCCCGGACCTGCCCCTCCTGTCCCTCTCCGGACTCACTTTCTTTGGCAAGGAAGTGCACGCGATCAGTAGCCAGCATCGTTGTGGAAGCGGCGAGGTCCACATTGCCGTGTCCAACCCTCCTGGGCTGCCCGCCTCCTCGCATGTCGCCTGCTGGGATTCCAGTCCAGCCGCCTTGCCACCAACGGGCGGGGGACCGTTAAGAGCTACTGTTTCCAGCCTGCCTAGCCAGGCTCTCACCGCCCCGCTCCTCCCACGAGAACTGCGCCCCGTCCCCGAGCCCGGGTCATGCTGGGATTGTAGTCCCGAAGTGCCTGAAACAACGGGCGGGAGCAGTGAAGAGACTACAACTCCCAGCATGCACAGCGAGGTCAACACAGCCCGGCTTTCCTCTTCAGGACTGTGCGCCGCCCCATGTTCATGCTGGCTGTGATTGTAATCCGGTCGCCCTGCAATTAAAAAACTGGAAGCTAATCAAAGACGACAACTCCCAGTATGCCAGGTGTAGCTCCCACCCACTAATCCACACCTCCCCGCGTCCAGAGCAGTACTGCCATGTCAAGGGGAGCCTGGCTGTTCCCAAACCTCTCCTGCCTGCCAGGCGACAGTGGGACCAGGGCGGTTGGTCCTACCTTGTAATTATGTCACTACCTCTTCCTAAGATGCTGGCTTCATGCTTCGTCAGTGCCTGAAGTTTGATTTCTCACGGAGCGGCAGGGGACCGGGGGCTGCTCACAAACCTGTCAGGGTTGCCATAGTAACGCTACTCTTCCTGTAGCTGGACTCGCCCCACCCTTTCTCGCACGCTTCTTCCCTTGGCCCGGCCTCTCCCCTCAGCACCGCCCCTTCTCCCCCGCCTCTTTTATTGGCACCGCCCCTCATCCTCGCTCCGCCCCTGACACGCCCCTTCGGACAAGCGGCAGTGTAGTCCCTGCGTAGGAATGGGGTTAATGGCCAGATGTCTGACACTTCTCGGACTTTTTGTGATCCCACGCGGGAAGCTCCCTCCTGAGTGTCTGAAATTGTCAGTTCACTGCCAGAAATGGATATAAGCGATCCCTGATAACTTGGCACTTGCCTTTTCAAAGCCGCCGTTTCCTCCATCCTCTGGGTTGTCACAAATCCTCCTTTGCAGCACCGCAGGAGTGCCCCTTGGACCCCGAGCTGGCTGCAAGGCCCACACCTGGGTCAGGCCTCGCACAGGGACGCTCCTGCCACTCTAATAAAGAGTAGAAAACGTCACACTGAAAGGCCTGACCCTGCTGCATCCAGTCAGGAAACAGCCACAGGGAAGGGAACCCCTAAGCCACTTTGGGAGCCACATCCACCACTTCTCTGCCCCTGACCCAGGCTGGTTCCTAGCCCTTAGGGTCCTACTGCGGACCTCCCGGCCATAATTAACGCAGGTGCAGGACCAGAGAGCCCCTTGGTCCCTCCCAACACATGAGGGAACTTTGTGTGGTGAGGTCAGGTACAGTGTCTACGTTTCTGCTGTGAATAGGGCTTTCTTGGAAACAATTTTAATTTCCCTTTTTAAATATCCCTTTGGAACCACATTTAATAATTTGCTGGTGGAACTTAACAGTGATAAATCTTTGAATCCATTTTTCTTTTCTTTTTCTGACACGCAGTCTTGCTTTGTAGCCCAGGCTGGAATGCTGTGACTCGATCTGGGCTCACTGCAACCTCCACTTCCCGGGTTCAAGCGATTCTCCTGCCTCAGCCTCCCGAGTAGATGAAATTACAGACAACCGCCACCACGCCCGGCTAATTTTTGCATTTTTTAGTAGAGATTGGGTTTCACCATGTGGGCCAGGCTGGTCTCGAACTCCTGAACTCAAGTGATCTGCCCGCCTTGGCCACCCAAAATGCTGGGATTGCAGGCGTGAGCCACTGCGCCCGGCCTGAATCCATTTTAACACTGAGTTTTTCAGATTAACTCGAAGTACCCCACAACTACACGCTAATGAAACTAGAGGAGGCACAGCCTCAGCTCCGTGCAGGATGGATGCACAAGAGCAGAATCTCCATGGGACGCCTTTCTGGAGCATCAGTATTACTGCAGGATTTGGAAGCAACAAGTTCAAATAATTTTCAACGTTAACACACTGGAAATTTAAGAGAAGTCTGGAAACTCATCTACCTTTAAAAACTGTCAGTCATCTGTGCCTAAGTCAGACTTTCTCCAAGAAAAAAAAAAAAAGAAACTCTAAGGAGACCCTATTTTTTATTCTTCTAAGTAGTTAAAATTAGAAATCACAGCAAGTCAACAGGAAGCTCTCCTCTGCCAGTCTCCTAAATCACAATATGGCCTTGGTAGGGTTTTATTTGTATTTTTTGGAGGGGTTTGTTGACATGTTGGGTATAAAACTTGGGCGGGGGGGGGTGGTTGACCAATTTTTGGAAGTTTTCAGCCATTAGTTGGTGATTAACTTTGTACCTCATTTAATTTTTCTGTTCCCTGTCCAACTTGGACTCAATCACTCTACAGGTCTCTAAGACTTCATTTTCTTAAAGCTTTTTCACTCTTTTATTCAGAATGGACAACTTCTATTGCTCTGTCTTCTGTTTCTAATCTTTGAATAAGCTCAAAAGTATTTTTCAAATTTCCTTATCTTCCTATTATTTCGTAATTTCCATGTCTTTGCTGAGGTTCCACATCTCTTCATTGTTAGAATATTTTCCTTTACCCCCATGAACAGATTTATAATAGCTGCCTTTAAACATCCTGAATTACAACATCTTAAATATCTTAGGATCACTCCTACTGCCTGCTTTTTAAATTGCGTATGGATTCTATTTTTGTGTTTCTTCACACGTATCATGAATTTTAAAGTTGTGTACTAAAACTGTAAAGAATCATTATATAGACTCTCATTTCTGTTGTGTACCTTTAACAGCGGTGTTATTTTTTACAAAAGGTGTTAATTGGGCTGGATTCAAACCTCAATACCTGTCTACCCTGCAGTGGGCACAGCTGAAAACCTCATTCAGTTCTTACTGACACATAGGTCATATCTATATTATGCAGCTGTGTTTCTATAACAATAGGTAATATATTATGCAGGTGTCATCATTATAATCTGTGTTAATTCAACAAGCTAATCCGGTATTACTGAAAGCCAGGACCTCAGTTTTTTTTTGTTTTTTGTTTTCTGTTTTTTGTTTTTACTGTATAATAGTTTTATTTTTCTCATTTTACTATTTTTACATTTTATGCACAAATATTTTTTATCTGCGTAAAAATAGAAAATAACTTTTATGTAAAATTACAAAAAAAATTAAAACCACAAAGAAATACATAATTGTTATTATGACAGTATAAGTGTCATTGTCGTTATTTAAAGAGTAAAAATGTATGCAAAAGTCCTCCTCCCAATTACAAAAGATTAAGAATTTTGTTTTTCCTGGCAGCAAGTGAAATATTGAAGTATCAATATTTTTACACCCTTTAGATCTGAAGACATTAAGTTAGTCACAGATTTGTTTTGCAATTATGAATTTTAAAACATTTTTGTGCTATTTCAAGGATACACTGGTTCTTTCTTAAAGGCAGTAGCATAAAATGAATATGGAAAACAGCAGACCTCACAAAAATATTTGGTGGTACAGTTCTTTTTGTATCATACTTGAGTATCACCATTAATCAGGGGAGAAAACAACTAAACAGTTTTTCCTAATTAAATGACATAGACTGATACAAAAATAAATGTGATCAGTCAATTTACCTGAAGATCAACCACACATAGCAATTCTGCCTAATTTGTTTTTCTGATGCCAACACAAATATTTAGACTTTAGGCTAGCGAGATATGTATGAAAGTTGGCTCAATAAAAACTTCACATGGAAAACAAATTTTAAAACAAAAATGAACATTTCTTTTACTTAAATTCTTGTACTTCTAAGGTACAAATGATGACCAATAATTTTATCTTTCTTCCTTTGAATATACTGTAAATTCTATGAAAAATTCATTTATAAAAACAAAGCAAAGAATGAATAGAATAAATTTTATTTTCTTTCACAATGTTATATTTTAATAGAAGAAAAAAACTACCTGGCTTTCTGATAACTGTAACCTAAGTAAAACAAATATTTTACATATAATTTGAGGCAAAGTAATGAGTTTCTTGAATCAACTGGAGAAATTAGTCATATTACTTTACCTATGTCATGCATAAATGATGGCAAGAAGAAAAAAAAAGCATCTGATCATGTAGGAGAACTGTCTCTGTTCAAATTATGAGAAATAAAATGAAAATTGCTAAAGGGAGAAAATGAATAAAATATGATTTTAAAAAAACCATATGGGAATTGCATAGATGAGAAAAAAGTTTTCATTCTAGGAATCTAAAAGTAATGTTTCTAGCTTTAAAAACATACACACACATATATAATTGAGACATGTCTATCATCTTGGCTAAAATTTTAATATATGTCTCCCCAAAAGCATTTTAAATATGAAAGCCAAGATTCTTAAGCTCTTGATGATACACCAGAAGGGTATACTTTATTATTTTTTTAAAACTACAAGCAACTTGTCAACTCCCTAGGCCGTAAGAGGATGGTGCAAAACCTTTCTTGCTGTCTATTTGTTACCTGACGCTAGAGCTTCTGTTTATTATTTCATATTGTTATTTTACTCAGATATTCTTACAACCACAGTGCCCAAATTGTACTAATAATCTGTCCATATATTCTCTTTCAAAAAAGTAAAAATGGAAATACAAATCTTACTCTGCCCAGATATCAACTGCAGAAAGAGCTTAATATAATAATATAAATGAATTGAGAACATGTTGTAGTAAAATTATGCGTTAAGATTACCAGAGAAAGAGATCAAAGATTCCTCCTCTCTCTCTTCTCTTCCTTGTCCTTAAGATACCTGCCTCTTAGGATTCATTCCAAACCACTACCAGAATTGCTAACAATGCCATCTTGCCTGTATTATCATGTCTTTTTCTCCTAGTTAAGTCAAAAGCATTAACTGAGCTCTTAAGAAGCTTTTTAAGGGGACATATTTAAAGAAAACAATGAAGGAAAAGGTGCATAAATATTTGAGAATCAACTTTCTCAAATCTGTAAGAGGATTAATAGCTATCTGCCAGTCTCATGTAATAATTCGTGCTTAATACCTTAAAACAAACAACAAAAAGAGAAAAGAAAGAAAAAGACATTTCTAGCCATTTTTGTTTAGTGTTCGCTTATGTAAGGAATGTCATATATGCAGGAATTACTTAATTTGAATCTTAAAATGAGTTGTTTAATAATTTTTCTTCTGTATATCTTCATGCCTTCATATATGTTTATAAAATGATCAACTGAATATGTATATAGATATATGAATACACATATATAATATGGAAAAGGAAAAAAAATAAGTGGAAAAGTATTGTCTTAAAGAGAAGACTGCCTATAACAGAGGTCGAATTTTCCTTTTAAAACTATTTGCAAGTAATTTACTAATGCCTTGAAAGGTAAAGTACTGCTGACTGATTTAAAGTCTTCATTTTATCAGAAACAAAGGAATATAAGCTGCTTTGCATAATAAACTGGCACTACAGGGTAATTTTTTTAAAAAGGAAGCCATAACAAACCAAACCAAACCTTTATTTTTGGGTTGAGGTATACCTTTTCAGTTTTTTAAATCTCTGACAGGAAAAACAGAGATCATTTTATAATTTTTGTAACAGCTGGTTTATTAGAATTAAATGCCTCTCTCAAAATAATTTAAATTCTTGGTCTGACATGAATAATCTATACAGAAAATCCTTAAAATTGGCTTGAGTTAATAAGCCAGATTTAAACCTGGATCTCCTCCTTCAGCACTGCTCTTTTGCCAGCCAACTTCTTACTGTCCTTTGCTTGCAAATATATAAATAACCTGATACTCTTAGTTTAGTAATTTATTATTATAAATTTATTTGGTATGAACATTTTAGCTCTGCTTGATTAGATGAAACAGGCACACATGCTTTATCTGAGAAATTCCATTTTCTGGTTCTATGTAAAGCAACATCTAAAGCAGCAGAGAGGGGAAACAGTTATATTTTCAAATATAGTTAAGCCAGACTGTTTCCTAGAGATACTTCATTTATTTTTTATTTTCAGATACTACTGGCTATTTTTGGTAGGGCTACACATTAATACTGACCAGTTTAGCTTTCCTGACTGTTGACAAACTATTCCACAATGAACCTGCCTTCACACCGCAGACATTGTGGAGATCCTTTAACACACACATATTCTAAAATATATGCTCAAAATAAAAAGATCCAAATTCACAAGAGTATGAAATATTTATAAAAAAATCATGCATCAGACTGTACAGCCTAGAAATAAAAGAAGATTCAAATTCAGTAATAAAGGTAAGAGCTATACTTGCTCTAAACATTTTAAGAAAGACTTTGGAGTCCCCGAATGTCCTGGGGCTCAATTATCCTTTTCCGTTTGCAGAGAAGCAGTAGCCAGAGCTACTGCTGTGACTGGCTGGGCAATTCCATGGAGCTGCATCTTTGCAAGTTTCTTCTGTTCACATTCTGTGACCAAACGGTTCAACTCCGCTGCACTGTATCCAGTAAGAGTCTTCAAGTCACAGACAAACTTGTACACAAATCTCTTGCCTTGAACTTTACAAATCATGTCCCCATCATAATAATATCTTAATGCACGACTGAGTTTCTCATAGTTCATCGTAGGCTTATTTTTACGCTGTCCCCATTTTTGTGCAACCAGTTCAGGCTGATTTAGCTTAAATTCACCTTTATCACCAACCCAAGAAATACAGTCTCGAGCGTCCTTATCAGTAAGAAGTTCTAGCAAAAACTGTCATAGTTGGATTTGGCCATTGTTTCCTGTTCTGTTCCCAGGTGAGCTTCTATCTTCTGAAATCCTCGGCGCTCTTTGTACTTTGGCTGCCTTCACACTACTATTTATAACTTTAATGGTAGTAGGTGTAGCAGATTGCACTGATGCTGGAATAATTTGCACAGGTTGATCAATTGTAACTATTTCATTCA
The DNA here is from genome assembly GCF_000001405.40 of Homo sapiens. Taxonomy (NCBI): domain Eukaryota; kingdom Metazoa; phylum Chordata; class Mammalia; order Primates; family Hominidae; genus Homo; species Homo sapiens. The sequence continues at coordinate 63,894,057 of NC_000007.14, read as the reverse complement.
TCTGTTGTTCTTGACTTGCCAATACATATTTTCGGAGAAGTTCCAGATGACTCCAGAGAATTTCTCCCTGAGGAACCCGCTGAAAAAAATCTTCTTGGTTGAGACTACATAATTCTCTCCCCGAAATGTTGAGTGTGGTGAGGTCTATATCGGTCATGCTGAATTCCTTCATTACCCAAACCACCCAATGCAGGACTTGGTCTGTGGACCACTGTATGGGATCATAGGGTATCCCAAGGCGTTCTTGTTCTTTCCTATAGCCTTCCAGTGCAGCAGCCCATCTTGTCACTTGTTCTGAAGTTTCATCTGAAATGGTTGTGATGTGTTTTGTGCCATCAAGAGTTATCACTTGAGCTTCTTCAACAAGATGTGCTTCTGATTCAGCATGGTGGGCATCTGGATCAATAACAACCTCAACAGTGTCCGCAGGTTTAACAATTTCAAGGATGTTTAACTTTGGTTCAATTCCTTGATAAGAAATTACCTGTACACTAAGCTGTACAGTTCCATCTGTTTTTACTCCTTGGTCAAATAAACTTCGTTCTGGATCCAGGTGGATATCTTGCAGACAAATTTCATGAGCATCCAAAGAACACTGTAGTCTTGGTTCTAGCAGTTTCTTTAAATTGCCTATTGGTTCATTGATGTCTATGGCCTGGCTTACACATTCAGCTGGCGCGTAGGTTTGTTCTACAATGCTTTCTTCTGTGCACTCTGCTTTCTCTGTTCCATCAATCTCAATTTCTATCAGCTCCTCTGCTTCTCTTTTAGTCGTGGCTGGAGTATTTCAAAGGCTCAGTCCCACTCCAGAATCGGCCCTGTCGCCTCCGCCCGCACTCCAGAGCCGGCTGAGAACCGCAGCGGCGCGGGATCCACGTGCAGCGTCTCTCCAGGTAAGACCTGCAGCTCCCGGGACTAAGTGTGAGGCCCCAGGGCCCTTCCCGCGGAATCGGCGCTGAGAAGCCCCAACCCCCCTCCAGCCTCCAGGACCTCAGTTTTGTCTGCTTATTGGATTTTTTTATAAATCAAATTATATAGTATGTATACTTTTTTTTTTTTTGAGACAGAGTCTCGCTCTGTCGCCCAGGCTGGAGTGTAGTGGCGCGATCTCGACTTTTACATCTACTTTCTTTTATACAACATTATGGAGTCTTGCTCCGTTGCTCAGGCTGAATTGCAGTGGTGCAGTTTTGGTTCACTGCAACCTCCACGTCCCGAGTTCAAGCAATTCTCCTGCCTCAGCCTCCCAAGTAGCCGGGATTAGAGGCATGCACCACCATGCCTGGCTAATTTTTGTACTTTTAGTAGATACGGGGCTTCACCATGTTGGCCAGGCTGATCTCAAACTCCTGACCTCAGGTGATCCGCCCACCTCCGCCTCCCAAAGTGCTGGCATTACAGGCGTGAGCCACTGTGCCCGGCCAACATTTTTTTTTTTTTCATTTTAACAATTTTTAAGTGTGCCGGTCAAAGGAATTAAGTACATTCACACTGTTTTACCAGCATCCTCCACATTTATAGGGAGTGTTTTTGCAAAACTCAAACTCTGTACCCATTAAACCCCGCACCTACCTTCCTGTAGCCCTGGGAACCAGTCTTCTACTTTGTATTTCTCTAAGTACCTTGTATGAGTGGAATTATACAGTATAGTGACGAAATCATGAAGAAGTATAATACACACTATATAACATGTTTATTCATTTGAACACAATCACTAACAGAGATCATTAGTACATGGTGATTATAGAGGAAGATAGATTTAAAAAAAAAAGCATTGGATGAACACATTAAATTTATGAAAATGATGCCCAAATACTACAGCAGTGAGTCCCCTGCCCCAGTCACAGGGCTGGTCACGGTGGAACTGGGAGCCCTGTGCAGCTAGCTGTCTGACTCACAGAGCCCATGCTCAGCCCAAACTTCACTGAACCCTGAGGCACTCTGCCCCTGCCACCCAGGCACTCAGTGGACCTGAGATTCTTCATGGCCTGGTCTTCTTGGCCTTGAGAGTGTGGCTGGCCTACTGGGATGGGGCTCAGCAGCAGGACAGGTTGTAGCTGTAGGACAGAGCAGCAGCTGTGAGGATCCAGGAGCCACACCTCAGGCCTCCCTCCCAGTGCCTGCCCAGGGCTCCCATTCAACAGGGCCTGCTGCCGACCAGGGAGCCGTGGCCACAGGCTGTCTGAAACTGACCACAAGACAGCCTCCACTCCCTCTCCTGTCAATCCGCTAAGCTCTCACTTCTCAATCAGACTGTGCCACTCCATGGACTTGAAACAAACCCCATATTCCTCCTGAGTCTGAAGGTAATTCCCCCTTGTCACTGAAGCAGCTGCATTTTTGCAGCGTGGGAGGGTGTGGGGATGTGGGCAAGTCATGGGCCAGGGTCCTTTCTGAGGGTCTTTGGCTGGCTGTCTTCCAGGGAAATGTGATCAACACCCAGAATGGAAAAAAGGGGAGCAGCTGGGGCCTTCACTTTGGGGAGGGTGGGGATGTGGAAGTCAGAGACCCCCACCCACTTACCCTGGGTAGAGCACTCCCTGGCTCCATCCTCTGCATCCTGGATTTATTGGGAGGGTTTGATACACAGAGGAGGAGACCCATCCCAATTGGAGGATGTGGGTAGGGGACAGGAATCATGGACAAATTCCTAGGGGGCCTGTTTATCTGTTTATATCCAACTCTGAGAAAAGGGTGGGACTGCATGGGATTGGAGAAGAGGGGGCCCATTAAGAGAAAAGCCCTAGAGATTGGCCTCAGTTTACTCCCTCCCCAAGGGCCCTTCAGTGTCTTCCACTCAGGCCCTGTCAGCCTCCTGTCCTTCCCTCTGGCTCCAGGAGATCAAAGTACTCCAAAAATGCAGCTGCTTCAGTGACAAGAGGGAATTACCTTCTCCCAAGCCTCAGGATCCTGGTACCCGACTTGCCTGCCCCAGGCTCACTCCCATTCACACAGTCCTTCATGGCAGTGTCCAGCTTCACCAGGTCAGTGAGGAACCTGCCCAGAGGGGGCACATCCCCCTGGGCCATTGGGGTGGTCGTGGTGGTGAGCTCCTATTGCCAGGTGCCCACCCAAGACCTGCCCCCTGAAATCTCACCAACCACTTCTGCCTGGACACCCCCTCCCCAGGTCTCCCACTTGGAACAGCCCAGGACCCTCAGCTGCCTCCTTCAGCCCTCCTCCTCCTCTCCCCATCTCCCCAGCTGGCCTCCAAGGCCACGAGATACCCCCAGTTACTTCTATGATGGGATTTTAACAAGTCATAAGGTCATGGGGTCCCCTGTCCCATCGTTCCCCAAATCTACACTGAGCCAGCTCGCCCAGGCAGTTTCTCTGGTCTCTCTAATGGAGGCATTTCAGGCCCTGTGGCCACAGGAGGGCAGGGCTGGGGGAGGAAGATGCCCTGTTCTCTTAATGTGGAGGCCTCCAGCTGAGGGGGAAGAAGCCTGTCCTCCGACTCCCTGGAGCCCCTCCCACCACAAATCCACTCACCTGCTGCTCCCACAGCCTCATCTGGGCTGTCTGGGGATTCATCTCCAGCATGGCCAATTTGGAGGTCCCCACCTGCCAGGGTCAGCCCCCCTGACCTCAGATCCTGGATAACTGGCCTGAGTCAGCTGTTGCAATGCTCCCACCACCTCCAGTGAGCCCTGGTTCTAGATTCACTCCCAGCTCCAACACTCACTGCCTGTGTCACCTTGGGCAGGCGGCCGGGCCTCCCTGACACTGTTTTCTCAAAAGGGAAGTGTGATGGGAACCACACCATCCTCACAGGGCCTCCCTGACACTGTTTTCTCAAAAGGGAAGTGTGATGGGAACCACACCATCCTCACAGGGCCTCCCTGACACTGTTTTCTCAAAAGGGAAGTGTGATGGGAACCACGCCATCCTCACAGGGCCTCCTGAGGACTCGGTTTCATGTGGCTCTCAGCATTGCTTTCACCATCATCCTTTGTGGGAAAAGCCAGGCACAAGCACCCTCAAATTCCCTTCCTCCCCAAACCCCATCATGACCCTGTCGGGCCTGCACAACCGGCTCATCATTTGCCAGATGAGGAAACAGAGACCCAAAGAAGGCAGCGACGTGCCCAGGGCCTCACAGGAGAGGCTGGCTCCTCCCACACCTGGAGGCCCTGTCCAAGCTGCCTTCACCCCACACCCCAGGACCACCACTGACCAGGGTCCCATCCTCTGGAGTCTATGGGGTGTCCACATTCCCATCCAGGCTCAGCTATGGTGGGAGGGGGACAAGGTGTATCTGGAGGCCTGCTTGAGCAGCACCTGCTTGTCCCAGCCCCACTGGAATCTCTGCTCCACACACCAGGCTTTATGTCAGACCACAGGCATCACTTACCCCATGATCCACCAAGGGAGTTCCCTGCACAGAACCCTATCTTCCTCCACTCAGCGAGTGGTCACCCAAGATGCCATCTCTGACTGACAGGGCAGGGTCTTCCTAAGGCTGGGTGGTGACACGCCGCTTCCTCATTTCCAGAGAAGATTCTGAGATCTGGTCAGGAAAGATCCACAGGGAATGCAAGAGTCTCCAGATACTTATAAACCATCTGGAGCTTTTGGTAGTGCTCACTGGGCACTGGGGTGAGAATCCTGTGACTGACTGATTAGCAGTGTCTGCAAATGACAGAGTGGGGAGCCACAGCAAACACATATATGTTCACCCCCCGTTTACCCATTGAGACCCACCTGGCCTGTGAGATTCCTCTGCTGTCCCCATCCTTGGTGCAGACAGGAAGACTCTCCCTGTAGAGGTGCAGAAAGAAGCGGTAGCAGAGGTCTGGCTTCCTGGGGAATTGCTGGGCTAGTTTGGGGAAGGAAGGAAGCCCCACCTACCACACCCACCCCACAGCCTGGAGGTGGCTCCATGCCAGCAGGATGGACGAGCATGGGAACCAGAGCCCTGCTCCTTCTGCAGCTCATCCTACCTGCCCAACAGCCCAGCTGACATCACCACATCCCATTACTGGAGTCTCCTGCCCCCAAACCCCCACCTGCCCATGGGCAAACACACTTCTTTCCGTTAATACAGGCTAGACAGGGCTGGAGTTTTTCAAGTAAACCTTCAGTGAGAAAGTTGCACACACCACACACACACACACGTGTGCACACCCCTACACCTGGCCCAGTACCCTTTCCAGCCTAATCTTTTTCTCTACCCCCCAAAACACTTGACTCCCATCTCCCGTCTCCACTTTTCCTTGATATGCAAATCCTGCTCAGTGTACTGTCTTTTCTGAAAAGATTTTTAAATTTTCTGGAACTTTTTCTGTGGAGAGGGAAAAGAAGGAAAGATTTGAGAAATAATAAGGTGAAAGAAGAAATTATTTGAGAATAATAAGCAGATGTGTACATTCAATTCCTTTTGAGAACCAAAAGGAAGAAACTGCCTGGATGAGAATTTCTACGCTGGTCCTCTAAACCCTAAGGGCTCCACGGGTCTGGGGAAGGAGCTCTGTGGAGGCTAAAGCAGCTCCATCTTGGATGCGAATCCACCATGTTGACTTTGAATTAACCCCAGTTCTGGGAATGCCCTTAAGATTTCTACTTGATCTACTGTTTCTTGTGTAAGAGCACATACTTACTGCAAATCTTCTCCTTAGGTCAAAGCTACCTAGATGTCATCATACAAATTACAGGCTATGACGTCCACCTCATTCTCTTTCTGGAAGGCTGACCTTAACTGTCCTGCACATTCCTTACACAGCATATTTGCCCTTTTCCTATACTAATAAGCCCTAAATCTTGGGGGTAACAGCCTGGGGAACTACCTGTCTTGCTACCACTCAAGACCATACTTCTGTCCACAAATTCCCCCCAATAAATTATCTTTTACTGACAAACTGGATTTGTCTGTCTCATTCTTTGGTTTCTTGACTCCTTCTGTGTTGGGCATCCCTTCGCAGATACAGCCCTTTCATAAAACAAGGTATATTAGTCCATTCTCACACTGCTATAAAGAAATACCTGGGTGCCTGGCATGGTGGCTCACACCTGTAATCCCAGCACTTTGGGAGGCCGAGGTGGGTGGATCACCTAAGGTCAGGAGTTCAAGACCAGCCTGACCAATATGGTGAAACCCTCTCTCTACAATAAAATACTAAAATTAGCCGGGCATGGTGGTGTGCCAGCTACTCAGGAGGCTGAGACAGGAGAATCGCTTGAACCCAGGAGGCGGAGGTTGCAGTGAGCCAAGATTGCTCCACTGCACTCCAGCCTGGGGCGACAGAATGATACTCCATCTCAAAAAAAAAATAAAGAGAAAAGAAAAAAGAAAGAAAAATAAATACCTGGAACTGGGTTTAATTGGCTCACAGTTCCATAGGCTGTACAGGAAATAGCAAAGTGGCTTCTGCTCAGCTTCTGGAGAGGCCTCAGGGAGCTTAAAATCATGGTAGAAGGGGAAAAGGAAGCAGGCACATCTTACATGGCTGGAGCAGGAACAAGAGAGAGAGGGGAGAGTTGCCACATGCTTTTCAACAACTAGATCTTGTGAGAGCTCTCACTACCACAAAACAGCACAGAAGATACAGGTGAAAAACCCCATCTCTACTAAAGATACAAAAATTAGCCGGCATCATGGTGCATGCCTGTAATCCCAGCTACTCAGGAGTCTGAGGCAAGAGAATCTCTTGAACCTGAGAGGTGGAGGTTGCAGTGAGCCAAGATTGCGCCGCTACCCTCCAGCCTGGGCAACAGAGCACGATTCTGTCCAAAGAAAAAAAGCTATGATGTCCTGTGTCCTCCTGGGAGATGACATTGTTTGATGCACACCAGTCCTTTGTGTGGGTTAATGTCACCGGCTTCCAATTGGCTTCCCCTCAGAGCATGGCTTTTGCGACCCTCACCTAGAGACAGAACTTGTCTAAGGTTGCCTCAAGGACAGTTCCCAGGAGAGTATTTGTCCCCAGCATGTGCTGGGGGATTGATAAGATGTAGACCCCTCAGAGCCAAAACTCATTGCTTGCTCTGAAGGGACCAGTGACTCATTCTAGCCACATGTGTCCTCTGGTCCCCTTCAATGGCCCAACACTGAGGGGAACATTGGCCTTCCTGTCATGGTAGGGGCTGTGGTGCTAGCTCCCCTCCTGGGAGAGGGAAGAGGTGGTGGGACCAGCCTGCTCCTCACACTGGCACCCACACTCCGTTCCTGGCCCCCAAAATTCCACTCCTGGCCTGTACAGGTCCAAGTATCAGCTGGGCCTGCTGTCTACATGAAAACAGCCACTGCTGCGGCACCCCTCAGCCCTGCCCCTCAAGACCTAGCCTGGTCCAGCTACGGCCACAGATCACCTAGAGCCCCAGTGAGTTTGAGGTGAGTGTGGGGCAGGTGGTGCAGCTTCTCTTTCCTTTTCCTCTGCCTGCCACAGAAAATGGGACCCAGAGCCCCTACCATCCAAAGCCACCCTCAGAAGCAGGCCTGAGGCTGCAGGCTCCCCTGACACCTCTCCAGAGAGCCTTTCTTCCATTTAACCTCCACAGGGGCAACTAACAGAGTGGGCAGGCCTTCCTCTAGGTGCATTCCTTCTCCTCTGACTCGGGGACCTTGCTCTCGACCCCCAGCAGAGCCTTTGTTCCCAGGGGGAGTGCCTGTGGCAGAGGCCAGCCTAACCCCTCCCTGCCTGCCAAGCTCTTGGTTCCTTGGCAATTTTAAACCCCCCAACAGCCTCCTCTATCCTGCTGGAGCTTTCATAGCATCTTGGCACTCACAGGGCAGCCTGCAGGCATCAGGCAGCGGGTGACAGAGCCTCACACAGGCGCTTGGAGGCATCCCAGGATCTCATCGGTAGGGTCCTGTTTTCCCTAGGCCATTCTCTTTTTTTTTTTTTTTTTTTTTTTGAGATGGAGTCTCACTTTGTCACCCAGGCTGGAATGCAGTGGTCTTGGCTCGCTGCAACCTTCATCTTCTGGGTTCAAGCAATTATCCTGCCACAACCTCCCGAGTAGCTGGGATTACAGGCACCCATCATCACCCCCGGCTAATTGGCTAATTTTTGTATTTTTAGTAGAGACGGGGTTTCACCATGTTGGCCAGGCTGGTCTCGAACTCCTGACCTCGTGATCCAACCACCTCAGCCTCCCAAAGTGTTCGGATTACAGGCATGAGCCACCACACCAGGCCTCCCAGCCCATTCTTTAATGAGGACTACATCAGTTCTTCCCTCAGGCTGAACCAGTGGCTGGAGTTGCCCCAAAAGTGACAGCAAAGGAGTTGCCCCAAATTGTCTTGAAATGGGGCAGTTGGAATTCCAAACAAAGAAGCTCTAAAGCCCAGAGTGGTCTGTCCAAAGTATTCATTAGAGGAACAGACACACAGAGGGGGCTGCAGCGTATCCTTGCGAGGGACAAAACAGAGATGTTCTACCCCAGTATGTCTGCCATGAGTGGGTCTGGTTATGGAGTTTATATGAGGCTTTAAGGAATTTGGCTTAGGGCCACGGCTAGTTTCTTTCAATGCTGTGGGCAACATCCTACACGTTTTTATCAGTGCCTGGGAATGTTCAAGGTCCCGGCTTGGGTTTAAGCCTGCAGGGAAAAACCTGCAGCTGGCCGTTATCACAGAGCAGTCAAGTTACTCTGTAATTCTCAGTCTGGACAGAGAAAATAATGGGGAGGAAGTGAGGTAATAGACACTATTCTTTGCAGTAAGTTTTTTTTGTTTTTTGAGATAAAGTCCCACTCTGTCACCCATGCTGGAGTGTATTGGTGTGATCTCAGCTCACAGCAACCTCCACCTCCTGGGTTCAAGCAATTCTTCTGCCTCAGCCCCCCAAGTAGCTGGGATTACAGATGCCCACCACCATGCCCAGCTAATTTTTGTATTTTTAGTAGAGATAGAGTTTCACCATGTTGGCCAGGAGATTTGGAACTCCTGACCTCAAGTGATCCACCTGCCTCAGCCTCCCAAAGTCCTGGGATTACAGGTGTGAGCCACCGCACCCAGCCTGCTGTAAGAATTTGTATTGGGAAGTGGAAGTCAGTTGTTATTCAAGATCGTTTCCTATATTTGGTTTCCTGTGCGTATCTATATCGGTTTTGGTATGTGGAGAGTTGTCAATTTCTACAAAAAAAAAAAAAGCTGGGAATTTGAAGGGATTATATTGAATTTCTCGGTCTATTTGTGGGATATTGTTATCTTGGAAATATTAAGTATTTTTATCCTTGAAAATTAGACATTTTTCAATTATTTCAGATCTTGATTTCTTTCAGTATTAATAAAAATTAAGCGTAGACCAGGCACGGTGGCTCCCGCCTGGAATCCCAACACTTTAGTGGACAGAAGCAGGCAGATTGCTTGAGCCCAGTTGGAGACCAGCCTGGGCAACATGGAGAAACCCCGTCTCTACAAGAAATTCAAAAATTAGTCAGGCATGGTAGCACACACCTATAGTCCCAGCTACTGAGAAGGCTGAGGCTGGTGGATCAATTGAGCCCAGGAGGTCAAGGCTGCAGTGAGCTGCGATCACACCACAGCGCTCCAGCCTGAGTGACAGAGCAAGACCTTGTCTAGAAAAAAAAAAATTAAGTGTAAAATCTTTGCACTTCTATTACTTTTTATAAATATTTTTGAAGCTATTATAAATCAAATGTATACATTTTATTCTCATTTTTGGTTGCTTTAAGTATAAATTTGTATGTGTATCTTGTATCTTGTGACACTGATCAACTTATTAATTCTAGTGGTATTTTAGTGAAACTCTTACACACTTTTATATAAAGAATGATGTCATTTGCAATTAAGGCAGTTCTAGAAGTTGACACGGGGAAGGAGGGTGAGCCGTCAGGACCCCAGCAGGGCCTGTGGGCAGCTCGCACTGAAAGAAGGGGCCCAGGTGAGGGAACCTTCAAGTAACCTCATGTCCTTGGTGACAGATCCACCAGAACTTCAAACTCTGGTAACCAGAAACCCTTATTCTAGACACAGCCCTGTATCAAGCTAATTTCATGGAGATGCTCAAGAGCAAGATGTTCTACTGCTCTATCCTGACTTCCTGAGGCTCTCATCTGTGGAAGGCTTGAAGTGAGGGCATCTTCTAATGATGCAGATGTTGGCTCAGCTCTCATCCACAAATCCTCAGGTCACTTGGCAGGGGACACACATAGGTAACACAGGGCACCTCACGGCAGACCCTTCCAGGCCAGACCTCGCCTGTGATCCCATCTGGGCAACCCCACATCCCTGCCCATCACTGTGTGTCCGGGAAGCAAGAGTTGAGGGTGTCCTCCCTGGACAGGAGCAGGTTGTCAGTTGTTGGAAGCCTGATGGGTCTGCCAAGATCATATCCCAGGTCATGGCTGGCAGGGTAAGAAGTGAGTGTTGGGGAACAAGTTTGCCTACTCAGATGTTAATCCCAAGACTTCACATTGTAACCTTGTTTTCTCTCTGGCTGGAAGTCTATGCAGATGCTTATATGTGCCTGATCTGGGGAACAGAATTTCATTTTTTTTTTGTTTTTTGGTTGTTGTTTTTTTTGATGGAGTCTCTCTGTGTCGCCCAGGCTGGAGTGCAGTGGTGAGATCTTGGCTCACTGCAAGCTCCGCCTCCCAGGTTCACGCCATTCTCCTGCCTCAGTCTCCCGAGTAGCTGAGACTACAGGTGCCCACCACCATGCCCGGCTAATTTTTTTTGTATTTTTAGTAGAGACGGGGTTTCACCGTGTTAGCCAGGATGGTCTCGATCTCCTGACCTCGTGATCTGCCCACCTTGGCCTCCCAAAGTGCTGGGATTACAGGCAATGAGCCACCGTGCTCGGCCGGGGAACAGAATTTCTAACTGGGCTTTCCCCCTGCAGAGATAGCCAGGCAGTTCACTGACACCTCTTGGCCCAGCTGCTGGGCGCTCTCCTTGCAGAGCTTCATGAAGATCGGTAGAAATGAGTGATAGGTTCAACCACTCCATCTCCTTGGACAAAGGGCAGGAGCACCACACCACCAACCATGGCCAGCGCTGGTCTGGGGTGACAGTAGGAACACAGGGGTCACCTCAGACAGGAATCCAAAAAGATCAAGGCAGGACCAGGGCCCAGACTCAAATATGGAGGCTCCATTGCCCCTGTCGAAGGGCTTTCACACCTAAGTGACCCACGGTCCCCTCCCGAAAGAACTGGACCTCCATTCATCACCAACAGAAACTTGATTTGATTCTAAGTTCTTGCTCACATAGTTGTAGAAAGAGGAGAGAACATCGTTTTTTATTGTTTACATTAGGCCACGAGTATCTTTGCATGTTGCTACTATTTATATTGGCTTTTTTTTTTTTGTGAGACAGAGTCTCAGTCTGTCACCTAGGCTGGAGCACAGTGGCCCAACTGCAGCTCACTGCAACCTCTGCCTCCTGGGTTCCAGCGATTCTACTGCCTCAGCCTCCCAGGTAGCTGAGATTCCAGGCACATGCCACCACACCTGGCTAATTTTTGTATTTTTAGTAGAAACATGGTTTCACCATGTTAGCCAGGTTGGTCTTGAACTCCTAACCTCAGGTGATCCGCTTGCCTCAGCCTCCCAAAGTGCTAGGATTACAGGCATGAGCCACAATGCCCAGCCTATTTATATTGTTTTAAACACCCACCCCATGTATTTCCTGTAGCAGGCAACCCCACTGCCCTGCCACACCTTTAAGATTTAAAAGCCCACACTCTTACTAGGGAGGTTTTTACACAAAAAGGTAGCTAAAAGCGGGAGGGAGGATGGTTAAGCTGCTCTATATATTGGTTATCCCACAGAACTCATTCCTGTAGCCCCATCAGGGCTGGAGCTGCAACCTCACATGGCTTCATTATATTCCATAAAGGAGACCATTTTCTTCAGCAGTTCAGTCTTGCAATGCAGGTGGAGCCTGGACATGATCATCTTCTATTTCCATGTCAGCCACTTCTAAGGAAACATCCTATGTGTGCCCTAATCTGTAAGTGTCTGCTAGAGCATCCATACACAGCACTGCATAGTGAAGGACTTTAACAGCAGAAACTTAGTTTCCCACAATTCTGGAGGCTAGCAATCCAACAACAAGCTGTTAGCTGAGATGGTTTCTCTGAGAACTCTCTCCTTGGCTTGTAGATGGCTGAACTTCTATCTCTGCATCCTTAATGCCTCTTCTAATAAGGACTCCAGTCATTGGATTTGGGTCCACTCCAATGAACCCAAAACTTATAACCTCTTTGGAGACCATATGTCCAAATACAGTCACATTCTGAGGCACTGAGTGTTAGAACATGAACTTTGGGGAGGGGACACCACTCAGCCCATTGGATATATTATTCCCTTGTAGATGACAAACTCCCAGGAGATTACTCGGTAGAAGGATATGCATATGTAAAATTTTAATAGCTAAAGACCGATCACTTTCCAAAAGGGCTTTGGAAGGTACATTGCCACCAGCAATTTCTGAATATAGCTGCTTCCCTGAATTCAGATTTTCCTGGATGTTAACTTTCTTTTAATTTTTTGCCGATCTGGTATCCATGTAGCAAATAAAATCATGTTGATTCATGTTGATTTCGCTTCCTGATTGAAATTTGAGTCATCTTTCTTTCTTTTCTTTTTTGAGATGGAGTTTTGCTCTTTCTACCCAGGCTGGAGTGCAATGGTGCGATCTCAGTTCACTGCAGCCTCCACCTCTTGGGTTCAAGTGATTCTCCTACCTCAGCCTCCCAAGTAGCTGGGATTACAGGCATGTGCCACCACACCCGACTAATTTTTTGTATTTTTAGTAGAGATGGGGCTTCACCATGTTGGTCAGCTGGTCTCGAACTCCAGACCTCAGCCTACCTCGGCCCACCTCGGCCTCCCAAAGTGCTGGGATTACAGGCGTGAGCCACTGTGCCTGGCCCTCAAGTCATCTTTCAATTGCTTAATACATATGTGTTTTCCCTGAATCATCTGCTCAGATTCTTGGCCCTTTAAATGGGCTTTCTCCCATCCTGGACTCTCCCAGCATTTGCCCCCTTGTCATGTCTAGAATTGTAGCTGTTTGACTAGGTTCCTTCTAATGTTAAAAAATTGTGTTGCTTAAAGTCAAAAAGGTATTCCTAGGCTGTCTTGCCATGTGCATTGTCTCTAATTGAAGGACATTTCTTGCAGCCCTTGCTGTTTATAGTTCTCAGTTTCGACCCATGTGCTGTTGAGCAGACATCTGACATTGCAAAGCCTGTGCTTTCCCAACTCTACAAGAAGGACATTTTTTGAGGACTCACTGGGATAATTCTCTTCATATAGGCTATTAATGTAGGTGGGTGCTGTTGCTCCACAGATGACAAAGTATCATGAAGATGCCTTGAAGGTGTTAATGGCTTAATTATTCTCCACCCCCACATAAAACTTTGTTGTCTTTGTTTGTTTTTCAGACAGAGTTTCACTCTTGTCACCCAGGCTGGAGTGCAATGGTGCGATCTTGGCTCATGGCAACCTCCACCTCCTGGGTTCAAGCAATTCTCCTGCCTCAGCCTCCTCAGTAGCTGAGATTACAGGCACCTGCCACCAGGCCTGGCTAATTTTTAGTATTATTACTAGAGATGGGGTTTCTCCATGTTGACCAGGCTGGTCTTGATCTCCTGACCTCAGGTGACCCACTCACCTTGGCCTCCCAAAGTGCCGGAATTACAGGCATGAGCTACTGCGCCTGGCCCATATAAAACTTTTGAAGCCTAGAACCTTCTTCACCATGGACACTGTACTGTGTCCTCCACATGCACAAGTCTCTGAAAAATAGGAGCTTCCTGGTATAAGCCCCAGCCCCCAATCTGCCAGTGGTGCACAGTGCTGCCATTGACCATATGTCTCTTCTTGTTCCCCTGCATATGAAAATAAGTCTACCCTAAACCTTGAGATGAGAATAATGCCGACACTCCCAGCCAGGTACAAGAGAGAAGCTGAATGAGCTTCTGGTACTAGACTTCCAGGTTGAGCCATCTTCTCCTTTACCACACTCCTAGGCTCCTACCAGGACTTCACCACCAATCCACAGTTCCTGGGTAAGCTATTCAGTAGGTGTCTGTCTCCTCCAAGACACAGTGGTGACTCTGCAAGCTACCAGGTGGGTACTAAGGATATCATTGCAGCTCTCTGTGCCTGTCTATGCCTCTGAAAAGTGAGAAGATGAACCTCATAGAGTTCTTGTAGGGACTAAATGGCATAAGACACAGCAAGCAGATGCTGAGTGCCTGGCTGCTTAGGATGCTCTGGTTGCTTATATATATTGTTTCTGTCTTTTTGCCCAAGAAGTTCTCCTGCCTCATTGGCCTGTGTCCCTCTACATTTGAAACAGCACCTAGAAAGCAAAGCTGTGTTTGCATTGGTAAACCACATTTGAGATTTCTTCTAGCTGGATTTTGTCCTTGACAGAGAATGAATAAACTTCCTAGGATGCTGAAAGAGGAGTCCCTACCCAACTCAGATATCTGAGGAGGTTCTTGTTGAGGTTTGTTTATTCAATACATATATTTTCGGTACAATGTGTACATCAGTTTTCTAGATGCTTGGCATAATTCAGTGAACAAAGATGACAGTGCCTGGGCCTCTGCATTTTTACTGCTAATTATGGAGCTTCTATTACACAGCGAGCACTGCTCTGTGTGTGTTCATTTCTGTGCCAAAACAGCCTCATGATGTATGAAGCCTTCCACTGTTTACATAAACAAATTGGCTCAGTAAACTTGATTATGTCCATTACAAAAAGAACAATCATGAAAGAAAAAGTGGCTTAAATGGAGTTCTCCAATTAAAAGAAAAAGGATGGAATGTAACTTAAAACACTCGCTGTAGAAACACTAACATCTAAAAGTTATTTTCTGAGCATGATTAAATTTCATAAAATTTATATAATCCCAGATTATAATCCAAAAATAAAATTATCCAATAATAAAATTTCATAAAATTCTTATAATCCCAGAGGACATCATATAAAGAATACTTCACGAACCTTGGAATGAAAAAATTATATAGCAGGTCCAGCATAAGAAACAGGCAAGAAAAAAACAGAGGATTTCCATGGAGATTCTGAGCCAACGGGCCATAAGATTTTAGATAAATGAATTCAATACAAAGCAGAGAAAATAGATTTGCTTTCAGAATCTTTGAGGTTTTGATCTGCCTAGTAAATATCATCACTTTTAAAAATTATCTGTATTGATCTAATGTTTGTCTTTTCTTCTCAAAATAGGTACACACTCACACAAACATAGTTAAATTCACCACAAATCTCTTACACCTGAAGTTTATCGATAATGTGATATATTTGTATATGTAAACCCATGTAAATCAAAACTAAAAATCTGTGTTTTGCAGACTAGAGTGGGCACATTCAGATAAATATAGAATAAAATTTTAAAATAGTCATTCAGAATTCAGAAATATGTGAATATATTTTATTATAGTCTTATGTAATCTTTATTATAACCATATGTGAATGTATTTTATTATAGTCTTATGTAATCTTTATTATAACCATAATGATCCTATAGTTACAAAAAGAAGAAAAAATAAATGTATTACCTCTGGTAACAATATTCCACTGGGAAAAGGGATTACAAAAGATGTCATTGTACTACGTTATCCTCTACTATGCTATCCAATAGTATATTGTGACCATCAGTTACCTACAACATGGGGTAAGGTGGGATAGGTTAATGTTGGTGGTAAGATGCATTTCATTCAATGGAAAATAGTCTTAACATACTAAAAACAATTTTATTCCATTAAAATAAATTAAGTTCAAACATTATCTCAAAAAGCATTTTAAACTCCACTGCATTTTATTATTTTAATGTGTAACTGGTAAAACAATTGACTTCTAAGATTCAAAATGCTTCTCTTCTCCTACAATGCTGAATCATGTTACCCTGAACACCTACCTCATGAATCACTTACAACATTGTTATAAGGGGCCTCTCCACTTAGATTTTCTTTATGCATCTTACATTCAAGTGTCCTTAGTGTTCCATGGAAAAGTGTATTAATGGTGCCCACTTAATAGAGAAAGATGTCTCAGAGCTCTGATGCAGAAACCATTAACCACGTGCTTTCACATGAGCACTAGAAATGATGATATAACATCAAGACATTTGTGAGTTTAACTTACATAAATATTTGCTTTTCAAAGTAACTATAATTATTTCAATTCCAAAAAGTATAATTTGAATGTAATTATAACTGTCCAAAAAAGAGAAAATCAATCTCCTTCTCCATTTAAACTTACACACAAGTAAGCAATCTATTTTAAATTATTCTCTATAATCATCACTGATTAGAGTAATGTCTCAAACTGTTACTGCCTTGGTGCTTTCTACTGTCAATCTATGACATTTACTTTGGCTTGATTTCTAATTTACTTTTTCACATTTCCTAAATCTGTATAATAAATTCTAGTAGAAACTCTCCAGTGTTCTCTAAGGTATATGTATGGAACAAAAGTTTTTCCACATAATTACATCCATAGGGTTTCTCCCCAATATAAAGTTTGAGGAATTCCTGGAAAGTTTCCCTTCAGTATAAATTTTTCAGTGTACAATAAAATCTGTGGTATAAGTAAGGTATTCTGCCTTTATATTTGTAATGCTTTTCTTCACTAAAATAATCTTGTGCACGTTAAGGGTTATATTTTGTGAACAATCCTTCAACAGTCATTACATTAATACCACTTTTATTTAGTATGAAATCACTGCTGTAGATTGTGATGTCAGCATTCACTAATGGTTTTGCCACATTTTTCACCTTGGTAGGGTCTCTCTCCAGAATGAATTCACTTACAGTAAAAGTTGAGCACAAATTAAAACCTTTGCTACATTCCCTACAATTGTAGGTGTTCTCGATCACATGAATTATCTTATATTCAGTAAGGATTGAGCATTGATCAAAGACTTACCACATTCTTCACATTTCTTGAGTTTCTTTCCAGTTTGAATTCTCTTATGTTTAGTAAGGTTTGAGAACCAGTTAAAGGCTTTGCCACATTTTCCACATTTGTAGGGTTGCTCTCCAGTATGAATTCTCTTGTGTCCAATAAGGTGTGAGCTCTGATTAAAGGTTTTGTCATATTCTTTACATTTGTAGCATTTCTCTCCAGTATGAATTCTCTTATGTTTAGTAAGGATTGAGCCATGCATAAAAGCTTTTGCACATTCTTCACTATTGTAGGGGTTTCTCTCCAGTATGAATTCTCTTATGTTGAGAAAAGTATGAGAACCAGTTAAAAGTTTTGCCACATTCTTCACATGTGTAGGGTTTCCTTCAGTATGAGTTCTCTTGTGTCCACTGAGATGTGAGCCCTAGTTGAAGGCTTTGCCACATTCTTCACATTTGTAAGGTTTCTCTCCAGTATGAATTCTCTTATGTCCAATAAGGTGTGAGCACTGGTTAAAGGCTTTGCCAAATTCTTCACATTTGTAGGGTTTCCCTACAGTACAAATTCTCTTATTTTGAATAAGGTTTGAGAACCAGTTAAAGGCTTTGCCACATTCCTCACATTTGTATGGTTTCTCTCTTGTGTGAATTCTCTTATGTTGAGTAAGGATTGAGCACTGGTTAAAAGCGTTGCCACATTCATCACATTGAAAGATTTTGCTAAGGGTAGTTGATAAACATTGGTTAAGTCCATTATAACTTTTTTTCTGTCCCTTACAGTCACCTACACATTCCCAGTCTTTTCTTAAGTTTAAATTTTGAATGCCATAGCTTTCATATCTTCTCAGTATCACTTTTGGGAATGTTTTATGCTCTGCTCAGGCAAAAGGTCTGGAGTAAAATGAGGCAACACAGCTAAAAGAAATAAAAATACATTATACCACTTATTAGACTCAGGTGAATATACTTTACAAATACAAAATATAAAATTATACCAAGCACAATAAGATGGCACAATACTACAGGCCCAAATTCCTTAATAGACATGCAAACTTAACAAAAATATATTGACCAAAATGCCTTTGTAAGAGCTCTAAAAACCAGTTAAGAGACTGCAGTGCCATAGATGAGAATGATGCCAAGAGCCACAGAGAAGACAAAGGAGCATTTGTTACATTTAACCACCACAGCCATACTTCCTCCTAAACACAAAATAATGCCTTTAAGTATAAACCCTCAATGCCTGGCTTCTCTCTCAACAGTGAAAAAAAAAAATAGTGGCACATGTGTCCATACTTCTGGCTTTGAGGGATCTTTCCAAAGACTGGTTTCTGTCTACTGTGACACAGAGTGCCGAAAGAAATTGTGCTGTACTTTGAATGACAGGTTACTGTCTGTGAGACAAAAGGTAAATGATTTTTAGGCCAGCAGAGAGACTATAGGACCACAGAGAAACAGCAGGTGTACCAACTAATTACAGGCTCTTAAGCAGAAACATGGGCAAACCCGCATAACTCAATAAGGGGAACACAAATCTAGGGAAGAGACATCTTAAGAATGGTTTGAGAAATTCTCAATATCCATCCTGGTAAATTGCAGGGAAGAAATCCACTTTATACAGACTGTGATGGGTGGCTTTATTTTTAATGCACATATCTCAACCAAACACTACAATATATACAAAATATCAGACTAACACAGCCTAATCAAAGAAACAAGTATGCTGAAATCAACCCTAAAGAAATGAAGATGAATAAATTATCTGAAAAAAATCAAAATAAACATCTCAGTTATGCTCAATGTGTAACATGGGAACACAGACAACTAAGTGTAATCAGAAAAATAAGAATATCAACAAAATGACAAAAAGAAACAAGTTTTGGAGAAGAATACAAAAATGACTGAGAAATTATCCAATGTAAGAAAAAAATACTAAAAACTGAAGCTCAACAAACTCCATCTTGGATAAAAAGACCCATAACAAGACACAATCTAAGCAAAGTTTTGAAAGTCACAGAAAAGAAGAGAATCTTCTTTTTCTTTCTTTCTTTTTTTTATTTATTGATATTCTTGGGTGTTTCTCGCAGAGGGGGATTTGGCAGGGTCATAGGTCAATAGTGGAGGGAAGGTCAGCAGATAAACAAGTGAACAAAGGTCTCTGGTTTTCCTAGGCAGAGGACCCTGCGGCCTTCCGCAGTGTTTGTGCCCCTGGGTACTTGAGATTAGGGAGTGGTGATGACTCTTAACGAGCATGCTGCCTTTCAAGCATCTGTTTAACAAAGCACATCTTGCACCGCCCTTAATCCATTTAACCCTGAGTGGACACAGCACATGTTTCAGAGAGCACAGGGTTGGGGGTAAGGTCACAGATCAACAGGATCCCAAGGCAGAAGCACTTTTCTTAGTACAGAACAAAATGAAAAGTCTCCCATGTCTACTTCTTTCCACACAGACACGGCAACCATCCGATTTCTCAACCCCTTTCTACTCCACAAAACCGCCACCGTCATCATAGCCCGTTCTTCATGAGCTGCTGGGCACACCTCCCAGACGGGGTGGTGGCCGGGCAGAGGGGGTCCTCACTTCCCAGTAGGGGCGGCCGGGCAGAGGCGCCCCTCATCTCCTGGACGGGGCGGCTGGCCGGGCGGGGGGCTGACAGCCCCACCTCCCTCCCGGACGGGGCGGCTGGCCGGGTTGGGGGCTGACCCCCCCACCTCCCTCCCAGACGGGTCGGCTGGCTGGGCGGGGGCTGACCCCCACCTCCCTCCCGGACGGGGTGGCTGCCGGGCGGAGACGCTGCTCACTTCCCAGACGGGGTGGCTGCCCGGTGGAGGGGCTCCTCACTTCTCAGACCGGGTGGCTGCCGGGCGGAGGGGCTCCTCACTTCTCAGACGCGGCGGTTGCCAGGCAGAGGGTCTCCTCACTTCTCAGACGGGGCGGCCAGGCAGAGACGCTCCTCACCTCCCAGATGGGGTCGCGGCCGGGCAGAGGCGCTCCTCACATCCCAGACGGGGCGGCGGGGCAGAGGCGCTCCCCACATCTCAGACGATGGGCGGCCAGGCAGAGACGCTCCTCACTTCCTAGATGGGATGGCAGCCGGGAAGAGGCGCTCCTCACTTCCCAGACTGGGCAGCCAGGCAGAGGGGCTCCTCACATCCCAGACGATGGGCGGCCAGGCAGAGACGCTCCTCACTTCCCAGACAGGGTGGCGGCCGGGCAGATGCTGCAATCTCGGCACTTGAATGCAGAAAGACAAGAGGGATGTATCACCTATATGCATACTCCTGCAAGATTAACAAAAACCCAAGAGGAGAGTTGGGTTATATAGTCCAAGTGCTGAAGGAAAAAAACTTTTAGCAAAACTGTCCTAGAAAATTTTAAAAAATAAAGATTTTCCAAGATAACTAAATGCTGAGAAAGTACATCACCAGAATAACTGTCCTACAAAAATGCAAAAGGAAGTCTTTCCCATTAAAAATTTAAAATGCTAGAAAACAAACCAACTCATATAAAAATACGCAACTCTCTGAGAAAGATATGCACGTACACAAAAATAATACTTTATAGTATTATAATAAATAGGCAGAAAACAATTGTGCTTTAAAATTTGAAAGACATCATGAAAATTAAAGCACCCATTAATATATGATATACTTAGTGACATTGTTAAGTTGAGGGCAGATGTAATGAGCAAGAATTTTTGTATGCAACTGAGTGCAAGTTGTTACTAGTTTAAAATACACAGTTGTAACTTTAAGGTATTTTATGTAATTTAAATGGGAACCATAAAGAAAATGCAGATACACAATAGAAAATAAAAAAGCAAAGCATGTCACTGCAAATATCAACAAGACACAAATAAATACAAAGTAAATAGGGACAAAATAGCTACAAGAGTCAAATAAAACAATAAAATGGCAATTGCAAGTCATTTCCTTTCAGAAAAGTATTAAAATATTCATGGACTAAACTTTCCAAATCAAAAGGCAAATATTAAATAAAGGGATTTCTTTTTTGAATTTAGAAAACAGAATCCACCTATGTCATGTTTCCAAGAGACTCACCTCAGAAAATAGACTGAAAGTGGCAGGATGAGAAAAGCTATTCCATGCAAATGTTAACCAAATGAGAGCTGGAGAACTAATGATATTAAGTCAAAAGCTGACATATTTTATAAAATATAGTTTAAGTCAAAACTCACAATAGACACACAAGGACATTAAATTATAATAAAATGTTTCATTCACTGGGAACCTACTTATATCTCTTATCAGGGTTCCCAAATATATAAAGCAAGCATTGACAGAAATGAAGTAATGTAATACTGGGAGAATACTTTAATATTTTCAGTAATAAATAATAAAGCATGACAGAACATTAATAAGGGAACAAAGGACTTGAAAGCAATGTAAAACAATTACACCTAAAAGACATATACAGAATATGCCACACAACAGCAGAATACACAATCTTTTCAATAGCTCATAAGAAAATTCTCCTGGATACAACACCTGCTATCTCATAAAACAAGTCTTAATCCATTTTTGAACCTTGAATCTTACACACTGTTATTTTTGGCCAAAATTGAATGAAACTAAAAATCACTAAAAGAAGGAAAACCAAAAAAATTCACAAAATATGAAAATTAAACAATACGCTCTTAAGCATGCTCCTGTCCAAATGTTGGAAGACTTAATACTGTGAAGATGGCCATACTGACCAAAGTGATCTATCTACACATTCAATACAATCCCTTTCAAATTCCAAATTTTAGTTCTCCAAAAATAGGAAAACAACCTCCATATTATATGGAATATTAAGAAACCACAAAGAGCCTGACTATTTAAAAAAGAAAAACAATATTGGACACATCATGCTTAATGATTTCAAAATACAAAATGAAGGTAGGGTAATCAAAGAACTTTGGTAAAACCCTACACACCAACAAAACAGAATACAGCACAGATAAAAACTGTCACATGTATGTTCAAATGAGTTATTAACACCATTTATTGTGGCATTATTCACAAAAGCCAATAGGTAAAAGCAATCCAAACTTCCCTCACCAAATAAATGGATAAATATAATTTGGAATATAAAAATAATGGAATATTACTCAGCTTTAAAAAAAAAACAGGCCAGGTGCAGTGGCTCTCACCTGTAATCCCAGCACTTTGGGAGGCCGAGGTGGGTGGATCACTAGGGCAGAAGTTCGAGACCAGCCTGTCCAACACAGTGAAACCCCGTCTCTACTAAAAATACAAAATTGAGCTGGGTGTGGTGGCGCGTGCTTGTAATCCCAGCTACTTGGGAGGCTGAGGCACGAGAATTGCTTGAACCCAGGAGGCGGAGGTTGCAGTCAGCCGAGATCATGTCACTGTACTCCAGCCTGGCTATAGAGCATGACTCTGTCTCAAAAAAATAATAATAATAATAAATAAAAATTAAAAAAAACAGGAAACCTTCTAACATCTGCCATAAACATAAATCTTGATGACATTATGTTAAATGTTAATAAGCCACCTGAAAATACTGTGTGAATCCACTTATGTGGGATATCTAAAGTAGTTACACTATTAAAATGAGAAAATAGGATAATGTTTGGAAAGGGCCAGGCAATGGGAAATAGGATTCACATGGATTGTGTATTAATTTTACAAGATAAAAACATTCCAGGCTGGGCACAGTGGCTCATGCCTATAATCCCAGCACTTTGGAAGGCCAAAGCAGGCAGATCACATGAGATTGGGAGTTTAAGACCAGCCTGACCAACATGGTGAAATCTCATCTTTACTAAAAATACAAAAATTATCCAGACATGGTGGCACATGCCAGTAATCCCAGCTACTAAAGAGGGTGAAGCAGGAGAATTGCTTGAACCTGGGAGATGGAGGTTGCAGTGAGCTGAGATTGTGCCACTGCACTCCAGCCTGGGTGACAGAGTGAGACTCTGTCTCAATGAAATAACATAAAAATAGAAAACATTCTACAGATACATTGCTAGCAATGTCAATATATGTAACATAAACTGAACTACATGAAGTATTTATGATTGTACATTTTGGTGTGTATTTTTCACAAATAAAAATAAATGTACAATAGATAGAGTTACGAAGCTTTTCAAAACTTACCTCCAAATCACAAAATATTTCTCTCACACCAAGATCATACATATTCAACAATAAACAGGTGTGGAAATTAAGACAATTTCCATGACTACTCACTGACGCAAGAGAAAATAACCATCTATCACCAACCAAAATAACAATTAATTATACACAAATTATTTTTTAAATGTTGGTAATATTTATACAGGCAAACAAACATGAAGATAATTATAGTGGCAATAGACGTATGGCTGATTCATACTTGACTTTTGCTGTACACTGGCTTAAAGTGTATGAAGTTGAATATTGTCATAAAGAATTATAATATATAAAATAAAACAAAAACACAATTAACTAAAATGAGGTAGCCCATCCTAAACCATGAGATGTCGACATATAAAATTGCAAAACCCATCCTGGCTAACATGGTGAAACCCTGTCTCTACTAAAAATACAAAAAAAAATTAGCCAGGCATGGTGGCATTTACCTGTAGTCCCAGCTACTCAGGAGGCTGAGGCAGGAGAATCTCTTGAACCTGAGAGGCAGAAGTTGCTGTGAGCTGAGATCATGCCACTGCACTCCAGCCTGGCTGACAGCAAGAGTCTGCCTCAAATAAAAAAAAAAATTGCAAAACAAAAATTTAAAAACACATTAACCCAAAAAGTCTTGAATAAACATAATTCACTACTGAATCCTTCTAGATACCTACAATTTTCAACTATGACTGGGCATCCATAAAGAAAAAATATTTGATTTTACTAAAACTTCAACTTGTAGGTTCAAGGGTTACATGTGCAGGTTTGTTACATGGGTGTATTGCGTGATGTTGGTTTAAGGTAGGATTGATCCCATCACCCAAGCAGTGAGCATAGTGCCCAACAGGTAGTTTCTCAACCCTTGGCCCACTCCCTCCCCGACCCAGTGGTCTCCAGTGTCTGCTGTTTCCATCTTTATGTGGCACAATCATACCTTATTGCAGCCTTGACCTCCCGGGTTCAAGCAATCCTCCTACCTCAGCCTCCTGAGTAGCTGGGACTACAAGCACCCACTAATATATATCACTAATTTTTGCATTTAGTAGAGACAGGGTTTTGATACATTGTCCAGGTTTGCCTCAAACTGCTGGGCTCAAGCAATCCAACTGCCTCAGCCTCCCAAAGTGCTGGGATTACAGGTGTGAGTCACTGTGCCTGGTCAATTTCATTCTTTTTTTATGGCTGCATAGTATTCCATGGTACACATGGACCACATTTTCCTTATGCAATCCACCATTTATGGGCACCTAGGTTGATTCTGTATCTTTGCTATTGAACAGCATAAATTTTTAATCATGAGTATAAAGTGAGAGCAATAAATTTTACAGAAAATGCATAATTATTAAAAGCTTTGATGAGAAAATTATAAGAAATAAGCATTTTCTTATTCCTTCTGTGCTATTAATATATTGTATTGTTATTAATATATTGCTGTATTATGAGAAACGCTTCTGAGAAACTTCTGTATTATGTTATTAGTATATTGCTGCTCTTCATATACAAAATGTAAAAGCTATAATCTGGCATTTAGAAGCAAAGAAAAACATTAAATTTCTAAATATAATGCTTAAAATATATTTATAAATGCTAAATATAATGGTAAATACTGATGTATAAAGTGAACAATTAGGGACAAATTATCCTATCATTAAGATAAATGTTAAGAAAAATCAAAGAAAATGCTAATGATAACTTTTTGTTTTTTTTGAGACAGAATCTTGCTCTCTCACCCAGGCTGGCGTGCAGTAGCACAAGCTCAGCTCACTGCAGCCTCTGCCTCCTGGGCTCAAGCGATTCTCCTGCCTCAGCCTCCCAAGTAGCTTATAGGCATAAGCCACCGCATTCTCATTAGTGAAGCTAACGCCAGTAATCCCAACACTTTGGGAGGCTTAGGTAGTCAGATCACCTGAGTTCAGGAGTTTGAGACCAGCCTGGCCGACATGGTGAAATCCTGTCTCTACAAAAATACAAAAATTAGCTGGGCATGATGGTGGGTGCCTGAAGTCCCAGCTACTCAGGAGGCTGAGACAGGAGAAACACTTGAACCAAGGAGGCGTAAGCCTAGCTAATGATAACTTTTTACAAAGAGTAATCTTAAACATAGAAACCAAACATTTTAATAAAAGTGGAGTGCCCACTAATTATCTAATTTTCTTTTTATATAATAAAATCAAGCATGTTATTTCAGAACTTTGAAACTAAAATTACAGGCAAATTTGACATGTGATCAATCAGAAAGTGAAAACACATGGGATACAGTCCTGGTAATTTCTATACTGGAGGATTCTAAGATGATAGTTATTAAGAAGTAGGTAACAATTTAAAATTTGCTACATGCTAGGCAATGCTCTAAGTTTCCCTACGGTATTAGTGTTTTTAAAATTTTTATGAGGTGAGTAGATACAATCAACTATTCTACAGTAGAGGAATTTGACATAGAGTTTAGATTTCTAAACTTAGCTCCTACTAATAAAAAGAAAATCTTAAACAGATATTTTTCATATTTAATGAGATGCTTTGTGCTCTGATGGAATTTCTCAGTCTCATTTTCTGTAGGGTCATGTATGAAACCTCCATGGGACTGGAAATTATAAAGCAGAAAACATATGACATCTGTACCTGGTATGTCTGGAATTTCTGAACAAAATCCCAATGTCTCCACTACTCCCATCACAGACGTCTGACATAAGGCACAAACAGATCTTTAAAAATAGCCTAACATAGAAGTCTCCAAACATGTGCACAAATTTATCCAGATCCCTCAAAGCAATGGAAGAGCAGTCAGATCACACAGGTCCCCCACAGCATAAAGGGAAGAGTTCAGCTCTCACTGTGAATGCACTGGTAGATCACTGATGGACAGGAGAATTCTTAGAGAATTTAAAAGCATAATAACCATAGTGCAGGAAATTGCCCTCTGTGATGGTAAAAAAAATAAATATAGGCTTGTCAAAAAAACAATTCCGTTGAAGCAGAGCTTGCAAAACCACATTTTGAACTCTGGTTTCCTCTTTGACCTTTGGGCCTCTCATATGTATTATCTCCTCTGCTCATACATTCCCATCAATCTGGATGTATAGCTATTGTCTTCTCCCTTTTATATTCCAGGGATACGTCCTTTGCTGCATGCTTACAGACTGTTCACCACGTCCCTTCTTCTTTCCCAGAATAGCAATTAGGTTCAGGAAAAAACAAACAATTCTCAGTGTCTCCCTCAGGAGTGACCTAGAAGAGTGAAACACACATTCAAAGCTTTGGCATTTTAAAGAACTGTCTGGTGACTACATTCTGTCCCCCCTAACAAGGATTGTTAAAGGAAATGATGGGGTAATAGGATAACAGTTTGTAGCTGTTGAGAAGAAAAGCGGGTACTTATTATAACACTAGAGAAACTGGTGGTAACACTAGTCAACCAGGGAAGCAAAAGACTACAGAATCTGGAAATGAAATGAGGAAAATTGTCTTTAACTTAGAAAATACAAACATAAGTCCAGAGAAGACACAACTGGGAACATGTTTGTGAAGCCTCCAGAATCTATAGCCTGATTGACTGCTGTCAGTACACCCCTGTGGTAGGCCTGTCTTTAAATACTACATTAGATGGCTGCTTATAAATTTCCAAATCTCATCAAAGGAGCTCAGGACATAAAGAGAAGGCAGGAAACATGTCCCTCTTGAAGGAACAAAACTTTGCACTATCTGACAGTGACTTGAAAATAATTATATTAAATATGCTGAATAAGCAAAATTAGAACATAGACAAAATAAAGATGCAAAAGAAATGAGATAACAGCAAAGAGCTAAAAACTATGAAAAACAACCCAATTGAAATTGTGGAGCTGAAGAATAAAATAATAGTTGAAAAATTTACTAGAGTCAAAACAGCAGACTTAATAAAGCAGAAAAAAGAATCAGAAAGATGTATCATTTATAAATATTAAGTCATGGAAATAAACTTTTTAAAAATGGAGAAACATGAAGATAGAATGTGGGACTTACTGGAGGAAACATGGTAGAGGGGTTATTTAAAGAAAAAAGGGACTAAGGACTTCCAAAATCTCCAAGTGATTAAAAATAAAATACTATCAAACAAGAGGACTTGACCTGGGGAAAATTTACTTCAAAAATAAAGAAAAAATAAAGACTTTCTAAAATAAACAAAAGTTGAAGGTGTCTGCCGCCTCTAGAACACACCTACAAGAAGTGATACAGGGAGTCCATTATCTTGACAGACATTCTGGCTCACACCTGTAATCCCAGCTACTTGGTAGGCTGAGGCACAAGGATCAATTCATGCCAGGAGTTTGAGACCAGCCTGGGTAATTATAGTGAGACCATGTCTCAAAAAAATAGGCTGTATACTAATTTTGAGATTCAGAAAGAAGGTGGTGAAACCCTGCTCAAGCCTAAGACCAACGGGAGTCATTTTGAGAAGGCTGATCCTCATTTAGGTGGCAAAGTTGAGGACCTCTGGCTTTGGCTACACACCAGTAAATGGTCCACTCAACTTGACCCCACTTACAATTCAAAAGTGACTCTACCCGTCTCCAAATCCTCCCAGCCATGGTCCAGAAGTGGTCCTGCCCATTCAGAGACCTGGGGAGAGATGCCCATTCATGCCCAGAGAGGCGGGCACTTCAGCTGTACTCAGTTTCAGCCCTCGTAGCCACAGTCCATGGCCAGTTCTGTCCACCTAAGGACCCATACAGTGACCTGGGGAAATCCTGCCAGGTACTAAGTGGGAGCCATACTCATCCACAAACCTAGTATTAGGCCCACCACAGGGAGACTCAACTGTAGAACCCTGCCCTAGTGCCAGCCCTAGAGATCAAAGTCCTGAAGGCAATCCAGTCTGCCCAGGAGTAAGACAAGATTAACAACCACCCAGGCTACTGGTACCAAACTTACTAAAGCCAGACCCAAACAGCAGCCTTATGATTATGACCCACTTACCACCCATCTCCACTGCAAGCCCAAAAGGGGTCCCATCAGCCTCGGGACCCCACAAGAGAAGATCTTTACCTGCTGACACCAGTTTATAACAATTAGAAGAAGTGTTTGCTCCTTCAGATTCACAGATACCCATATAAGGCTGCATTTTGTCCATTTTTAATGGTTCTATTTTTACACAGTACTGGAAATCTCAGGCAGAACAATTAGGCTAGAACACTTTCTTAAAGCCATCTACATTGAAAAGAAGTAAAAATGTTGCTGTTTGTAGATGACATGATCTTGTATTAGAAAACCATAAACAATACATCAAAATAGTGTTTCAGATAATAAGCACACTCAGTAAATTCGCAGAATATAAAATTAACTACAAATATCAGCTGTGTTTTCATACACAAATAGAAAACTATTAGATAAAAAGAAAAAACTCAGTTACAATAGCATCAAAATCTTAAACTTTTAACAGTAACTTTAACCAAGGCAAATGATTTTTTTGGTACCAATCTTTATGTATTTATTCACACATTTGACTAAAATGTTACAGTTACGAGTGAAATCATTACAATGACATAAGTAACTCTACAGACAGACCCCCAAGTGCAGAGTCAAATTGCCGTAAGTCAGAACATGAGGCAACTGCAACTCCTTAGCACCTATGCATGCACTCACGCTCTTGCATTCTTTCTCTCTCTCTCTCTCCTTCCCTCCCTCCCTCCCTCTCATGTGCACATCCCTCCATACCCCAACGATCACAGGTGCTAAGTTCAGATGTAACCCAAGGACTCTTCCCTGGCTTCTGTCAGGTCTTGGGGAGAAGAGAGAAGTGATGAATGAAAAGCAGCTGTGACTGCTCAATGCATCTCTCTGCTGTGCTAACAATGAGTCAAAGAAGGCAAGACATAGACATCGGGACAGCTATTTCCTTGGCACAAAAATTAACAGACAACAAGAAGGTCAAGGAAGGGTTTAAGATAGTCTTGGGTTTAAATTATTTTTCAATACCACAAAAGGGTAGCAAGCGGGATAAGAAAGAAAACTCTGGCCATCAAGATTCCAGAAACAGGGAGAGAGGAGGATTTAAAACTTGATCCCTATTCTCTCAACAGATTGCAACTTGACCATAAGCAAAACCAGCTAGGTCAAACTGACAGCATCTAAACAGCATAGTTTGCTTTTATTTTGGCTCTGAAGAGAGGAAGAAAAACTTTTTGGAGGAACCTGATGGTCACATAAACCACATCCCCACTATATTAGTATTTGTCACAAGATTACATCTGTGTTCACACAGCTTGTCTATAGATCTGAGAGCTCCAAGGGAGTGGCCCAGCCCCCCATTCCTGCCTTTAGCCTTCTGAAAAGAACAAGTCAAACCTGAAATGTGACAAATGCCTGAATCAAACTGATGTTTTCTATACAATGGGACTATGTATGAATCCTGCTCATCTCCTCCTTTTTGACACAAAAGTTAAAGCATTTTTAAACTAAATTTAAATGTGACGTTTTGAGCAACAAACAGCTACTATCTAAAAGGATTAGTTTCCCAGTGCTCTTGGTAAACGGGAAAGTTTAGGAAGGAGGCAATAATCTAATGAATATAGAACTGGCCAGTTCAAAGGAAACTGCTTTGGATAAGGTGAATCAATGGGTGGTGGGTACTGTGCAGGCAGAGAAAGAAATGTCTTGGTACAAACCTCATGTGCCAAGGTGAAAGATTTTTACACTGGAATATATTAGATATTGATGAAAGAAACTGAAGAAGACACAAATGCAAAAATATTTCATGTTCATTTATTGGAAGAATAAATACTATTAAAGTGCCTTATTACTTAAAGTATAGATTCAATGAACTCCCTATCAAAATTACAATGTCATTTTTCACAGTAATAGAAAATACAACCCTGGCCAGGTGCAGTGGCTCACACTTGTAATCCCAGCACTTTGGGAGGCTGAGGCAGGCAGATCACAAGGTCAGGAGTTTGAGACCAGCCTGGCCATATGGTGAAATCCTGTCTCTAGTAAAAATACAAAAAAATTATCCAGGCATGGTGGCACATACCTGTAATCCCAGCTACTCAGGATGCTGAGGCAGGAGAACTGCTTCAACCGGGGAGGCGGAGGTTGCAGTGAGCCGAGATCACACCACTGCCCTCCAGCTTGGGTGACAGAGCGAGACTCCATCTCAAAAAAAAAAGGAAAAAGAAAAGAAAAGAAAATACAATCCTAAAATTTATATGGAACTACAAAATACTTTGAATAACCAAAGCAATCTTGAGGAATAAGAACAAAGCTAAGAGCATTATACTTTCTGGTTTCAATCTACATTTGAAGACTATTGTAATAAAAACCATATGATATATGCACAAGAATGGACAAAAAAATTGGAGAACCCAGAAACAACTCCATGCATATAAGGCCAACTAATCTTTGACAGGGGCACTCAGAATACACAATGAAAAAAGTATAGTCCCTTCCATACTTGGTGCTGGGAAAACTGAATACCTACAAGCAAAACAACAAAATTAGACCATTAATCTTACATCATACCTGATGATTAACTGAAAATAAAGACCTACATGTAAGACATAAATACTCAAGAATCTTAAAAGAAAACACATTTAAAAAACATCTTGATACTGGTCTTGCCAATGAATTTCTGAATACCACAGCAAACAGAAGCAAATATAAACAAGTTGGACTGCATCAAACTAAAAAGCTTCTTCACAGCCAAGAAAACAATAAAATAAGAAAATCTGCAAACCATATATCTGATAGATGGTTAATGTCAAAAATAGGTAAGGAACTCATACAAATCAAAGGCAAAAACAATAATAATAATGGTAATAATAATCTGATTAAAAAATAAGCCAAAGACTGAATAGACATTTTTCCAGTAAAGACATACAGATGGATAACAGGTAATGCAAAGGTGCTCAACATCACCAATCATCATGCATTTGCAAATTAAAACCATGTTGAGACATCACTTTCCATTTGTTAGGATGGCTAATATCAAAAAGAAGAGAGATAACAAGTGTTCACAAGAATGTGAAGAAAAAGAAATTCTGTACAACTGTACCAAGTTGTAACTTGGTAGGGTCATTATGAAAACCAATATAAAAGAGTTTTTATTTTAAAAAATTATTTTTAATAGTACTACTAAACAATCCAGCAATCCCACTTCTGCATATACAACTAAAGAAAATAAAATCAGCATCTCAAAGAAATATCAGCAACATCATGTTCATTGCAGCATCATTCACAATTGCAAAGATGTGAAAACAATCTAAATGTTTGTGGATGCTGAATGGATGAAGAGAATATGGTATATATACATAGTAGAGTATTATACAGCCATAAAAAGTGACATCCTGCCATTTCAACAAGATGGTTGGACCTAGAGGATATTATGCTAAGTGAAATAGCCAAAAACAGAAAGACAAATACTGTATGATCTCACTTCTATGAAGAATATAAAAAGGTTGAACTCACAGAAGCAGAGTATGAAAGCAGTTACCAGGGCTCAGAAGTGGAGAAGATGGAAGATATTCAAAGGGTACAAATTTTCAGCGATAACATAAATAAGTTTTGGAGATCTAATGTATAGCTTCATGACTATAGTTAATAATGTTATGTATACTTTAAATTTGCTAAGACAGTAGACCTTAAGTGTTCTCACTACAAAAAAAGGTAACCATGTGAGGTGATACGTGTGTGTCCTCATTAACTTGATTATGTTAGTCACTTCACAATCTATGCACATATAAAATCATTACACTGTACACAATGAATACAATTACCCAATTATTTGTGAAAAAAATCCACATTACACACATAGATACACATATACACATGTAAATGCATATATGTGTGTGTGTGTGTATGTATGTATGTATGTATGTATGTATATGAAGGTCCTGGTAAACTTGATACCAAACAGGAGAAAATTATAAAATACAGTTATTTAAAAAGAAAGTAACAAGTGGGAGTTTAATATATGCTCAGCAATGTTTTAAGCTCCCCAGTAACAGAGTATATTTGAGAAATGTATGAAGAAGGTACATTAAATTGTATTGCAGTTGAAGAATTTGGGCATACAGAGTTTAAATTACCAATCTCAGTTTATACTACAAACACTTATAATATTATTTTGAAGTAAAATAGCATTAGACTTTCAAATATTTAGGGAGATGTTTTGTGTTCTAATAAAAATTACTAAGTATAAATTTCTGCAAAATCACATTTGAAACCTCCACTGGATAGGAAATCATAAAGCAGAAAACACACAACATCTGTCTGTAGTGTTTCTGGAATTGAAGAACCCATCCCAATTCAGCACTACTCTCACACGTTTCAGACATGGTGCAAACAGAGAAGTGAAAAAATGGTTTAACATAAAATTTCTCAGTAATAAGCAGATATTTCTGTCCTCAAAAGCAGTGAGATCACACCGTCTCTTATAGGCCATGGGGAAGACTGATTGTCACTGTAAACTCAAAGAATATTACTGAAGGGGAAGTAGATTACTTAGAGAATTCAAGAGCGTGAAATAGATGTTCCCATGCAAAATCAAAAGAAACAAACGCAGGCTTCTCAAAAACTACTTCCATTGGAGCAGAGCTTCTCAGACCACATTTCAAGTCCAGCCTACCCTACCCAACGTGGTAAAACTCTGTCTCTACTAAAAATACAAAAATATAGCCGGGCATGGTGGTGCATGCTTATGGTCCCAGCTACTCGGGAGGCTGACGTGGGAAGATCGCTTGAGCCCGCGGGGAGGAGGTCGCAGTGAGCCGAGGTTGCACCACTGTTCTCCAGCCTGGGTGACAGAGCGAGATCCTGTCTCAAAAATAAATACATTAATTAATTAAAGTAAATATTAAAATTAGCCAAGCATGGTGGCACACGCCTACAGTTCCAGTTACTTAGGAGGCTAAGATGTGCACATCGCTTGAGCCCAGGAGATCAAGGCTGCATAAGCCGAGATTGCACCACTGCACTCCAGCCTGGGTGACAGAGTGAGACCCTGTCTCTAAGTACACACATACATACATACATACATACATAATACATACATACATACATACGATAAAATAAAAATAATATCTTAAAACTATTTTGAATTAAATAACAGATGCTAGTTGGATGTCTGGGTCATTTCCAATTATGAAAAAGTTTACAATATAGGGAAACATGTTTCTAAAATTCGTGGAATGGTTTAATCTATAAAATACTAACATCTGATAGACAGCTCTGGGTTTCTTGTTTCTTAGGTTTTCACTAAAATTTAAAGTTTCTAAGAATAAGAATTCTAGTTAGTATATAATTCTGTAAGTTGTGTTCTTTCTAAGAAGAGATAATTTTATATAACTTGGAGGTTATTTAAAATTTATTTAGCATGCTATAGATGGTCTCTGTAAGCTGTGATAAGAAAATTTATGTAAAAAAATTTATATGTACTTAAAATTGGCCAAGGGGATCCCAAAGAAACCTGAAAAACTAGTCCAAGCCATGAAGGGAAGGAGGGTTGGATGTGCCTCTTCATACCCTCCCCACTTTGGAGTTTAGGAACAACTGACCAGCATTAACATTAAAATTGATATCATAAGACTGGCAATATAGGCTCTTTGAAACAATAAGATACCAAATTATAAACAAGACCTAACACCATGCCTGGCAAGGGTTAAGTCACACACTTCTACACTTAAAAAGTTAACTAGATTCTAACTGCCACAGGATTTTTGTTTTCTGTTAGCAGCCAAAGAAGTACTGGCCTCAAGATAAGTAATATTAAAACAATTTATG
The DNA here is from genome assembly GCF_000001405.40 of Homo sapiens. NCBI lineage: Eukaryota > Metazoa > Chordata > Mammalia > Primates > Hominidae > Homo > Homo sapiens. The sequence goes on along the minus strand of NC_000007.14, from coordinate 63,860,311 downwards.
TGCCGGGTGTGTTGGTTCATGCAGGTAATCCCAGCACTTTGGGAGACCAAGGCAGGCAGATCACCTGAGGTCAGGGGTTCGAGATCAGCCTGGCCAACATGGCAAAATCGTGTCTCTACTAAAAATACAAAAAAATTAGCTGGGTGTGGTGGCATGCACCTGTAATCCCAGCTACTTGGGAGGCTGAGGCATGATAATCGCTTGAACCTGGAGGGTGGAGGTTGCAGTAAGCCAAGATCTTGCCACTGCACTCCAGCCTGGGAAACAGAGCGAGGCTCCATCTCAAAAAAAAAAAGAAAAAGAAAAAAGAAATTACACATCTTCATGCCTTCGTGTCCTGAAAAGACCTTTTGACAGACAGGGTCTAACTGTACATTTAAATGTTGTCTCCATCCCAAAATGAACGTGGGTCATATATTACATGCATATTTATTTGTTCAATACACATGTGTCAGGACCGCCTTCATGAATATTCACAGCTCCTCCTGTAACCTGTTAAACACGTTAACCATTCTGATGTCAGATCATCATAGAAGCTGCAGGTACAACTGACAGTGCAGAACTTAATTATTAATCAATGTAATAGTTAAGATTGAATGCTGGCTGGGCACGTTGGTTCACACATGTAATCCCAGCACTTTGGGAGGCTGAGGCAGGCAGCTCACATGAAACCAGGAATTCGAGACCAGCCTGGCCAACATGGAGAAACCCCATCTCTACTAAAAATTAAAAAAATTAAAAAAACTTAGCCAGGCATGGTGGTGCACACCTGTAATCCCAGCTACTCGGGAGGCTGAGGCATGAGAGTTACTTGAACCCAGGAGGCTGAGATTACAGTGAGCTGAGATCACACCACTACACTCCAGCCTGGGCCACAGAATGAAACTCTGTTTCTCAAAAAAGATTGAATGATGTGGGTACTTCCAGGATAACTCTGGAAATATCCTCAGCCCTACAAGACATGCAAAGCAAACTAATGCTATGTCTGATCCCACAATGTCTAAATCAATGGCTTGCCTCATGATTTGTATCTGGCCCCTCCTGGTGGGAAAAGTTGCTCATGATTACAGGGATAGGATTATTCTTCTGCTGTGGACTGCATTGCTGTTACACACTCCCCATGATGCTCCAGCGGATCTCTTCTCTAAGTCCAGGGACTCTCGAACACTTTCAACTCTGGGTGGATAGGTTCATTCCGTGGCCCCCTGACTATGCCCCTTTTCAATAGGAAGTAGCCAGAATGAATCAGTTGCATGTTTTCCACAGAGACAGAATGAAACTTGACAGTGGGGAGTTTGTAACCAGGGACCTCAGTTATTTAAATCAACCTCTTTTTTTTCTTCCTTCTCTCCCCTCTGACCACTTTATACCTAACCTCTCTAGATACTCCCCTCTGGCAATGCCTGCTTATCCAATTATGCACTTAAAAAATTCCAAGCTGGGTGCAGTGGCTCACACCTGTAATCCCAGCACTTTGGGAGGCCAAAGCAGGAGGACTGCATGAGCCCAGGAGTTCAAGACCAGCCTGGGCAACATAGGGAGACTTCATCTCTACAAAAAAATTAAAAAATTAGCCGGGCATGGTGGCACATACTTGTGATCCCAGCTACTCAGGAGGCTGAGGCAGGAGGATTGCTTCAGACCAGGAGGTCGAGGCTTCAGCAAGCCATGATTGCACCACTGCATTCCAGCCTGGGCAACAGAATGAGATCCTGTCTAAAAAAAAGAAAAAAAAAATCCAGAGACAAATCTTGAAAAAACCAGGCAGGGAGCCCCTGTGGAATTTTCCCACTTGAGGGGGTGTTGGGCACAATTAGTTCACCATCATCAGCCCAAAGTCAGGTAATCAACAACCAGACTTCCAGAAGGGCAAATCCCCAGAAGAGTCACCGGAAGAAGATCCACAGACATGCACACTGCACCCTGCACCACGCCCACATGCCTCTCACATCAAGCTTCCCTTTAAAACTCCTATAGTGAATTTTAAAATGTACGATGGTAATTTATAACACTAGCTCACCATCTTCTTGGTTGTCTGGCTCTCCAATTAAACCCCCTTTTCCTCCTGTCAACCCTCACCTCTTGTGTTCTGGCTTTCAAGTGGTGAGCAGCTGAACCTGGGTCTGGTTACATGGCCACATCATTACCTATATGTGCATGTGTACAAGTGGGCAGAATTATATGGTGACATCTGAATGGGGGAGGGATGTGCCCTCAGAACCCATTCCCTCTGTGTCTCCACTTGCCACTGACCCTGGGACAGACATGAGATTCACAGGACAATTTACAATGTGACAGCCTGTGTGCAGAACAGAGCCTCAATTCTTCAAGACACCTGAAGTCTCCTTCCAGCCCAGGACCTGCGTGACCCATGCTGGGTGATTCACAGGCACACATATGTCCTTGACTCCCCTGATATTCACTGGAGACACTCAACCCTCGGCTCACTACAACCTCCACCTCCTGGGTTCAAGCGATTCTCCTGCCTCAGCCCCCCGAGTAGCTGGATTTCAGGTGTGCACCACCACACCCGGCTAATTTTTGTACTTTTAGTAGAGATGGGGTTCCACCGTGTTGGCCAGGCTGGTCTTGAACTTTTGACCTCAGATGATCTGCCCACCTCGGCCTCCCAAAGTGCTGGGATTACAGGTGTGAGTCACCATGCCCAGCCAATAGTGCATTCTGTGGTAAAATAAAATAACTATTTTTAAAAAGGCAAACAAATGAAAATCTTCCCCACTGTAGTCTCACTTCCCCAAATAACCATGAGGGACACATTTTTGTATCCTTCTGAAATGGCTCCATGACTTTTCCACGCATGCCATCCTTAATAAAAGGGCTCACTCTTAACCCAATCTGCAATCTCAGTTCCTGAGGTTCTAGGCAACATTATCCTACTCTTCGACTGAAGACAAACCTCAAGAAGAGTTTTCCTCTCAGAGCATAAAGCAACCAGAAACCGAGGTGTGCTTCATGATACTGGTGTGTGTGGAGGGAAGGCTGCGCAAGCATCCACGTTGTGCCCAGGCATAACCTTCTTTGCAAGCAGAAACCAGCTCCAAAATAGCTATTTCCTGAATGAGTCGCCACCCATGCTGACCCCTGTTGTCATCTGCCTCCTCCACTGAGCCTGGCAGCTCATAGTTGGAGTATTTATGCCCAGGTGGGCATTCCAGGACAGTGTTCTCCCCCTACACCCGCACTTCTGTACTGGGGACAAAAAAATCAGTTAACAATGAGAAAGAATAGAATTTTTTTTTTTTTTTGAGGCAGAGTTTCATTCTTGTTGCCCAGGCTGGAGTGCAACCTCTGCCTTCCAGGTTCAAGCAATTCTCCTGCCTCAGCCTCCTGAGTAGCTGGGATTACAGGCAACTGCCACCATGCCCAGCTAATTTTTTTGTATTTTTAGTAGAGATGGGGTTTCACCATATTGGCCAGGCTGGTCTTGAACTCCTGACCTCAGGTGATCCACCCGCCTCGGCCTTCCAAAGTGCTGGGATTACAGGCATGAGCCACTGCACCAGGCAGAAATTTTTTAATCTGATGAATGTGAACTACTTCTAAATGATTAGGCCCATGCAGGCACAGAAATTAGGCAACAGTTATGTCTCACTTCCTCCCTTGAGCTATGTAATCACTTTGTGAAGCTGCTTGCTCTGTGGAATCTGGGCTGACTGATGCAACAAGTGGCTATAAATTAACCTAAAATTCCACATGCTGGACAACAAAACCCCTACCCTATAGTTCAACAATGTATATTCAATCACTATCAGTGTTTTTTTTTGTGCAGTTCATGAGCATCATTCCGCAAGGAGTCACCCTAGAGCTGTGAATCATGGGCCAAGCCTTTTGTGTACCAATACATATGTAAACCAGTGCAAATTCCTGACAACACTGTATCAGCCCACTTCCTATTCTTTTATCTTTATAAACCTTGTAACAAAGGCCAAATGTGGTTCCTATTTGAGGTTATTTGAGTCTGAGTCCCCCAAGTAGTCATCCTCACCTTGGCCTGAAGCAAATTCTTTAAAATTATATTTTGTGGCTGGGACCGGTGGCTCACGCCTGTAACCCCAGCACTTTGGGAGGCCTAGGCGGGCAGATCACCTGAGGCCAGGAGTTCAAGACCAGCCTGGCCAACATGATGAAACCCCATCTTTACTAAAAATACAAAAATTAGCTGGGCATGGTGGTGAGCACCTGTAATCCCAGGTACTCAGGAGGCTGAGGCAGGAGAAACTCTCGAACCCTGGAGGCAGAGGTTGCATGCAGTAAGCTGAGATCATGCCACTGCACTCCAGCCTGGGCAACAAGAGGAAAACTCCATCTCAAAAATTTAAAAAATTACATTTTTTACCTTAGCTTTTTTTGTTACGTCAACTTTTCTGGTGCGGTGAGCAGGACTGCAGGATTCAAGACTCTCTTTCCTCCCCACAACCAACCAACACTCTGGGACTCGGTGCCTGGCTGACCAGAACATCTTGTGTTCATTCCTCTGGCTCCAAGTGTACTGTTGAGTGTAAGGGGTGAGTCCTCCTGAATTTAGACCTCCTTATTGGTTGGTGAGACCTAGACTTTACTTGAGCTGTTCTTTTCAACCCTCCCTTTCTAGAAAACACATTTCCATCTCCAGCCACAGGCAGAAGTTTGGGTTTCAAAATTTAAAAAAATAAAAAAGAATGAAAGAAAAGAAAACTTCTTTCTCTGCCTCATGATAGGAGGTCTAGGGTATGATACTGCCAGTCTAACACTGCTGGTTTCACTTTTTTTTTGAGATGGAGTCTCACTCTGTCACCCAGGCTGGAGTGCAGTGGCATGATCTCAGCTCACCGCAACCTCCATCTCCCAGGTTCAGGCGATTCTCCTGCCTCAGCCTCCTGAGTAGCTGGGATTACAGGCACCTGCCACCATGCCCAGCTAACTTTCGTATTTTTAGTAGAGATGGGGTTTCGCCATGTTGGCCAGGCTGGTCTCGAAATCCTGGCCTTAGATGATCCACCCACCTCAGCCTCCCAGAGTGTTGGGATTACAGGCGTGAGCCAACACACCTCGCCTAATTTCATTTTTTTGGACTAAAATCACATAACATGCTTTTAAAATTGCAGCTGCTTCCTAGTCCTTGTAATTTGAACTTGTTTTCTCATTTGTGACCAATTCCTGTTAGTTTCAAACCAAAAGGTGCATGAGGGTGAACTCTCTCACTCCAACTAGAAGAGGCAATTGCTCCGTCTGACCCATTTGGGTGCCCTAGGCAACTAAAGATTTAGCAGAGGTGCTGGGACACTTTTCAATGATGCATACCATTTCTCAATAAGGTATACAAGTCTCATAGGGCCTCCCCACAAGAAGTCCCCACTCCTCTCACCTGTGGGGACTTTTAGCTCAACTGGAAGGTGCACTCAAGGGTTGGCCCATGATTCACAACTCTTGGGTGACAGCTTGAGGAATGATGCTTATAAACTGCACATTTTGACCTGGTACACTGTTCTGGCTCTGATCACTTTTGAAAAGTTCCTAAATTATGAGAAGCTGCTCATCAAAACTGAGCCCTCCCTTCTGGGGCAGCTCCCCTTGGAAACAGTAGCTGGAGTTATGTATAATACCTACAGGACTCCATTTTGCAAATGTCTAGCTAAATGGGCCCACATGGCTTCAGATAACCCCAAATACAATGGCCAAAATGGAGATCTTCTGAAATTTCTAAATTACTAATGCATTTGCATGCATAATTGGAACCAGGTTTTAAAAAAAATTTAATGAAAGCGCCACTTTCCACTTTGTTTTTTCTGGCTTGATTTTTTTTTTTTTTTTTTAGACAGTCTTGCTGAGTTGCCCAGGCTGGAGTGTGCAGTGGAGCGATCTCGGCTCACTGCAGCCTCTGTCTACTGAGTACAAGCGATTCTCCTACCTCAGCCTCCTGAGTAGCTGGGGTTACAGGTGCCCACCACCATACCTGGCTCATTTTTGCATTTTTAGTAGAGAAGGGGTTTCGCCATGTTGGCCAAACTGGTCTTGAACTCCTGACCTCAGGTGATCCACCCGCCTCGGCCTCCCAAAGTGCTAGGATCACAGGCATCATCGCACCCAGCCACTTCTGGATTGTCATAAGAGATTTGATTTTTTAAGACAGCTCTTCTTTCACTCCCTCAAGAAAACCCTTAAACTCAAACACTCTGACGTTGCAGCAAAATTTATAATATATTCCTTGGAGACTTACCACATCTTTGGAGTACTCATTTGTGATCTTCTCTAACCCCATGGACAGTGTTTGTTTTCCTTTTTTTTTTTTTTTGAGACGGATTCTCTCACTGTCATCAGGCTGGAGTGCAGTCGTGCGATCTCTGCTCACTGCAACTTCCCCCTCCTGGGTTCAAGCAATTCTCCTGCCTCAGCAGGAGTAGCTGGGACTATGGGCACATGCCACTATACCCAGCTAATTTTTGTATTTTTAGTAGAGACAGGGTTTCACCATGTTGGCCAGGATGGTCTCAATCTCTTGACCTTGTGATCTGCCCGCCTCAGCCTCTCAAAGAGCTGGGATTACAGGCGTGAGCCACTGTGCCCAGCCTTGTTTTCCTATTTTACTGTCTCTTTTAGTCTTCTGTCTGGCCTCTGTGGTCAGCAGAGAAGCAAAGACTCTAGAATATAGGGCCTGCAGACATGATTGCACCCTACTTGTAGTAAGCTGTCCTTGGGAGAGGTTTTGATTATGAATGAGCAAAAACTTTCTGCTCTCTTTAGAGACCCTGGTTAAAGCCATAAAATACTTTTTGGGTTTGGTCTCATGCGTGTTTATTTCTGTTGGTTTCCAGTCACTTATTCAGGTATACTTTTGATTTAAAATTTGGGTTTATATTTAGAGTGCAATAGCAACTCTTTGTTCTGTTTGGTTAGCCTTCTCTCCTAAGCTAAATGAAAACATATACTCAGAAACAAAGGAAAGTGTTTACTAAAACATTTCAGAGACAAACTACTTTAAATAGTGATTACCCTAGACCTCCGGTAAACAAATATGCCCCATCTCCAGAACTCCCTCTTGATGTAAATTTTAGACTGGAAAAGCCAAGAAACAGGAATGTTTGCTATTTACCTGGCTGAAACCTGATTTTACAAAAATTAAGAGCTCTATAGGAAAAAGTTCACTTCACTAAAACTGATATTTAAGTTATATATGTATACATACATTGATTTGAGGTGTTTTCTCTGACCTCAAATCAATGTATGTATAACTTAAATATCAGTTTTAAATATCAGTTGCTTCACAGTCAACTGAATTCCTCTCTTCTCAAACCCCAGCTACCAGATGTGCTCCCAGTGTCTGTTCCTCTTTTTGTTGACATGATTTTTGCCAAGGATAATGTAAAAACTTCATTGGCCCTTTGGAAAATAAGATTTAAATAATATATTTTAACTCAGTTATTAGAGATGAAACAGCCCACAAAAACTCACCCTACTTCACTTCTTCCGTAATCTTTGTCCTCCTAGTTTTTCTATTGCATCATTTCTATAGTGTCAGAGTAGATAATATTTACATTCTGTTTTTCTCCCCAAAACCTGGGTTGTTTAGTCTTAGTTTTGCAATTATATACACTTAATGCTCCTGCTTGTCCCTTTGCTGAAGTTCCCTTTGCTATCCATTGGTGGGTAAAGTTTATTCATTAACAGTTTCCTCAAGAAAAATATTCCCATGGGAGGCCGGGCATGTTGGCTCACGCCTGTAATCCCAGCATTTTGTGAGGCCGAGGCAGGCGGATCACCCGAGGTCGGGAGTTCGAGACCAGCCTGACAAACATGGAGAAACCCCATCTCTACTAAAAATACAAAATTAGCCAGGCATAGTGGCACATGCCTGTAATCCCAGCTACTCGGGAGGCTGAGGCAAGAGAATCGCTTGAACCCGGGAGGTGGAGGTTGCAGTGAGCTGAGATCATGGGCCACTGCACTCCAGGCTGGGTGACAAAGCAAGACTCCATCTCCAAAACAAAACAAAAAAAAGAGTGAATTGTATAGTAAACAAATCATATCTCAATGAGACTGGGGGAGCCAGTCATCAAAACTCATTGTTGAATATAATTGTGATCTGAGTACTTCACAATGTGTAAAATACACTTCAAAAACTAATGCCACGTGGCCAAGTGTGGTGGCTCATGCCTGTAATCCCAGCACTTTGGGAGGCTGAGGTGGGCGGATCACCTGAGGTCAGGAGTTTGAGACCAGCCTGGCCAACATGGTGAAACCCCATCTCTACTAAAAATATAAAAATTAGCCAGTCATGGTAGTGGGCGCCTGTAATCCCAGCTACTTGGGAGGCTGAGGCAGGAGAATTGCTTGAACCCAGGAGACCAAGGTTTCAGTGAGCCGTCATGGTGCCATTGCACTCCAGCCTGCATGACAGAGTGAGACCAGGTCTCCAAAAATAATAATAATAATAATGTCACCTGCACAGCGTGGTAAATATAGCTAATAATAGTGTATTGTGCACTGCAAACTTGCTGAGAGAGTAAATTTCAAGTGCTCTCACCACAAAAGTTATTTGAGGTGAGAAATATGCAAATTAGACTAATTTTCCACATTGTATTGATGAAAATGCAATGTTGTTTTGTACCCCATAAATATAGGCAAATATTGTTTGTCAATTTACAATAAAAATAAACTTTAAAAATAATTCTGCCATTCATAATGAATGAGTATGGTTGGGTGCAGTGGCTCACACCTGTAACCCCAGCATTTTGGGAGGCCAAGGTGGGCAGATCACTTGAACTCAGGAGTTTGAGGCCAGCCTGGGCAAAAAAGTGAGAACCCCTGTCTCTAGAAAAACTGTAAAAAATTAGCCGGGCGTGGTGGCGAGCATCTGTGTTCCCAGCTACTTGGGAGGCTGAGGTGGGAGGATCACTTGAGCCCAGGAGGCAAAGGGTACAGTGAGCTGAGCTTGTACCACTGCACTCCAGCCTGGGTGACAGAGTGAGACTCTGGCTCAAAAAAAGAGAAAAACGAAAGGGATGGAAACATGTGTACATACTATACGTATGTAACTATAGAGATACTTGCATTTACATAGACTATACTTAGAAGCATACCCAGAGAACTATCAAGACTATGCACCTCTGATATATGAAACTAAGATTGAAAGAAGGGAGGAAAAGGTATACAGGGGAACATTTCCTTTTTCTTTATACCCTTAATTTCTTTCAACAGTGTTGTCTTTCACAATTTATAACTTGTTTTTTTTTGAGATGGAGTCTCACTCTGTCACCAGGCTGGAGTGCAGTGGCATGATCTCAGTTCACTGCAACCTCCACCTCCTGGGTTCAAGTGATTCTCATGCCTCGCCTCCCAAGTAGCTGGGATTATGGGCATGCACCACCATGCCCGGCTAATTTTTGTATTTTTAGTAGAGGCGGGGTTTCACCATGTTGGCCAGGATGGTTTCAATCTCCTGACCTCATGATCTGCCCACCTTTGCCTCCCAAAGTTCTGGGATTACAGGCATGAGCCACTGCGCTGGCCAATTTATAACTATTTTTATTTTTATTTATTTATTTTTGAGACGGAGTCTCACTCTGTCGCACCCAGGATGGAGTGCAGTGGCATGATCTCGGCTCACTGCAACCTCTGCCTCCTTGATTCAAGTGATTCTCCTGCCACAGCCTCCTGAGTAGCTGGGATTACAGGCGCCTGCCACCATGCCCGGCTAATTTTTTGTATTTTTAGTAGAGACGGGGTTTCACCATGTTGGCCAGGCTGGTCTCGGACTCCTGACCTCAGGTGATCCACCCACCTCGGCCTCCCAAAGTGCTGGGATTACAGGTATAAGCCACTGTGCCCAGCCCTATAACTATTTTTAAATAAATTCATTGAATTTCCATTTACTTATTATTTATTTGCTTTTTAAGAGACAGGGTCTAGCTCTGTCACCCAAGCTGGAGTGAAGTAGCAAAATCACAGCTTATTACAGCCTTGAAATCCTGAGCTCAAGTGATCCTCCCAGCTCAATCTCCGAAAGTGCTGAGATTACACCACAAGCTACCAGGCCGGGTCCAGATTTTTTTTTAAATCATTCTGATTAATTTGCATTTTCCTTTGTAACAAATTAATTTTGACTACACTTTGACACGTTTATGAAACACACAAGAAAAAAGTGAGAATGGTTGGGTGCAATGGCTCACGCCTGTAAGCCCAAGAGTTTAGGAGGCCAAGGTGGGTGGATTTTTGAGCTCAGGAGTTCAAGACCAGCCTGGGAAACATGACAAAACCCTGTCTCTACAAAATATACAAAAATTAGCCAGGTGTGGTGGCACGCGCCTGTAATCCCAGCTACTCGGGAGGCTCAGACATGAGAATTGCTTGAACCTGGGAGGTGGAGAATGCAGTGAGCACACCTGTGGTCCCAGCTACTCAGGCGGCTGAGGCACAAGAATCGCTTGAACCTAGGAGTTGAAGGTTACGTTGCTGTGAGCTGAGATCATGACACTGCACTCCACCCTGGGTGACAGAGCAAGGTTCTTGTCTCAAAAAACAAAGAAGTGAGAAGACAGGATGCTTTTTCATTTCAGAATTCAGCAAATCACATTTCTTGGGCAGTGAATTTGACTGAGTTTTCCGAAAAGTCAGGACAGAAATAAATTTTTTCCTTTCTCCACTTTTGAAGGAAAACACAGTATTTATACTATCTTTTATTTCTGACCATGAATACCACATAAATTAATCTTCAGTATTTCCCCCTAGAAATTCTATTGAGCAGAAATGAGCTGTTAGACATTGTAGTATAATGATATCATTTGTGATCATGTATAGCATCTTAGAAAATGTGGCCCAACTAAATCAGCATGGTCAGCATGGTCCTAAGTTGTTTTAGTGAAGTGATCAAATATCAGAGGCTTTAAATAAACCCTGGACAGGTGGCTTAAATTTCTGGTGAAATGTTCGAATCTTCAGTTCAGCTATTTTACACTATCCTTTAAGTGAGAGCATAAACCAGATTTCATGGGTGGAGGGAAAAAATTAACATTTTGAAATAGCTTTTGCTTATCTTAATCAGCAAATAACCTTCAAATAAGGTTCACCAAAATACTTCAACCCAGTAATGTTTTTTGAATGCTTCCCCATTGCTCTATTATACCACTTTTTTTTTTCTATGTTGTTTTTGCAGTGAGCCAATGATTAAGGCATTCTTTTTTCTTTCATTCCCTGATACCACCTGGGGTGGATGCAGCAGATCAATTTAACCTCTGAGTTTACCCAACTACAATATTTTTTCCAATCTGCTCATCTCCTCCAGTTCGGAGCTTTGGACAGTCTCCAACAAAGACTCCAACAGTTAAACATAGATTGGACATCCTACTTGAAACTTACTGAAATTTAGTGTCAGTTACCCAAATCAATTGACCTTCAAATCAAAACATTTTATTAAAAAATGGAACAAGTAGTCTATGCAATCATCATCAAAAAGAAAGATAACTTTTCTGTAGGTTTGGGTTCTTTTAAGTGTAAAATATCAGAGAAAAATTAATCAAATTAAAATAAATGTATTAAATATGTATCTTGATTTGCCATAGCAATTAATTACAGAGAACATCAAGGCTGGCCCAATAATTTGAGAAAGTAGTTTTTCCTTTATACCAAGATGTCATCACACAAATTTTGTAGTTCTGACTTAACTAAAGTTAAGCTATAATGTGTATGAATTCAATTATTCATTAAATAGATAAATGTATTGAGTTGTAAACACAAAATACTCTGTTAGACACTATGGAGAACAAAAAGGTGAATATTACTCTACCCTTAAATGATCTGTAACAAGTAATAAAAGCAGCCGGGAGTGGTGGGTCATGCCTAAATTCTGGTCTAAGGTGGGCAGATCAGTTGAGCTCAAGAGTTTGGGACCAGCCTGGGCAACATGGAGAAACCCTGTCTCTGTGAAAAATATAAAAATTAGCTGGGCATGGTGGTGTGCACCTGTAGTCCCAGCTACTTGGGAGACTGAGGTGGGAGGATCACTTGAGCCTGGGAAGTGAGGCTGCAGTGAGCCGAGATCACGCCACTGCACTCCAGCCTGAGTGACAAAGTCAGACTCTGTCTCATAAACAAAAAAAAACAAAAAACACACACACATAGAATAATAAATGCAACTAAAAACCTAACCAAATTAACAGGCTATAAAGGACTTTATTTTATTTTTTAGTTTTGACACAGGATCTCACCATGTTGCCCATGCTGGTCTCAAACTCCAGGGATCAACGGATTCTCCAACCTTAGCCTCCCAAACTAATGGGATTATAGGTGTGAGCCACCACATACAGTCAGTTTTTCATTTAATTTTATTACTATTTTTTGAGGCAGGATCTTTTCTCTGTCAAGCAGGCTGCAGTGCAGTGGTATAATCGTGACTCACTGCAGCTTTGAACTCCAGGACTCAATCCATTCTCCCACCTCAGCCTCCTGAGTAGCTAGGACTACAGGCACACGCCACCACACCTGGCTAAGCTTTGTATTTTTTTGTAGAGATGGGGTTTCACCATGTTTTCCAGGCTGGTGGATTTATAATCATAACCAAAACAATAACAATTATAGCTACCATTTATTGAACATCCACTATATGTGGGATAAATTCAGTCAATTATAAATTGTGTAATCTATCAAACAAACTTTGGGTTATTGTTCCCATTTTACAAATTATGAAAATAATTCTCAGAGAGTTCAACTAAATTTCCTGAGGTCACAGTGAGTAAATGGAAGGAGCAGAGCTTAAACCTAGGACTGTGTGACATTAAAGGTCATGCTGCTTCCACTGGTGATGCTAACACCACAAGGAGAAACAGTTAAAATTTTTAAATAAAGGCACAGTGCAGTGGCTCATGCCTGTAATCCCAGCACTTTGGGAGGCCGAGGCAGGTGGATCACCTGAGGTCAAGAGTTCCGGAAAAGCCTGACCAACAGGAAGAAACCCTGTCTCTACTAAAAATACAAAAATTAGCCAGGCATGGTGGCGCATGCCTGTAATCCCAGCTACTAGGGAGGCTGAGGCAGGAGAACTGCTTGAATTCGGGAGGCGGAGGTTGTGGTGAGCCGACATCAAACCATTGCACTCCAGCCTGGGCAACAAATGCGAAACTCTGTCAAAAAAAAAAATTAAAATTAAAATTAAATAAATAAAAATTATCAGGTAAAAAATGTTCCTTCTTTCAAAAATACAAAGAAAAAAAAGCCCAGGTATTTAAGATTTTTATAACCTAGTAAAATCTTATGTGTTTTTTATCTGAAAGAAATCATTCTGAAGATACATAACTTGCAACATCACCATTAAACATATCCAGTTTCAAATATGTGTTCACCCCTATCTACCCTTTTTTTTTTTTTTTTTTGAGACAGAGTCACTCTTGTTTCCCAGGCTGGAGTCCAATGGTGCGATCTCGGCTCACTACAACCTCCACCTCCCAGGTTCAAGTGATTCTCCTGCATCAGCCTCCTGAATAGCTGGAATTACAGGCATGCCCCAATACACCCAGCTAATTTTTTTGTATTTTTAGTAGACACAGGGTTTCTCCATGTTGGTCAGGCTGGTCTCAAACACCACTCAGGTAATTCGCCCACCTTGGCCTCCCAAACGGCTGGGATTACAGGCGTGAGCCACCGCACCCAGCTGCCCTGTCTACCTTTATCTTTGCAACTGAGTTCTACAATTCAAATGAACTATCAACTGGGAAATTATTTTTCATATTGATGATATTCTGGTCTTTATAACAAAATCCTTAATTCTAGAAATGATGTACTTTATACATGAAAGAGGAAAGAGAGAAATTTTGTTATTTTCAAGATTTAAAATCTTATTTAAGGCTGAGCATGGTGGTTCACACCTGTAATCTCAGTAGTTTGGGAGGCCGAAGCAGGAGGAATGCTTGAGGCTATGATTTCGAAACTAGCCTGGGAAATAGAGCAAGACCTGGTTTCTACAAAATTTAAAAGTGAGCCAGGTACAGTGGCATGTGCCTGTACCTAGCTGCTCAGGAGGTTAAGGTGGGAAGATTGCTTAAGCCCAGGAGTTTGAGGCTGCAGTGAGCTTTATCATGCCACCGCATTCCAGCCTGGGCCACAGAGTGAGACCCTGTCTCTAAAAAAAAACAACGACAAAAAAAACACTCCACACCTTTTATTTAAGATATGCTTCATCAAGGCCAGGTATAGTGGCTCACACCTGTAATCCCACCACTTTGGGAGGCTGAGGCATGTGGATCACCTGAGCTCAGGAGTTCAAGACCAGCCTGGCCAACATGGTGAAATCTCATCTATACCAAAAATACAAAACTTAGCCGGGCGTGGTGGTGTGCGCCTGTCGTCCCAGCTAGTCGGGAGACTGAGACAGGAAAATCACTTGAACCTGGGAGCCAGAGTTTGCAGTGAGCCAAGATTGTGCCACTGCACTTTAGCCTGGGCAACAAAGTGAGAGAGTGAGACTCTGTCTCAAAAAATAAATAAATAAAACAAAGAAAACAACAACAACATATGCCTCATCACAAGTTAATAAAAACAGAAGTGACATTTTTAAAAGGAATGAAAAGTCTCTTTTGAATATAGGCTTATATTTCTCAATAAGGCTATCAAGTGAAGGTTTTAGCCTTCTTAGTAGCTAGGACTACATGAGTGTGCTACTGCACTTGGCTGAAGTCCACTTTTTTGGAAAGTTCACTTAATAAATGTATATATATTTTTGAGAAGGAGTCTCATTCTGTCGACTAGGCTGCAGTGCAGTGGCACGATCTCGGCTCACCGCAACCTCCACCTCCTACTTTAGCCTCCTAAGTAGCTGGGATTACAGGCACGCACCACAATGCCTGGCTAATTTGTGTATTTTTAGTAGAGACGGGGTTTCACCATGCTGGCCAGGCTGGTCTCAAACTCCTGACCTCGTGATACGCCCACCTCAGCCTCCCAAAGTGCTGGGATTACAGGCGTGAACCACCATGCCCAGCCTAGTTCACTTAATACTTTTACAAACATATATTACACCTTTGCTTGTAATTATAATCACTATTAAAAAATTACTAGCCAGGGCTGGGTGCAGTGGCTCACACCTCAGCACTTTGGGAGGCCAAGGTGGGCGGATCACAACGTCAGGAGTTCAAGCCCAGCCTGGCCAACATGTTGAAACCCTGTCTGTACTAAAAATACAGAAATTAGCTGGGCATGGTGGCAGGCACCTGTAATCCCAGCTACTCAGGAGGCTGAGGCAGGAGAATCGTTTGAACCTGGCAGACAGAGGTTGCAGTGAGCCGAGATCGCACCATTGCACTCCAGCCTGGGCGACAGGGTGAGGCTCTGCCTCAAAAAAAAAAAAAAAAAAAAAAAAACCCAACCAAACAAAAATTACTAGACAGGCAGGGAGCTCATGCCTGTAGTGCCAGTACTTTGGGTTTGCTTGAGCTCAGGAGTTTGACACCAGCCTGAGTAACACGGCGACATCTCATCTCTACCAAAAATATAAAAATTAGGCAGGTTTGGAGGTGCACACCTGTGGTCCCAGCTATTTGGGGGGCTGAGGTAAAAGATCAATTGATCCGGGAGGTCAAGGCTGTAGTGAGCCATGATCACACCAGTACACTCCAGCCTGGGTGACCAAGCGAGACCTTGTCTCAAAGAAAAAAAAAAAAAAGTAAAAACAAACAAGACACAGTATGCCAAGCTGTTCTAAACAGTTAACATTTCTTTTTTTTTCTTTTTTTTTGAGACAGAGTCTTGCTCTGTTGCACAGGCTGGAGTGTGGTGGTGTGATCTCAGCTCACTGCAACCTCCGTCTCCCGGGTTCAAGCAATTCTCCTGCCTCAGCCTCCCGAGTAGCTGGGACTACAGGCGTGCACCACCATGCCCAGCTAATTTTTGTATTTTTAGTAGAGACAGGGTTTCACCATGTTGGCCAGGTTGGCCTTGATCTCCTCACCTCATGATCCACCTGCCTCAGCCTCCCAAAGTGCTGGGATTACAGGTATGAGCCACTGCACTCGGCCCAACATATTTTTTACTTTTGTAGGGGTTTATTTTTGTTGTTGTTGTTTTTTGTTTGTTTTTTGAGACAGAGTCTCACTGTCACCCAGGCTGGAGTGCAGTGGCACAATCTCGGCTCACTGCAAGCTCTGCCTCCCAGGTTCTCACCATTCTCGTGCCTCAGCCTCCCAAGTAGCTGGGACTACAGGCGCCCACCACCACGCCTGGCTAATTTTTTTGTATTTTCAGTAGAGACAGGGTTTCACCATGTTAGCCGGGATGGTCTCGATCTCCTGACCTCGTGATCCGCCCGCCTCGGCCTCCCAAAGTGCAGGGATTACAGGCGTGAGCCACCGCGCCTGGCCACTTTTGTGTTTTTTATTTTTTGAGAAGGAGTCACCGAGGCTGGAGCACAGTGGGCATCTCGGCTCACTGCAACCTCCGCCCCCTGGGTTCAAGCAATTCTCCCACCTCAGCCTCCTGAGTAGCTGGAAGTACAGGTGACCACCATCACGCCCAGCTAATTTTTGTATTTTTTTTTTTTTAGGACAGATGGGGTTTCACCATGTTGGCCAGGCTGGTTGAACTCCTGATCTCAAGTGATCCACCACCTCCGCATCCCAAAGTACTGAGAATACAGGCATGAGCCACTGCGCCTGGCATTTATTTATTTATTTATTTTACAAAAGTTTATTCTTAAATGTACAACAGCTCCAAGACAACACTTAATTCCAGCTATAGGTGGCAAAAGGTGTTATGGCAGTTAATACAGATGTTTCAATATGGATGAAATAAAGGGTTACCATTTCCTCAGGCACAAGCAACAGCTCACTTTTTGGCCAATTTCTTAATTCCACCTGTGGCCAGGGGCCACTTCCCCACGGCCTTCATGTTTAGCTCCTCGAGTTTCTTCTGCTCCTCTTTTTATTTCTGCTTGAAAGCCTTATCTTCCTCGTCCTTCTCCTTGGCCTGCTTCTTGGGCTGTTTCAGGGCCTTCTTCTTGCCACCTTTGCTGCCAGACATGGTGCCTGCCATCCATTCCCCACCCATGGCCTTTATGTTTTATAAATATATAGAGATGGGGCTTTGTCATATATATATATACATATAAAATAACTAAACTCCTAGAATAAGTTTATTGTTTAATATCTGGTTTCCTAGAATTATGAAAATAATCTATACTTTAAGCAAATTGATGTGACATCACTAAATTTTACATACGATGATAAAAACTTCAGAAGTACAGAAAAGGATTTACTACTTAAAACTATGGGCCAACATTTGAGGAGGCTAAGGCAGGAAGATTGCTTGAGCCCAGAAGTTCAAGATCACCCTTAGCAACATAGTGAAACCTGGTCTCTTCAAAAAAATTTTAAAATTAGGCTTGGTGGCACACAATTGGTGGCACTCAGGAGACTGAGGTGGGAGGATCACATGAGCCCAGTAGGTTTTGGCTGCAGTGAGCAGCTGCTGCACTCCAGCCTGGGTGAGAGAGTGAGACCCTGTCACAAAAAAATATAAACAAACAAAGAAACAAAACTACAGACCAGGAATGGTTGCTCATGCCTGCAATCCCAACAGTTTTGGAGGCCGAGGCAGGAGGATCACTTGAACCCAGGAGGTGGAAACCACCCTGGGAAACATTTCAAGACCCCTCCTTTATATTAAAAAACAAATTTTTTAAATTAAAAAATAAATATGGCCGGGCACGGTGGCTCGTGCCTGTAATCCCAACACTTTGGGAGGCTGAGGTAGGCGGATCACCTGAGGTCAAGAGTTGGTAACCAGCCTGGCCAACATGGTGAAACCCTGTCTCTACTAAAACTACAAAAAATTAGCTGGGCATGGTGGCATGCACCTGTAGTCCCAGCTACTCGGGAGGCTGAGGCAGGAGAATCACTTGAACCCAGGAGGCAGAAGTCACAGTGAGCTGAGATCGCACCACTGCACTACTGCCTGGGTGACAAAGTAAGACTCTGCCTCAAAAGTAAATAAATAAGTAAATAAATAAATAAATAAATAGGCCACTGTTACCTCTGTTACCCACATTCTCTTCCATAGGCCATTTTGGCTGGTAAATCTTACCATCCAATCTTTTACATATATGTGTGTGTGTGTGTGTGTGTGTGTGTGTGTGTGTGTGTATACACACATATATTTTGGATATTGAAAGACATTCCATTATTAAAATCATTATCACTTAAAAATGAATTAAGAAGGCCAGGTGCAGCAGCTTATGCCTGTTCTTTGGGAGGCTGAGAAGAATGGGTCACTTTGAGCTCAGGGGTTCTAGACCAGCCTGGCCAACATGGCGAGCGAAACCCCATCTCTACAAAAAATACAAAAATTAGCTGGGCGTGATAGCATGTGCCTGTGATCTCTGCTACTTGGGAGGCTGAGGCTGTGGAATCGCTTGAACCCAGGAGGCAAAGGTTGCAATGAGCCGAGATTGTGCCACTGTACACCAGCCTTGGGGACAGAGTGAGACCTGTCTCAAAAAAAAAAAAAAGAATTAAGATCCAAACAAAAATTAAATAAAGTTATTAGTTGTCTCTTTTTATCTGGCTCATGAGAATATATTCTAGTCAGTAAATGGGGAGCTACACAGTAAGGAAAGTACAACTCAGAAACGGTATGAATCTGGCACTGTCAAAACACAAACACCGTATCAGATGAGCCTAAGTATTCAAGATACAAGGCATATGTTCTTTTGTGGACTAGGAAAAATTCAAGACTTTTTTTTTTTAATAGCTTGAATGAAATTTTCCTTAAACCCCTCCAACTCCATTTGGCTTTTATTCACTCTGATTCTCTGTTTGGGATCATTCCTAGAAATCACAGAATGGATATGAGTCTTGACTCACTGGAAATATACATGCTCCAGTGATAAACGAATGCCTGCGTATGAGCTGGCTTAGTGAGAACTCAGCCCTGAAATCCAGTCTGATCATCTCCAGGCAAAATGCTGTATTACAGTTTCTGGGTATACAAACCAGAAGCCCACATGTGTCTTTGATTGTATGAATAAACACTGATGGATGTGCACACGTCCTTAACAGTTTTTACCAGTTTATGACAAAATGAGTTCAATAAAGACCATGTGCTGTCATAAAACTAAATTATTGAATTTATATGACCTTCCTGTGTTCTGATATTATCTTCTTCCCATTTTAAAAAATTCAAGCTGGTATCCCTTTGTGAATACTTTCAACTCCCACTCTGAATTTTTTCCTCACTGGCCCATTAAATCCAGAAGTCTGGGATTTGTTGCCTGGGATTATACAGGAACTATCAAAATTGCATGGCTTTTTTTTTTTTTTCCTGAAGGATGGTCAAGCTTAGTATTTGATCTAGTACTTACATTTGCAACATGTTGCTACAAGTAATGGAATGTTGCATTATAACCATCTGTTTAAAAACTTTAAAGAAATTACCAATGATTTATCTTACTAACTGAAACAAAATTATAGATAAATAAGCAGAAGAAAATTTTAGCAACTATGTCATCTTTCATTTATAGGTTTTTTTGTTTGTTTGAAAGGGAGTCTCCCTGTGTCACCAAGGCTGGAGAGCAGTGACCCAATCTCAGCTCACTGCCACGTCTGCCTCCCAGGTTCAAGCAATTTTCCTGCCTCAGCCTCCTCCCAAGTAGCTGCGATTACACCACCTGCCACCACACCTCGCTACTATTTGTATTTTTAGTAGAGACGGGGTTTCACCATCTTGGCCACGCTGGTCTTGAACTCCTGACCTCAAGTGATCCTCTCGTCTCTGCCTCTCAAAGTGCTGGGATTACAGACGTGAGCCACCACACCTAGCCTATTTATAGCTTAATGGATTTTAAAATAAACAGATAACTCAATTGTATCTAATTTAGTAATTTTGGCAGGAGAGGGTGGCTGTAATCCCAGCTGCTCAGGATAATGAGAAAGGACAGTAGTTTGAGCCCTGGAATTGAAAACCAGCCTAGGCAGCACAGCAAGACCTAAATTCAACAAACAAACAACAAACAAACATAACCAGAGTATGATTTAGTCCTTTAAACCAGCACTGGTCTAGTATATATAAAAATAATTTATAGGCTGGGCATGGTGGCTCACGCCTGTAATCCCAACATTTGGGGAGGCTGAGGTGGGTGGATCACTTGAGGCCAGGAGTTTGATACCAGCCTGGCCAGCATGGCAAAACCTCGTCTCTACTAAAAATACAAAAAAGTTAGCTGGGCATGGTGGCACATGTGTGTAATCCCAATTACTCAGTAGGCTGAGGCATGAGAATCATTTGAACCCAGGTGTGGCGGTTTCAGTGAGCCAAGATTGTGCCACTGCACTCCAGCCTGAGCAACAGAGTGAGACTCTGTCTCAAATAAATAAATAAATAGATTCGATAAAAAACAATTTATAAATGAAGGGAACAGTTCTCATATTAAGAAACTTTCCCTAGATGTTTTCCTTCATCACCTCAGCAATTTTTGCTTATTTCCTTTAAAGCACATAACTGCAATCTGTCATTTATTCATTTGTCTTTATTTTTTTGCCTGTTTCTCTCAGCAGCATTTAATCTCCTTGAGGTCTCACATTGATCTTTTTCGTTGTCGTTGTTGGAGACATGGTCTCAATCACTGCTCACTGCAGACTCGACTTCCTAGGCTCAAGAGTCCTCCCACTTCAGCCTCCCAAGTAGCTGGGACTATAGGCACAAGCCATCATGCCCGGCTAATTTTTGTAGAGACAGGATTTCACCATATTGGCCAGGGTGGTATCAAACTCCTGAGCTCAAGCCATCTTCCCACCTTGGCCTCCCTAAGTGCTAGGATCACAGGCATGCACCATGGTGCCTAGCCCACACTGGTCTTATTTACCATAGCAGCTCCAGCATTTAGTATGTGCTCAAAAAACATTGACTGTGTGAATGTTAATAATAGTGTTTTTCAGCAAGGGGTACTTATTGAGCATTTAGTATGTTCTAGGCAATGGTACTAAATTTGAGTATCACTAAGCCATGCAAATCAAGATCATGAATAAATGTGATTCATTTATGATGTGGTTCTCCTTTTAAAATGTGTTTCAAAAAGAATATAAGTATGGCCATATGAAAGCAACCTGTCCTCTCTCCTAGTAAGTTACAGGCCCCACGGTCCCCATCCACCCTACCACCACTTTTTTCTTTTTTTGAGATGGAGTCTCACTCTGTTGCCCAGGCTGGAGTGCAGTGGCATGATCTCAGCTCACTGCAACCTCCACCTCCTGGGTTCAAGTGATTCTTCTGCCTCAGCCTCCTGAGTAGCTGGGATTACAGGCACATGCCACCACGCCTGGCTGATTTTTGTATTTTTAGTAGAAATGGAGTTTCACCATATTGGCCAGGCTGGTCTCGAAATCCTGACCTCGTGATCCGCCTGCCTCAGCCTCCCAAAGTGCTGGGATTACAGGTGTGAGCCACTGCTCCTGGCCACAATCACTTATTTTTATCATTACGGACACATAGCTACTTATTTTACACCTTGGATTGTAAATCAAGGTATAAAAGCTTTTTATTTTGTTGCTTAAATTGTTTTGGTTTTGGCCAGTTGAAATGATAGTTGATTTTGTTGTCGTTGTTACTGATTTGTTTTTAAGTTATCTTCTTCCTATATAGCTCCTGTTTCCTCCAATTTCTATTTTTCTATGCATGGGTTTATTATATCTTTCATGGCCAGGTGTGGTGGCTCACATCTGTAATCCCAGCACTTTGGGAGGCTGAGGCGGCTGGATCACAAGGTCAGGAGATCAAGACCATCCTGGCTAACACGGTGAAACCCTGTCTCTGCTAAAAATACAAAAAAAAAAAAATTAGCTGAGCGTGGTGGTGGGCGCCTGTAGTCCCAGCTACTCAGGAGGCTGAGGCAGGAGAATGGCGTGAACCCAGGAGGTGGAGCTTGCAGTGAGCCAAGATCTCGCCACTGCACTCCAGCCTGGGCAACAGAGTGAGACTCTGTCTCAGAAAAAATAAATAAATAAAATAAAATGAATAAATAAAAAATAAAAAATATTATATCTTTCATATTAGACATCTTCCTCAAGTGTTTGATTATCTTTAGTGCTCTGCATATTTGAAGTGAAGGGAACAAAAAAGCCAGTGTGTTGGCCTGGCGTGGTGGCTCACGCCTGTAATCCCAGCACTTTGGGAGGCCAAGGCAGCGGATCACCTGAGGTCAGGAGTTCAAGACCAGCCTGCCCAACATGGTGAAACCTCGTCTCTACTAAAAATTCAAAAAATTTACCAGGTGTGGTGGCACGTGCCTGTAATCCCAGCTACTTGGGAGGCTGAGACAGGAGAATCACTTGAAACCAGCAGACGGAGGTTGCAGTGAGCCGACATCGCACCATTGTACTCCAGCCTGGGCAACAAGATCAAACTTCTGTGTCAAAAAAAAACAAAAAAAAACAAAAAAAAACCTGATGTGGGACCCTCTGAGCCTAAGAGGAACCCACTCACTTTGTGCATCCCTGCCAGTGAAGTGCATGTCTTACGTCAGTATTCTCATAACTTAGCTCTTAGCTGACCATGACTGGTCAGCCTCCCAGAAAAGACTTGGTAGAACTTATTCCTAGAGGTTACAAAGACCTAGTTGCCACCTCTCTACAAAAAGAAATAGGGGGTACAGGGAAAAGAAGGTGGGGTGGTGGTGTTTCATCATTCAATTGATATATGTGGTCACTTAATACTAACGTAGCTATTAGAGTAAGTCATTCCTGTCTACAGCTGATGCATTCCATTACGGAGACTGAAGCTTGGATCTTCAGAGGCTCAATATCCCCGTTGCTGTTTAGAGGGTAGAGTGTTGAGATAGACTTTCGGCAGCTGGACTGGGGATGGGGTGTTCCTTAAACAGCTGACAACCCATTTTTTATTTTAGTATTGCACTTTCAGTTCCAGGAGCACTTGGAGGCTCCATTCCTGAGCATTTTGAAGATACTGTGATGTATATTGACTTAACTCTACTCTTTTCCTCTCTAACAATTTAAGATTTGGCTTTCTTGGGTCTTCTAAATGAGTTTGTTTCTTAGCTCTCTTCCAAAATTTTATTTTTGCTGTTTCCTCCTCTGTTTGCCCCATCTTTGTGAAATTATCCCCATAGTATCAAAGCTGTCTGCAGAATGTAAATTAGTTTAGCCTCAGGAAAGTAGTTTGGAGGTTTCTCAGGAGTAAAAATAGAATTTCCATGCCACTCAGCAATCCCAATACTGGGTATATATCCAGAGGAAAATAAATCATTCTACCAAAAAGAAACCTGTACCCATATGTTCATTGCAGCACTATTCACAGTAGCAAAGACATGGAATCAACCGAGGCGCCCATCAACAGTGGATTGGATGGACAAAATGTGGTACATACACACCATGGAATATGATGCAAACATAAAAAAGAACAAAATCATGTCCTTTGTAGCAACATGGATGCAGCTGGAAGCCATTATCTAAAGTGAATTTATGCAGAAACAGAAAACCAAATACCACATGCTCTCACTTATCAGCAGGAACTAAACACTGGGTACATAGGAACATAAACATGGGAAGAAGAGACACTGAAGACTCCAAAAGCAGGGAAGGAAGGGGCCAAGGATTGAAAACTTTTGTATTGGGTACAATGTTCACTATTTGGGTGACAGGATCAATAGAAGCCCAACCCTCAGCATCAGGAAATATACCCACATAACAAACCTGCATATGTAACCCTGAATCTAAAATTAACATTATAGTAATAGTAAAGCTGCCCAGTAATTCTTTGCTATTCCTCCAATTTTGAGGTGGGGTCTAATCCCCTTCTCCTAATCTGAACTGGCCTTAGTGCTTGCTCATCCAATAGAATACAGCAGAAAGGACAATTGACCATTTTCTAAAACCAGGCCTTAAGAGACTTAAGGCAGCTTACAGTTCTGCCTCCTCTCCCTTGGGACACTCATTCTTGAAATCCACACTGTGAGGAAGCCCAAGCAGCCATGAGGAGGCTCATGTGGAGGTAGATAAAGAGCTTTTTCCAACAGGCCAAGGCTGAACTCCCAGAAGACCTCAGCCATGTGAGGGAGCTCCCATAGAAATAAAATCTCTATGTCTACTTAGGCAACTCCAGCTGATACAATATGAAAAAAATATCAAGCTGTTCAGCTGAGTTATTCCTGATTTCCTGATCACAAATCATTAGCAAAATAAAATTAAGTTAGTAAGTTTTGGGTAGTTTGTTGCACTGCAAGAGATAACCAAAACAGGGCCCTTTAAAAAATTCCTTTTCAGCCGGGTGCAGTGGCTCACACCTGTAATCCCAGCACTTTTGGGAGGCCGAGGTGGGCGGATCACAAGATCAGGAGATCAAGACCATCCTGGCTAACACGGTCAAACCCCGTCTTTACTAAAAAATACAAAAAATTAGCCAGGCGTGGTGGCATGCACCTGAAGTCCCAGCTACTCAGAAGGCTGAGGCAAGAGAATCGCTGGAACCTGGGAGGTGGAAGTTGCAGTGGGCCAAGATAGCACTCCGCCTGGGCAACAGAACAAGAGTCCATTTCAAAAATAAATAAATAAATAAAAATTCCTTTTCTGTGTATTAATATGCTATGGCTGCTGCCCTAACAAAATACCATGAACTGGGTGGCTTAAACAATATCAATTAATTATCTCACAGTTTTGGAGGCTGAAAGTTCCATGTTAAGGCACTGGCAGG
Source organism: Homo sapiens (assembly GCF_000001405.40). Lineage (NCBI taxonomy): Eukaryota > Metazoa > Chordata > Mammalia > Primates > Hominidae > Homo > Homo sapiens. The sequence goes on along the minus strand of NC_000007.14, from coordinate 63,835,636 downwards.
GTTGATTTGATTCTAGGGCCCCTCTTCTTGGCTTTACAGATGGTCATGTTCACTCTATGTCTTCACATGGTCTCTCTTCTGTTTTCACACATCCCCAGTATCCCTTTGTGAGCCCAAATTTCCTCTTCTTACAAGGACAACAGTCAGATTGTATTAAGGCCCATCCTAACAGCCTCATCTTAATCATTTTAACTCTTTATTGTTTATTGATTTTTAAAATTCTTATTCTTTTGACATAGGGTCTCTCTCTGTCACCCAGGCTGTAGTGTAGGGGCATGATCTTGGCTCATTGCAACCTCCACCTAGCTGGTTCAAGTGACTCTCATGCCTCAGCCTCCTGAGGAGCTGGGATTACAGGCATGTGCAACCACACCCAGCTAATTTTTGTATTTTTAGTACAGACAAGGTTTTACCATGTTGGTCAGGCTGGTCTCGAACTCCTGGCCTAGAGTGACCTGCCCGCCTCAGCCTCCCAAAGTGCTGGGATTACAGGCATAAGCCACCATGCCCTGCCCACTTTAACTCTTTAAAAGCACCTCCAAATATGGTTACATTCTGAGATACTGGGGATTAAGTCTTCAACATATGGATTATGGGATTAATACAATTCAGACTATAAATTATGGATTAAGGAGTTTCAAAATAGAGCAAAATTACACATATGTGTTCAATGTACCATTTTTTTCCCCCAGCAGTCCCTGGTTTGTTTTTCCACATTACGAACTCAGTGCCCAAGTGCCCACAGATTCAAAACAACACAACAAAACATAATAAGCCCCTTTAAAATGGCTTTTAAGCCTAGTTCATTTTACCCTTTATATAGAACAGGGCATCTGTTTAATGAACACCAAGCATAAGGCAGAAAATATTGTATACAAGATGAAAAAGGAAGTTTGCCCATAAATCGTGGGTAGAACCAGTTTTTTAAACAGTGCATAAGGGGCAAATAATGTTTATAGTCATTCCGGAATCAAAAATCTGGGAAAATTACCAAGTAAAAGCACTGCAAATCTCTAGTCCCTTATCATAAAATAAGGAGCCTTGTGAGTGCTTGTATGTGACACCTGCTAGGCCAATTTATTAGCAATATTAATAAAGTCAATTATTTGATGTTATGCAGTTAGCTTTCTGTTTCGATTGCTTATTGCTGCAAACAAAAAACTTCAGAGGCTTAAAGCAAAGACCACCACTTGTTACTTTTTAATTATGTGGGTTATCCAGGCAGTTCTGTGGGTCTGGCTTTTGGGTGACTGCAGCCACCTCGTTGGTCATTGGGCCTGAAGTCACCTGGAAGCCCCATTAGGATAACCTCTCCTATCCATGGGGCCTCTCCCTCATGGTCCCTCTCCCAGGATAGCTGGACTTCAACATGGCAGCTCAGAGCACCCCCACAATTGCAAAAATGGTAGATGCCTGTGCTCAGGTATCACAGAGCATGACTTCCTTCTACTGTTTAAAGCAAGTCAGAGGCCAGCATCAATTCACTATGGGAGGAGACTCCACAAGGGTGTGACTATGGTTCACCGGGCCCATTGCTAGAGGCCAGCTGCCCCACACTCCTTCTGGACGTTTTGGGTAAATCACTTCATCTTTTTGAGCTTGGGCAATTGCAATAGTCTCCTATTTGCTCTCCCTATTCTACTTTTGCCCCTCTTCAGTCCATTCTCTTCTGCAGCCAGAAAGATCCCATAAAACACAGGTCAGGATCAGGTGTGGTGTCTCACACCTGTAATCCTAGCACTTTGGAAGGCTAAGACAGGAGGATTGCTTGAGGCCAGAAATTCGAGACCAGTCTGGACAACATAGTGAGACCCCATCTCTACGAATCTAAAAATGAAAATAAAAGTATCTGGGTGTCATGGTGCACACCTGTATTCCCAGCTACTTGGGAGGCTGAAGTGGGATGATCACTAGAGGCCAGAAGTTGGAGGCTGCAATGAGCTATAATTGCACCACTGCACTCCATCCTGGGTGACAGAGCAAGACCCCAACTCTAAAAAAAAAAACTAAAAATAAAAAAAAAAACAAAAAATAAAAACCTCTGATCAAATTGGCTCTCAGGTCAAAACCCACTGCTGCTTTCCACTGAGAATAAAGCTGAAGTTAGTTCCTGCAACTTCCCACATGGTCCTCCCACTCTTCCTTCTACCCCACGTCATCCTCCAATCTCATCTTCTACTCCTTTCCCATATTTCACTCTATGCAGCCACACATTCTTGTTCCTCATTAAGGACTCCAGGCTCTCTCCTGCCTCCGTCTTTTCATTTGCTGTTCCCTCTGCTTGGAATGCTGTTCCCTGCATATTCCTGACTCACTCCCTCATCTCCTTCCAGTCTTTACCCAAATGTCACTTCAGTGAGGACTTCCCTGACCACCATCTTTTAATAACTGTCTCCCACTTAGCTGTCATTCCATGTCCCCATTCCTTGCTCCACTTTTCCCCAGAAAGCACTTATTGCCACCTAATATGCTGAGTAATTTACTGACCCTTTTTTTTTTCCTTCTGAGATGGAGTCTCACTCTGTCACACAGGCTGGAGTGCAATGGCATGATCTCAGCTCACTGCAACCTCCGCCACCTGGGTTCAAGCAAGTCTCCTGCCTCAGCCTCCTGAGTAGCTGAGATTACAGGTGTACACCATCACGCCTGGCTAATATTTGTATTATTAGTAGAGACAGGGTTTCACCATGTTGGTCAGGCTGGTCTCAAACTCCTGACCTTGTAATCCGCCTGCCTCAGCCTCCCAGAGTGCTGGGATTACAGGCGTGAGCCACTGCACGTGGCCTTACTGACTTGTTTAGCATAGTTTCTTCCATGCTCACATGACTGTAAGCTCTTTGACATGATGGTTTTGTATGAACAACTTTATTGAGATATAATTTACATACCATAATATTTACCCTCTCACAGTACACAATTCCACAGCTTTGAGTATCATAACAGAGTCATGTTATCATCACCACTATCTAATTTGATGGTTTGATTGATTGACTGGACTTTGGAGATCCTTTATTGCTCCCACACAGGGAAATCGAAACCTAGAGAAATCGAGTGATTGCCCAAGGTCACCTGGCTGACTAATGACAAAAAAACTGAGCTGGAATCCAGGACTTTAGTTCTCAGTCCAGAGCTCTGCCAACCACAGCATTTCAGATTTCTACTTCGATGATGCCCTGGTTTTTTATTTAGTCCTATAAGTTAAAGACATACTTGGTTAGCCAATTTTTTTCTTTTTTTTTTTTGAGACGAAGTTTCACTCTTGTTCCCCAGGCTGGAGTGCAATGGTGTGATCTTGGCTCACCACAACCTCCGCCTCCCAGGTTCAAGTGATTCTCCTGCCTCAGCCTCCCGAATAGCTGGGATTACAGGCATGTGCCATCATGCCCAGCTAATTTTTTTTTTTTTTGAGACGGGGTCTTGCTCTGTCGCCCAGGCTGGAGTGCAGTAGTGTGATCTCGGCTCACTGCAAGCTCCGCCTCCTGGGTTCATGCCATTCTCCTGCCTCAGCCTCCCGAGTTGCTGGGACTACAGGCGCCCGCCACCATGCCCGGCTAATTTTTTGTATTTTTAGTAGAGGCGGGGTTTCACTGTGTTAGCCAGGATGGTCTCCATCTCCCGACCTCGTTATTCGCCCGCCTTGGCCTCCCAAAGTGCTGGGATTACAGGCGTGAGCCACCGCGCCCGGCCGCTAATTTTGTATTTTTAGTAGAGACGGGGTTTCTCCATGTTGGTCAGGCTGGTCTCGAACCACCGACCTCAGGTGATCTGCCCACCTCGGCCTCCCAAAGTGCTGGGAAAGACTGAGCCACCGTGCCAAGCTGCCAAAGATTTTTTATAACCCCCATAAAGCATTCTCCCTTCTCTAGGAAACCACTTTTTTTTCCTCTAACAGTTTTGTGACCCAACTTAATTTTAGAAAAACAAAAATAAAAACACTGTGCTTTGCTGTAGGAACCTATTAAAAAAATGACATTGCCTTGAAAATGGACAGTGGGTAAAGCCTGACATAAATCCTGTAAAGGGAAAAAAGGATGAAGAAGCTGAGGTCCCCAAATCACCCAGCTTCATGACTGATGGTGCTAACATTTGTTGACTGACATGGAAGATTCTAGTAGTTGTTTGTCTGTAGACTCAGAAGCTTCTTTGAGCTGGAAGGAACCTTGGTAATTGTCTACGAGGAAACAGAGCCCCAGAAAAAGCAAGCCTTGTGACCAGAGTCATGGGGCAGAGCTAGGGCAGAAACACGTGCCTTCCGATCCTTAGCCTGATGATGTTCTAGGACAGAATGTTTTCAAGGATCCAAGGAAAAGGCTTTTCATTTAAATTGAGTGAGTGCAAATTGAGAAGTTATTAGGTTGGTGCAAAAGTAATTGCGGTTTTTGCCATTGCTTTTAATGCACCAACCTAATACGCTGAAATTACTTTTGCACCAACCTAATATGTTGAAAGTCAGAGTATATTTGCAGTGATAAACACTGTTGAACCCTTATTATGATCCAGGAACTTCTCTATGCCTTGAAATGGATTGAGCATCTTTCTCTGGGCTGTTGGTCAGCTTTCACCAGGTTATGTTGCAGCAACAACCCTGAAATCTCATTGGCTTACAGCAACAGAGTTTTCCTTCTTGTGCATTATATGTTGTTTGTGATGGCTTGGGATCTGCCCATATGGTTTCTTCAATGCAGGATCCAGGGCCATCATGGAACCTGGCAGTATTTGAAGGGCTGTCAAACTTTTCTTTTTTTACTTTTTTTTTTTTTTGAGATGGAGTTTCTCTCTTGTTGCCCAGGCTGGAGTGCAATGGCACGATCCCAGCTCACTGCAACCTCTGCCTTCCAGGTTCAAGAGATTCTCCTGCCTCAGCCTCCTGAGTTGCTGGGATTACAGGCACCTGCCACGACACCCAGCTAATTTTTGTATTTTTAGTAGAGACCGAGTTTCACTACGTTGGCCAGGCTGGTTTTGAACCTCTGTCTCCTGCATTCAAGCAATTCTCCTGCCTCAGCCTCCGGAGTAGCTGGGATTACAGGCATCATAACCATGCCCGGCTAATTTTTTTTTGTATTTTTATGGTTTTATTTTTATTATTATTATTTTTTTGAGACAGAGTTTTGCTCTTGTAGCCCAGGCTGGAGTGCAATGGTGCAATCTTGGCTCACTGCAACCTCCACCTCCCGGGTTCAAGCAATTCTCCTGCCTCAGCCTCCCAAGTAGCTGGAATTACAGGCATGTGCCACCATGCCCAGCTAATTTTGTATTTTGAGTAGAGGCGGAGTTTCTCCATGTTGGTCAGGATGGTCTTGAACTCCCGACCTCAGGGGATCTGCCCGCCTCAGTCTCCCAAAGTGCTGGGATTCGTGGCAAGAGCAACTGCACCTGGGCTCTTTTGTATTTTTAATAGAGATAGGGTTTCACCATGTTGGCCAGACTAGCTGAGTATCTTCTCATGTGCTTATTAGCCATTTGTATGTCTTCTTCGGAGAAATCTCTATTCAAGTCCTCTACCTATGTTTTAAATGGATTGTCTTTTATTGTGAAGTTATAAGAATTCTTTATACATACTGGATACAAGTCCCTTACCAGATATATAATTTGCAATTATATTTTTCTATTATGTGGCCACCTTTTCATTTTTTTTTCTTTCTCTGAGACAAGGTCTTGCTCTGTCACCCAGACCAGAGTGCAATGGTGCAATCAGGGCTCACTGTAGCCTTGACCTCCATGTGGTTGGATAACATACTGTGCATTTTAATCTTTTAAAAATTATGGAGACTTCTTTATGTGTTAATGTATGGCCTCTCCTGAGAATGTGTACTTGAGAAGAATGTGTGTTCTGGTATTGTTGGGTAGAGAGTTTTAGGTGGTTTGCAAAGCTCTTCCAGTTCCTATTTCTTTGCTTCTTTGATCTTCTGCCTGGTTGTTCTATTCATTATTGAAAGTGGGTAATCACATCTCCCACTTTTATTGGTAAATCTATTTTTGTCCTATATTTTCTCAGTTTTTTGCCTCAGGTATTTCAGAACTCTGTTATTAGGTGCCTAAGTGTTTATAATTGCCATATCTTCTTGATGAATTGATCCTTTTATCATCGTAAAATGTCCTTATTTGCCCTAGTAACTACTTTTGTCTTAAAGTCTTTTTTTTTTTTTTTTTTTTTTGAGATGGAGTCTTGCTCTGTTACCTGGGCTGGAGTGCAGTGGCACGATCTCAGCTCACTGCAACATCTGACTCCCAGGTTCAAGCGATTCTCCTGCCTCAGCCTCCTGAGTAGCTGGGATTACAGGTGCATGCCACCACACCTGGCTAATTTTTTTTTGTATTTTTAGTAGAGACGGGGTTTCACCATGTTGGCCAGGCTGGTCTTGAACTCCTGATGACCTCAGGTGACCCGCCTGCCTCGGGCTCCCAACATGCTGGGATTACAAGCGCGAGCCACTGACCCCAGCCTTAAAGTCTGTTTTGTCTGCTATTAGTGTAGCCATTCCAGACCTCTTTGGCTAGTGTTCATATAGTGTATCTTTTTCATCCTTTGATTTGCTTATTTGTGTCTTTGAGTCTAGGGTGTATCTTTTACAGACAGCATATACTTGGATCATTTTTTAAAGTCCATCAAGGGCAATGAGCTTTGTTTATTTGTTTCTTACTGTATTAATAGCACCTAAAACCGTGTGAGGCGTTTTTTTTTTTTTTAGAAGTCTCATTCTATCGTCCAGGGTGGAGTGCACTGGTGTGATCTCGGCTCACTGCAACCTCCGCCTCGTGGGTTCCAGTGATTCTCCTGCCTCAGCCTCCTAAGTAGCTAAGATTACAGGCACCTGCCCTCACCCCTGGCTAATTTTTTTATTTTTTGTAGAGACAGGGTTTCACCATGTTGGCCAGGTTGTTCTCAAACTCCTGACTTCAGGTGATCTGCCCACCCTGGCCTCCCAAAGTGCTGGGATTACAGGCTTGAGCCACAGCGCCCAGCCAAGGCTCTTAATAGGTACTCTATGGCAATCTATTGAGGAAAGGAATAAATCCTCATATGTTAAATGGGATGACAGATCCCTCTCTCACTAGTACAGAGTTATGTGGGTCATCAAATATAATCACTTAAGTTCAAGTCTCTTTAAAATGCTAATATGTTATGTAAATTTAAGTGAATAGTGAAATCCTATTTAACTCTAAGCCCTAGGCAAAGTTCCAGAACTCTAATTGGGTCATGTTTAGAAGGCAAAATTGTTTCCGGAAAGGGGTCCGGATCCATACCCCAAGAAAGCATTCTTGGATTTCACACACAAAGAATTCAGGACGAGTCCATAGAGTAAAATGAAAGCAAGTTTATTAAGGAAGTAAAGAAATAAAAGAATGGCTACTCCATATACAGAGTAGGACGTTCCCGAAAGTAAGAGGAGGAACACATCCACCCTAGGTACAATACTTGCTTATACACAGGATAAAAAAAAATTTTTAAAGATTATGGGGAGATGTGCTCTGCTACAAGGGTTTGTGGTAATGGATTTTCTTAATGACTATATTTTGCAAGAATCGATATTATTATCTTTAAAGCAAAATTAGGAATGCTTCTGTTCTCAAGACAGCGGGATATCAGGACACCCTTATGTCTGGGTCTGTTTAGTAAACATTATCAATCTGTTCCCTTAACCATGAACATCTAGAGGCTAGGAATGCTTAACTTTTTGTTGTTGTTTTTGTTTTTCAGAGACGGAGTCTCGCTCTGTCACCCAGGCTGGAGTGTAGTGGTGCAGTCTTGGCTCACTGCAACCTCCGCCTCCTGGGTTCAAGCAGTTCTCCTTCCTCAGCCTCCCGAGCAGCTGGGACTACAGGAACCTGCCACAACGCCCGGCTAATTTTTGTATTTTTAGTAGAGACAGAGTTTCTCCATGTTGGCCAGGCTGGTCTCCAACTCCTGACCTTGTAATCTGCCCACCTCGGCCTCCCAAAGTGCTGGGATTACAGGCATGACCCACATGCCTGGCCAGGAATACCTAACTTTCTGGGAATGCAGTCCAGCAAGTCCCAGTCGCATTTTTTTCTAACCCTCACTCAAGATGAAGTCACTCTGGTTCGAATGCCTCTGACAAAATTGCCGTTTGCAAAATAACAGACAATAAAAGTGATGTCTGGGCTTGCCTCTTCCTCTCCAGTCAACTCCATCATCAACCTTTCTGGGTTCTGGGCTCTTCTTTCTTGGGTTCAATTTCTCTGTTCCCTCTGTTCTCCCATGAAGCCAGATTCAAAGTTAGTGCAAGCGTACGGCCTTTATAAGCTCCAAGCCAGTCCTCAACAGAGGTCATTCCAATCCCTTACTCTCACACACCTGCTATGGTTAGAATTGGGATAAAGGGGCTAGGAGAGACCCTGCTTGGACCTTGATCCAAAATGACAGGTTTCAGTACAGTGTTCCAGAAATTCTCTTAATGGTTTATTGGGCACCAACTCAATAAATAAGGTAGCCCTAGGATGCCTTAGCACCTCTTATTGGTTCTTGTAACCCTCCTTACTACTCTATAAATAATTACTTCATTAGATGCCTTTCAGTATATTTGTAGAGGATTTTCTTTTCTGATTCCTGTCTCCAACTCTCACTGGGCTTCCTCTCTTTCTCTCTCAGGCTGCCGGGGATGGTGGCTTCCCACTGCTGCTACTTCCCCAGTGCAACAATAGACCTTGTTGTTCCCTTAATTCTATGTATATTTCTTGGTTTCTAATGTAACCTCATCTCCCTGTGACTTCCCTCTAAGGGAACTTCCCTCTAAGGCCAACCAGTCTTGTCATAAAAGCAGTCCACCCAGGGCCTTCTCTGTGGTGCCTGAAATCTGGCCAAAAGGTGACTTCACCACTCATTCCTCACCCAACAGTTATTGAAGAAATAAATATACCAGTGTTTTTTCTTTTTTATAACAAAACTCCTGAAAAGAGGGGTCTTTACTTATAGTCTCTGATTTTTTTTCATCTCAACCCCATGGTTAAGGTTTGGCTGTGTTCCCACCCAAATTTCATCTTCAATTGCAGCTCCCATATTTCCCACGTTTTGTGGGAGGGACCCAGTGGGAGATAATTGAATTGTGGGGGTGGTTTCTCTTACACTGTTCTCATGGTAGTGAACAAGTCTCACAAGAGCTGATGATTTTATAAGGGATTTCCCCTTTTGCTTGGCTCTTTCATTCCTTCTTTGCCTGCTGCCATGTAAGATGTGCCTTTCACCTTCCTCCATGATTGTGAGGTCTCTCCAGCCACGTGCAACTGTGAGTCCATTAAACTTCTTTTTTTATATATATATAAATTACCCAGTCTTAGGTATGTCTTTATCAGCAGTGTGAGAGCAGACTAATACATCCCACTGCTCCATCATATTTTCATTCCCACTCTTCCACAAATGCTATTTGTGTCAATATCATTACTGACCTCCACGTTGCTAAATGCATGGACCAATTTTCAGTCTTATTCTGACTTGATGATGGGCAGCATTGACAAAATCGATTCCTCTTTCCTCCTTGAAACACCATTCCAAGGTTTAGGAAAACCTCTAAACCATGGAGGGCCCGGGGCTCAATGGGCCTCTCTCCTTCTCCAATGATCTTCATTCATTCCCTTGGTGAATTTATCCAGCCATGTGGCTTACATACAATCTGCATACTGATCTATATGCAGTATGCAGAGGCCCATCTGCATCCTGGGCCTCTCCCTGGAATTTCAGCTGCACATATCTACCTTTGCAATATCTTCACTTAAGTCTCTCATGGACATCTCAGGTCAAACTCCTAATTTTCCATATTTCAGTAAGTGGCAACTCGATCGTCTGATGCTTAGCCTAAAATCCTTGACATCATCTTTGGCTTCTTTATTTCTCACACCCCACATCAGTAAATCTTGTCACATCTACCTTCAAAATATATTCCAGTTCTGACCTCTTCCCACCACCTCTACTGCTACCATTGCAGGACAAGGGTACAAGCCATTGACATGTAAATATGTCCTTGTTCAAATAGATGTCCCTTGACACAAATCTCCCTCCAGCTACCACCCAAAGGATGGTTAGTTTTCTCTCATTATTTTGGTCTCAGCTCTCTTATAAATTTTTATATTTTTTATTTATGAGACAGGGCCCTACTCTGTCACCCAGGCTGGAGTGCAACGGCATGATCATACCTCACTACATCCTCCAATTCCTGGGCTCAAGTGATCCTCTCATCTCAGCCTCCTGAGTAGCTGGGACTACTGGCACGTGCCACCATGCCTTGCTAATTGTTTTAATCTTTTGTAGAGGTGGGGTCTCTCTGTGTTGCTCAGGCTAGTCTTGAACTCCTGGGCTCAACCGATCCTCTTGCCTCAGTGTCCCAAAGTGCTGGGATTACAAATGTGAGTCACCATGCTCAGTCTCCACTCTCTTTAGAGAAGTCTTCACTGACACACCCATCTAAGGTTGCTCCCACTTTATCACCATCTTTCTCCAGCCATTACACAATTTTTATTGCTTCCCTATTATCACTATGTAAAACATATATTTTACATATTTATCTTTTTTTTTTCTCCTTCAGTCTTGTAAATGTGTGTAACTTCTATGCTATGAAGTACCAAGAGCTTGGTACAGGGCTCATTCATATTATGACTGCCAACAAATATGTGTTATATTATCAAATAAGTACTCTTTAAAGCCATTCTTTTCTAAGAATGCTATAATGAATATACTAATGTATATTAGTGGTTTCCTTAAGCCTCATGGTATTGTGGTCAGAAGGAAATGAGATGACATGTTGAAAGCACTTTGTCAACTACAAAACATTATCTGAATATAAAAAGGTGCTCGCATTAATAAACATTCAAGGTTTCCTAAAACAAATGTCTTCGCTGAAGGAGGAGGATCCCTATATTTGGTATTTTTCTGGCCAAGGCAAGCTCATAAACTGACAAGGACACATGTGCGCACTCAAGATTAAGGGCAAAACTTACATCCTATGTTTATGTTACATTGTTCTGTAATGCTTGTTTTGGCTTTATTGTGTGAGTTTAAAATGTCAAAGTATAAAAAACTCAGTAGGGGATGGCCCCTACTTAATGGAACAGCCAGGTTCCTCTGCTTTGACATTGTTCCCCAGAGTTTGCTGGGTGACTTCCCAGGAGCCTTATAACTGCATATGCCAATGTCAAGCGTATGACAAAAATAGTCTTAGCTCAAATATTTTCCCCTAGGCATTCTATTTTTTTAAAATCTTAGGAAAAAGAGAAAATATACATACAAACTCTGTAGTATGAATGTATGTGGGGGTTTTCCCCCTCCTCTTTATCACTTTAAGGAAAGCTTCTACTTTACAGACATAGTCAAGAGTAAGGTTGAGGGAACATTAAAGGGGAGAAATGCTACCTTCTTTTTGTTTTAAAATTTTATGGCTGGGTGCGGTGGCTCATGCCTGTGATCCCAGCACTTTGGGAGGCTGAGGCTAGGAGGATCACCTGAGGCTAGGAGTTCAAGACCAGCCTGGCCAACATGGTGAAACCTCATGTCTACTAAAAATACAAAAATTAGCTGGATGTGGTGGCGTACACCTGTAGTCCCAGCTACTCTGGAGGCTGAGGCAGCAAGACTCCTGTGTCACCAGGGCTGGAGTGCAATGGTGCAATCTCGGCTCAATGCAACCTCCACATCCCACATCCCAGTTCAAGCGATTCTTGGGCCTCAGCCCCCTGAGTAGCTGAGATTACAGGTGCCAGCCACCACACCCAGCTAATTTTTTGTATATTTAGTAGAGACGGGGTTTCACCATCTTGGCTAGGCTGGTCTTGAACTCCTGACCTCGTGATCCACCCACCTTGGCCTCCCAAAGTGGTGGGATTACAAGTGTGAGCCGCCGCACCCAGCCAAAAAATTTTTATTCCAAGTGTTTGACCTTAGGATTTTCTGGGCTTTTTTGGTCAGCCAGTGTATCTAGGTCAGGCATTTCAGATGTGGTTTTGTCATACACCATGGGCCGTGTCCAGGCATCCATCAGCCCACACCTCTGTTTCTGGCCCACTGAATACACTCACATCTATACACAAAGTACCTACATGGCATTCATGCTTCTCTTGTCACCTCTCCAGTAAAATGTTCCAGCAAAAGACAGCAAGAGCCTGTGAGCACATCCCCACCACATACTTCCTTGGAATAAAGTATCCTGACTCAGAGACAGACATGATGCACAGTAAATTATGTTCAGCCATCCCGTAGGATTTCAGCCACTGTAGCTCTCTGAAAAGTCAGAATTTGTGGCAAACGGTAACGAAGAGGGTATGTGTTTCCTCCCCATTTATAGAAGCTAAATCTATTTTTCCTTAAGGGTGAGGTCATAACCACAGTATTTGCAGCAATCCCTTCCATCTCAGTAGACAACATGTTTTTCTGAAAATACATTCCACAGACCATGAGAGATGCAAGGTGGTCTCTAATAGAAGGCACTGGTGGTCAAGTAAGTACAGATACTCTGCATACCATAGTGCCCTGTAGGAGATAGTCAACGCATAATAGCAGAGTAAAGCCTCTGAGATTTTTCTGCAAGGGAAAAAAAAATCACTTAATCTTGCATAACTCTATACTTCCTCAATTTATATCATAGAACTCTTGACACTTATTTCTCTTAAAACCAGTGTTCTATCAAATGGCCTTTGGGAAACACTGTTGTGGACTCTTAGATTTGTGAGCAAATCTAATTAACTTTATTTCAGACCTTGAAATGTGAGAAAGGGCTAATTGGTGTTGCATTTTCTTACCAAACTGTCTCACAATGACTCTGCATCAAATTAAGCCAGAAGTGCGAGCATGTTCCTAAACAGCAGGGCAGAAAGCTTCACCAAAGCCTCCTGCTCATGATGAAGAAATATGATGTTCTTAACATTAGAATTGCATATATTTTTCGCATAAGTGCATTCCAACCATATAACTTTACATTTAGGGAAACATCCTTCAGATGAACTGCATATTTTACAAATTCAACCACAGAATTAGTCATGTTCTCTCATTGCTTTATTTTAAAGAGGAAAAAATGTCAGAAAGTAAAGACAGTTTTTGTTTATTTGCTTGTTTTTTGAGATGGAGTTTCACTCCTGTCGCCCAGGCTGGAGTGCAGTGGCACAATCTCAATCTCGGCTCACTGCAACCTCCACCTCCTGGGCTCAAGTGATTCTCCTGCCTCACCCTCCCAAGTAGCTGGGAATACAGGTGCCCACGACCATGCCTGGCATATTTTTGTGTTTTTAGTAGAGATGGGGTTTCACCATGTTGGCCAGCTGACCTCGAACTCCCAACCTCAGGTGATCCACTCGCCTTGGCATCCCAAAATGCTGGAATTACAGGCATGAGCCACTGAGCCCAGCCAAGGCATTTGTTTTCAAAACAAATATAAAATCAAATTTCCCCAGGAAGGAGATGATGGAGAGGAGTTTTGAGGTATCATTAGAAGAGAATAAGATGAAGTGGGAAAAGGCATTCTGAAAGGGAAGCCTGGGATGTAGTGTCCCGCTATGGCTGGAGTGGGAACTGAGGCTGGGAAGAAGGCAGCTGCTAGACCACAGGAAGATCTTGGTGCTAATTTAGGAGATTTGAACACTTTCCTATAAGAGGAGGCTTTGACAACTGTTATTAGGAGAGAAATGTGACCTGATTTCCATTTTAGAGCCTTCAACCTGGCTGCCTGGTAAGTTGAAAGTTGAGTTGGAAGAAATGCAGATTGGAATCAGGCAGACAGATTAGGAAGCTACTGCAATAGTCCATGCAAGAAATGGCAATAACCTGAACTGAGGCAGTGGCATAATGAAACTGGAGAGGAAGGGATGGATGGTAGGTGATATGGCTTCCCTGTGTCTCCACCCAAATCTCATCTTGAATTGTAATAATCCCCAGGTGTCAAGGGTGGGGCCATGTGGAGATAATTGAATCATGGGGGTGGTTTCCCCCATACTGTTCTCATGGTACTGAATAAGTGTCATGAGATCTGATAGTTTTACAAATGGGAGTTCCCCCACACACGCTCTCTCTTGTCTGCCACCATGTAAGACGTACCCTTGCTCGTCCTTTGTCTTCTGCCATGATTGTGAAGCCTCCCCAGCCACGTAGAACTGAGTTCATTAAACCTCTTTCCTTTGTAAATTACCCAGTCTTGGGTATGTCTTTATTAGCAGCATGAAAACAGACTAATACAGCAGGAGGTATCTGCTTGTCAGAAGGGTTGAAGGAGATATGGGCTAAATTCAGTGAGTGGATGGCTGCTATTGGCTCACTTTCCTCTGTGTGCGTCAGTATAAGAGCTCTGCACTGGGATCAGGAAGCCCAGTGTCTCCTCCGGTGCTGCCACTGTTCGCCTTTTAGAACCATTCACCTGCCAGGGTCAGGCTCTGCTTGGTAAAATAAGACAGAGCAGCTAACTCCCACCCCTGACATCCTGGTAACTCATTCTATGTCTTAATTAAGGTCCCTATAAAATTAGAAATTATTGTATACTTGCCATTTTCTGCCTTCTTTATACATTGCTCTGATTCTCTATCACAGTCTAAAAACCTAAAAACATCACCCCCAAAATACGTGGTTTAAAACAACAATTTGGCCAGGCACAGTGGCTCATGCCAGTTATCCCAGCACTTTGGGAGGCCGAGGCGGGTGGATCACGAGGTTAAGAGATCAAGACCATTCTGGACAGTATGGTAAAACCCCGTCTCTACTAAAAATACAAAAATTAGCTGGGTTGGTGGCACATGCCTGTAGTCCCAGCTACTTGGGAGGCTGAGGCAGGAGAATCACTTGAACCTGGGGGGTGTAGGCTACAGTTAGCCGAGATTGTGCCACTGCACTCCAGCCTGGTGACAGAGCAAGACTCTGTCTTAAAAAAAAAAAAAAATTATTGGCCGAGCGCAGTGGCTTACACCTGTAATCCCAGCACTTTGGGAGGCTGAGGTAGGCAGATCACAAGGTCAGGAGATCGAGACCAGCCTGAACAACGTGGTGAAACCCTATTTCTACTGAAAATACAAAAATTAGCTGGGAGTGGTGGCGGGCATGTGTAATCCCAGCTACTCGGGAGGCTGAGACAGGAGAATCACTTGAACCCGGGAGGCGGAGGTTGCAGTAAGCTGAGATCGCACCATTGCACTCCAGCCTGGGTGACACAGGGAGACTCCGTCTCAAAAAACAAAACAAAACAATTTATTGATTGTTCATGGTTCTCTGGGTTGACAGGGCTCAAATGGGGACTCTCACTTAGTTTTCTCATGTGCTGGGGCTGTAGTCATCTGAGCTGAGGTGGACATCCAAGATGGCACACTCACATGGCTGGCAATTGACACTGGCCATTGGTTGAGAATTCAACAAGAGCCACTGCCCAGTGTGCTTACATATTGCCTTTCCACATGGCTTGGGCTTCTCACAGCATTGCAGCTGGGTTCCCAAAGTGAACAACCTACAAGCAAGCTTTCAAAGAGACCCCAGCAGAATCTGCAAGGTTTATTTTGACCTATTTTTGGAAGGCCCAGAGTGTCACATTCACTGAATTGCATTGGTTAAGCAAGTAACTAAGGTCAACCAGATTTATAGGAAGGAAAATTAAACTCCACTTCTTGTTGAGAAAATGATAAAGTCACATTACAGGAGAACATATGGGAAAGGAAATACTGTTGCTGCTATTTTTGAAAAATACAATCTGCCATATAGATATTTGAAAACATAACCATTTTTCCCACTAACTCTTTGAGAATGGAAACATTGGCTTATTTTATTTTTATCCCCCTCTTTGTTCTATATCCCAATCTGCACGCCTACTCCATGTCAAGACTAATATCATAAAAGTTTTATTTAAAAAAATGGGTTTTGTTAAGTTTGAATAGAGAGGGTGGGAGGGTAACCTGTACTTTATTAAGTGAGGAGAACAAAGAGCATATAAATCTTTACAAGATTATGTTAGAGGTGTGAACAAACCTTTCTTTGTAATTTTATTTTTTAGAGATTGGGTCTTTCTCTGTCACCTAGGCTGGAGAGCTGTAGTGCAATCACAGCTCACTGCAACCTCAAACTCCTGGACACCAGCAATCTTCCCACCTCAGCCTTCTGAGTAGCTGGGACTACAGGCATGCACTACCGGGCTTGGCTAATTTTTATTTTTATTTTCTTGGAGATATTTTATTTCTTGCTATGTTGTCCAGACTGGTCTCAAACTCCTGGCCTCAAGTGATCCTCTCACCTCAGCCTCCCAAAAATGCTGGAATTACAGGCTCAAGCTATGGCATCCAGCCCGAGCTTTCTTTGTCTCAGTTTATGGATTGGCTGTGTATTATCAGGGTTGTCCAGTGAAACAAAATCAATAGGAGAGATACAGAGATGATAGACAGATGGAGAGATAGCGAGATGGTCAGGAGATAGACAGACACATATCTATATAGATAGCAAAACTAAAATAAAATGTTGAGTGCTGTAGAGGAGATATGGGGGTGCTCAGAGCAGAGAGTGAACAACTGCTCTGAGGACTGACAACACCCACAATGAGAAATGGCACATGGCCTCTCAGCCCATCACTTGACAGAGCCGTCTATGTGCCCTACTCCCATCAGTCCATCTGAAATACCCAAGACTCATTGTTCCATTGCTCCCTAAAGATCTCTAGGCAAGATCATCACCTCTTACTTGTTGAATCCAGTATCTATCAACCCCGGCTATATAATAGAATTACCTAGGGGAGCCTTAAGACATACTCATACTAAGCCGGGCATGATGGCTTACACCTGTAATGCCAGCACTTAGCCAAAGTGGGCAGATCACCTGAGGTTGGGAGTTCAAGACCAGCCTGACCAACATGGAGAAACCCCATGTCTACTAAAAATACAAAATTAGCCGGATGTGGTGGCGCATGCCTGTAATTCCAGCTACTCGGGAGCCTGAGGCAGGAGAATTGCTTGAACCCGGGAGGCAGAGGTTGCAGTGAGGTGAGATTGTGCCATTGCACTCCAGCCTGGGAAACAAGAGCAAAACTCCACCTCAAAAAAAAAAAAAAAAAAGACATACTAGACATTCTGAGTATCCCAGGAAGTCTGCCTGGTAGAGGAAGTGGAGCCACATCAGAGAGAGGCTGTGTGAGTGCCTCATGAGAGCAGGAGCCTAAGAGATGAACAGAATGCCCTAGAGAGCATGGCCCACATCAGATGAGGGTTCAATGCTGGAATTTCTCTAATAAACTCCCATCTCAACCCTAATCTCACTGAGGAAGAACTGGAGTCTAGGCATCTGCTCTCTGAAGAGCACAATAGCAGAAACATCAGAACTATTCTTTCTTCTTCCTCTCCATGGTAGTCTGAAAAATATCTCTCACCTCTCAAAAAGATCTGGGTCCTGTTCCCTGGAACTTGCAAATGTTATTTATTTATTTATTTATTTATTTATTTATTTATTTATTTATTTATTTTTCGAGATGGAATCTCACTCTGTCACCCAGGCTGGAGTGCAGTGGCACGATCTTGGCTCACTGCAACCTCCGCCTCTGGGTTAAAGTGATTCTCATGTCTCAGCCCCTCAAGTAGTTGGGACTACAGGCGTGCACCACCGCACTCAGCTAATTTTTGTATTTTTAGTAAAGACAGGGTTTCACCATGTTGGCCAGGACAGTCTCGATCTCCTGACCTCAAGTGATCTGCCCACCTCAGCCTCCCAAAGTGTTGGGATTACAGGAGTGAGCCACCGTGTCCAGCCTGCAAATGTTATCTTATTTGAAAAAAGTGTGGCTGGTCATGGTGGCACACAGCTGTAATCCCAGCACTTTGAGAGGCTGAAGTGGGAGGACTGCTTGAGCCCAGGGTTTCAAGACCAGCCTGGGCAACATAGTGAGACCTCGTCTACAAAAAAAAAATACATATATATACACACACATATATATACATATATAATACATATATTATATATAAATACATATATGATATAATACATATAATAGATAAATACATATATGATATAATACATATATTATATATAAATACATATATGATATAATACATATATTATATATAAATACATATATGATACATATATAAGTACATATAATACATATATTATATATAAGTACATATATAATACATACATTATATATAAGTACATATATAATACATACATTATATATAAGTACATATATAATACATATATTATATATAAATACATATATGATACATATATTATATATAAATACACATATGATACATATATTATATATAAATACACATATGATATAATACATATATTATATATAAATACATATATGATATAATACATATATAATACATGTATTATATATAAATACATGTATTATATATAAATACATATGTATTATGTATATGTATTATATTTTATATATATATATATATGTATGTATGTATGTATGTATGTATTAGCTGGACGTGATAGTGCATGCCTGTAGTCCCAGCTACTTGGGAGGCTGAGGTGGAAGGGTGACTTGAGCCTGGAAGTTTGAGGCTGCCATGAGCTCTGATCATGCCATTGGACTCCAGCCTGGGTGACAAAGAGAGACACTGTCTCAGACAAAAAGAAAAAAAAAAGTCTTTGCAGATATGATTAATTTAAGGTTGTTTGAGATAAGGAGATTGTCCTGGGTTAGCCAGGTATGGCCTAAATGCAATCACGAGTATCCTTATCAGAAGAAAACAGAGGGACAATTACACACAGAAGAGACAGAGTCAGTGTGACCAACAGGAGCAGAGATTGAGTGATGCAGCCACAAGCCAAGGAAAGCCTGCACCCACAGAAGCTGGAAGAGGCCAGGAATGGATAATCTCCAGAGCACCGGAAGGAGCTCAGCCCTGCTGACCCATTGATTTCTGCCGAGTGCTACCGAATTCAGACTTCTAGACTCTAGAACTGTTAGAAAATTCATTTCTGTTGTTTTAAGCTACTAAGTTTGTGGTCACTTGTTACAGCAGCCACAGGGAACTAATACACTCCCCTCTGCAACCCTGGAAGAGCTATGCTTCTTAAAAAGTAGAGACAGGGCTGGGCACAGTAGCTCATGTCTGTAATCTCAGCACTTTGGGAGGCTGAGTGGGGCAGATCGTTCAAGGTCAGCAGTTTGAGACCAGCCTGGCAAACATGGCGAAATTGTCTCTACTGAAAATATAAAAAGTAGCCAGGTGTGGTCGTGGGCACCTGTAATCCCAGCTAGTTGGGCAGCTGAGGCAGGAGGATCACTTGATCCTGGGAGGCGGAGGCTGCAGTGAGCCAAGATCGCACCACTGCACTTCGACCTGGGTGACAGAGTGAGACTCTGTCTCCAAAAAAAAAAAAAAAAAAAAAAAGTAGAGAAAAAGGACAGAAAGTAGCAGGGAAGAAGCAATGTATGAGTGGCACCCCTGGATCCATCCATCCTGAGCTGGTAGCAAGGAAGGTAGCTATTTGAATTACATTCAATTCATCAATATCTGGAATAAAAAATAAGGAAGTTTTTATTTAGGGCAGACTGGGCTCTTTAGATATCTAAAAGTAAGGCTGAGGGTTCTTTCTCTGGCCTCAGGTGCTCTCCTCTCATGCATGTGTACATCAGGACTCAACCAGACTTTGGGAGACTCCACCACCTATCTCTGGAGTTCTGTGTACAACTCCTGCCTCTCTGGTACTCTGCGCCACAAATGATGGTGACCTTCCCTCCCCGCCAACCCCCACCTTGTCCTCTCAATTCTAAGATACCAGGCTCTATTTGGCTTCCCCATCCCCGCTCTGTAGCCTGAAAAGCAGCTCCAGATAATAAATTGGGGAAACCGCAGAGCTCAGTAAGTTTGTTTCCCACCTTTCAGTGACCACAGTCTTGCATTGCCTGTTACCTAATTCCTACAAATTGGTATTTCGTATATTGTCCAGTTTTCTAGTTGCTTAAAATAGCAAGGTAAATCCAGTCCTTGTTATTCCATCACTGCTGGACAGAATATATACTGTAAATCAAGTAACAGTTTCTCAATTTTGTATCTTATTGTTATCGCTGTTTTGAGACAGGGTCTCACTCTCGCCCAGGCTGGAGTGCAGTGGCTCATACCTCACTGCAGCCTCAAACTCCTGGGCTCAAGGCATCCTCCCACATAGGCCTCCCAAAGCGCTGAGATTACAGGCATTTGCCAGCCACTACGCCCTCAATTTAGTATCTAAAGGCTTAGTCTTCATTCAGCTCTACCTCTTTATAATAGCAGACAATATTTTTCTTCCTTTTTTCTTAGAATTTGCTCTTCTTAGTTTGACACTAAACTCTTAATTTTCCTACCTCTTTGATTATGATTTCTGATTCTTGAATCCTGAAAGCTCTAGGCAAGTTTAGGCAAGTTTCCAAAATCTTATTCTTGCCACATTTTCTTCTCCATCTGTGTAGGATCTCACCCTGTATAATCTCAACAAGTCCCACAAATTCATTCATGACCTCTTTTGCTGCTAACTCTTAACAGAAGTACTATGTAACTGGCACTGGACTTCTTCATTCACAGAAGGAAAAAAGGTGAATACCAAATATAATTTCTACCACATTTTAAAGTTTATAAATGTACTTTTTTTTTTTTTTTTTAGCAGAGTCTTGCTCTGTCACCCAGGCCGGAGTTCAGTGGCACAATCTTGGCTCACTGCAACCTCTGCCTCCGGAGTTCAAGCGATTCTTGTGCCTCAGCCTCCTGAGTAGCTGGGACTACAGGCATGTACCACCACGCCCAGCTCTAATTTTTGTATTTTTAGTGGAGAAGGGGTTTCACCTGTTGGCCAGGCTGGTCTCAAGCTCCTCACCTTAAGTGATCTGCCAGCCTCAGCCTCCCAAAGTGCTGGGATAACAGGCGTGAGCCAACACACCCAGCTATATATGTACTTTTATACACATACAACCAGAGGAAAAAACAAAAGTTAATTCACTTAAAATGTTAAGAATGATGATCTATTTTATGGGTAACACTTTCCTGTATTTTCAATACACACACACAGACACACACACACACACACACACACACACACACGAAGCTATTTTTTAAGTCCCCATTTCTAGCTCATAACTCCAGCTGTTTTCACAGGCCAGAATCTCAATTATTTTCAAAGCAAGTCACATATCTTCCACCTAGAGCCTGCCTTTCTCCCTCTGTGCCAGTTAATGATACCCAGTCCTCCCATAAGCTTCAGAGTCATTTCACCTTTTTCTTCTGTTCCCACATCTTGTCAAAAAGCCTACTGGAAACAATGAATTTCAATCCATGAGAAACAACATTACTGCAGAAGGCTCTAGAATAATAATCTCAAAGCAGCACTAAAAAGCTAGGAGAATGAAAAACCCCCATTTTTCCAGGTCAGAGATGTGAGGACACTCTGCAAAGAGGAAGCCATGCCCTTGGCATAGAAGCAGCTTATTCCTGGGATAAAGAGGTGGATTTGGAAGAGTAGGCCAAAGTTGGACAATAAGCCAAGGGGGAAAACTGTGGAGCAGAGTCAAGAGGCTGGGGACTTGAGCCTGCATTTTGGGTGGCACCCAAAGATGACAAAAGGAGAAACATGTCATAAACCAGGCTTCAAATGGCGCTTTGGCAGAAAGTTGTTTTGCTGCCCAAACTGGCATTTAATATTGGTTGAAATGAATAAGACACGCCAGCCTTCAACTTTTTACCATGTAATTAACCAACTTGGAATAAGGTCTTTTTTTTACTTTAATGCTCTTTAGTATACATATGTAACAAATCGGCATGTTGTGCACATGTACCCTAAAAAAGTATAATAATAATAAAATTTTAAAAAAGTAATAAAAAATATTTATAAGCCTGTTAAATTATAAAATCATGAAACAAGAAAAAAAAAAAGAAAAAGGGTAAAAAACAAAGAAAGAACAGAATTCAAAAGTCACAAAATAGTATGGATCTTGAGAACATTGTGCTAAATGAAACACACCAGTTACAAAAGGACAAACACTATATGATTCCACTTGCATTAGCTATCCAGAGTAGTCAAATTCATAGAAACAGAAAGTAGAATGGTGACCACCAAGGGTAGGGGAGGTATTAAGTACTTGTCTAATGTCTATGAAAAAGTTTTGGAGGCTGTTTGTACAACAATATGAATATACTTAACACTACTGAACTGTACCCTTAAATATGTTTAAGACGGTAAGTATTTTATCACAATTTAAACTTTTAAAAAATTTTAAGTCACAAATTAGTATAGAAAGTGTCACCCAATTCTGCCTTCTGGCCACTCAGTTCCACTCCTCAGAGACAGCCAGTGTTAGTATATCTTCCCACCTTTCCAAATATATTCTAACTGTATCTAATATATTCTAACTTTATCTCAAAAGGCATATATATGCTTGTAAATATATGCCTTTTGAGATAAAACACACCCATACACAAATAGTGACATACTACACGTACTGTTCATGCACTTTGGTCTTTTCATTTAATATATCTTAGAGCCTTTTCTAAATTACTTCATATACAACTGCCTTACTCGTTTTAAGAGCTGCTACTAACTCACTGTATGACTATATCGATTATTTTACCAGTTCCCTACTTATGGGTAATTAGGTTTTGTATGAACTTTTGTGCTTATAAACACAGTGATGAATACCTTTGTGCTATTTTTAACCCCCACATAGACAAGAGTGTGTGTGTATATATATATGTATATATATACGTGTTAAGTGCATTCTTTATGTGTGACTGCATGTATGTACACTATTTTTATTTACATAAAAATGTGTATTGACGTATAGCATACATTCAGAACAGTACATAATTCTAAAGTTCATAGCTTGATGAATTTTCCCAATATAATCCTACCTAACACACAGATTTAAAAAAAAAAAAACACACAAGATTATAAGCCTCCAAAAGCCCCTTGTCTCAATCCAGTGTGAGCTCCCCAAGAGTAATACTACCCTGACTTCTAACATCACAATTTTGTCTGTTTTTATACTTATATTTTTGTGCATGGCTCTTTCACCCAACATTATGTTTGTGAGTCATTCATATTAGGTGAATTGGAATTCATTCATTCCTATTGCTCTATAATATCCCATTGTGTAAATACATCACATCTTATCTAAACTTATCTATACTACACAAAATATGTGCATTATTAAATTTTAATGGATATTATCCAATTGCTCTCCATAGAGTTTAGAATCTTACCATTAATATAGGGAAGTAGCTATTTTCCTACACCTTAGCCAACAGCTAATCAAACTTCTTCATCTTGGTTAATTGGATATTTTTTAAATGCTTTCAGTATAGTTTCAATTTGCTTTTCTCTTATACCGACTGAAAGAGAACCATTTCATACATTTAGGAGCCACCTGTCATTCCTTTAAACTGTCTCTGAATGTGCCCACTTGTCTACTGAGTTGTTGGTCTTTTCTATCAGCAAGTGATCCTGCTTTTTAAAGGAAATTAGCCCTTTGAACATGCTGCATGGCAACTGTTTTTTCCCAGTTTGTCACTGGAGTCCCAATTTTGTTTATACTAGTTTTTGCCAAGTCTAGGTTGTCTGGTTTATGTTTTTGTTTTTGTTTTTGTTTTTTTGAGACGAGAAGTCTCACTCTGTCACCCAGGCTTTAGTGCAGTGCAGTGCAGTGGCATGATCTCGGCTCACTGCAACCTCTGCCTCCCAGGTTCAAGCGATTCTCCTGCCTCAGCCTCCTAAGTAGCTGGGATTACAGGCATGTACCACCACACCCAGCTAATTCTGGTATTTTTAGTAGACATGGAGTTTCACCATGTTGGCCAGGCTGGTCTCGAACTCCTGGCCTCAAGTGATCCACCTGCCTCAGCCTCTCAAAGTGCTGGGATTACAGGCGTGAGCCACCAAGCCCAGCAGCTTGTCGGTTTTTATGCAAATTCATCAACATTTTTTCTGTATGCAAGGGCTCAAGTTGAATGATGAAGAATCATGAGAGAGAGGGAGAGAGGGAGGGAGGGAGGAAGGAAGGAAGATAGGAGAGGAACCTATTATACTGCTGATAGGAGTGTAAGCTGTTACAATCATTCCGGAAAATGCAATATATACCAAAACAAAACAAATATACATCCTATGACCCAGCAGTTCCACTCAATTCCAACAGAAAATGAGTAGGTCCACCAAACATGTACAAAATGTTTTTAGCAGTTTTATTCATTTTAGCCAAAATACAGAAACAACCAAAATTTCCATCAACAGTAAAACAGATAAAATGTGATAAATTAACACAACATAATCCTACACAATAAAAAAGAATTGCAATATACAACATAAATAAATCTCATAGACATGTTAAGCAAAAGAAGTGAGATAGTGACTGGGTGCGGTGGCTCACGTCTGTAATCCTAGCACTTTAGCAGGCCGAGGTGGGCGGATCACTTGAGGTCAGTAGTTCAAAACCCGCCTGGCCAACATGGTGAAACCCTCGTATCTACTAAAAAGAAAAACAAACAAAACAAAATTAGCCGAGCTTGGTGGCAGGCACCTGTAATCCCAGCTACTTGAGAGGCTGACAGGAGAATCATGGAACCCGGGAGGGAGAGGTTGCAGTGAGCCAAGGTCATGCCATTGTACTCCAGCCTGGGTGACAGAGGGAGACTCCATCTCAAAAAATAAAAAAAAAAGAAGAAGTGAGATAGCAAGCTGGTTCTCTTTTTTCCCATTTTCCTGAATAGCCACAGAGTTCATCCAATACTGTTTACTGAAGAATTCCCTATTTTCATCACATATAACACTGTTTACCACACAAAACATTTCTATAGATGAGGCTACTTCAGTGCTCTCAATTCTGTGTCAGTGATCCGAGGCTCAAATTGGTTTGCCTTCAACATACACTTTAATATTTGACAGCACTAATACCCCCTTCATGAACAGATTTTCATCATTTTGGTGAAAAATTTCATTTTTGCTCTTTCATATAAACTTAAGAATCAAGTTTTGAAAAGCCTATTGAGATATTAATTGGGATTACTTTAAATTCACAAATTGTGTGTGTGTGTGTGTGTGTGTGTGTGTGTATATATTTTTTTTTTTTCAGAGATGGCTTCTCACTATATTGCCCAGGCTGGTCTCCAACTCCTGGCCTCAAGTGATCCTCCCACCTTGGCCTCCCAAAGTGCTGAATTATAGGCATGAGCCACTCTCCCTGGCCTGTTTCACTAAATTTAAGACATTTTCAATGTAAGATGCACAGATATTTTAGGCCAATTGAAAGAGCTTAAAACTTAAATGCTTCTGTTTTCATATCACATCTGACTTGCGCTCATAATGAAAGTTATGTAAAATAAATTGGTTAAGATGCTCCTAATCTAACTTCATAATTACCACATGGCCAGAAGTACCAAGAAGATGTCATCAGTTTTAAGGCATACTTACCTTTAGAAATCGTAAAAGATTAAAAAAAAGTGTCTTTCTAACAATATAAAATACAGCAACTTTGAGGGAATACTGACATCTTATAAATGTGAGTTTTATCCTACTGAAGAACAAAATATGTTTTAGCATTTTTTAAATTCTTTTATGAGCTTCAGTGAAGTTTTGCAATATTTTTCAGGAATATCTTTCATTTTCTTGCTAATTCTTAAGTTTCTCTTACTTTTTCTTTGTAGAGATAGGGTCTCACCATGTTGCCCAAGCTGGTCTCAAACTCCAGGGCTCAAGTGATCCTCCTGCCTTGGCCTCCCAATGTGCTGGGATTACAGGCATGAGCCACTGTGCCTGACCAGTTTACTTCTAAGTAGAATTTTTTCCTTCAAAAATTCTGTTTGGAAAATATGCAAATATAATTTATACAGAAAATTATATAACAATATTGAGAAAAAAATTAAAGACCAAAACACATGGAGAAATAATGTTTATAATCAGAGGATTCAATGGTATAAAGATTTCAAATTCCCATTATAGTAGGTGTAGCAAAAAAAAAAAAAAAAAAAAATCAATTCTTCCCAGACCGATTCAACACAATTCTAATCAAAATCCTAACAGGTATTCTTGTGGAACATCACAGCTGATTCTAAAATATATGTGGAAATGGACAGGGCCCAGGATATCAAGACATAAAACTAGATGAGTGATTCTCAAACTTTTTGGTTTGACATTCCTGGAAAATACTGAGACTCTAAAATGCTTTTGTTAACATGGGTAATAGCTATTATATTTATTACATGAGAAATTAAAACAGGAATTATTTATTTATTTTTTGAGATAGAGTCTCCCTCTGTCACCCAGGCTGGAGTGCAGTGGCATGATCTCAGCTGACTGCAACCTCTGCCTCCCAGTTTCAAGTGATTATCCTGCCTCAGCCTCCCAAGTAGCTGGGATTACAGGCATGCGCCACCACATTTGGCTAATTTTGTATTTTTAGTAGAGACGGGGTTTCACTACGTTGCCCAGGCTGGTCTCGAACTCCTGACCTCAGGTGATCCACCTGCCTCAGCCTCCCAAAGTGCTGGGATTACAGGTGTGAGCCACTGTGCCCGGCCAAAACAGGAAAGTTTTAAATATTCATTCATTCATTTAAAAATAACAAGAAATCTATTATATGCTAACATAACACTTTAATGAAAAATAACTGTTTTGCAAAACAAATTTAAAAAATGAGTGAGAAGAGTAGCACTGTTTGACATTTTTGGAAATCTCCTTAATGTCTGGCTTGATGGGAGACAGCTGGGTTCTCTTATCTACTTCTATATTCAATCTGTTGCAACACTGCATTTCATGTGGCCTCTGGAAAAATCGTACACCTGTGAGAGAATGAGTGTGAGGCAAAAAACAACCAAGTGTTACTATAAAAATAGTTTTGACCTGGCCAAGACCCCACTCTGAGAGGGTCTCAGGAAATCCCCATAGTCCTGTGACCACACTTTGAGAACTGCTAAAATACAGTACTTAAGACAATGGGTCACTGGCAAAGGACAGACAAATAGAAGACAGGAATAGAAGATACAGGCAAATACAGGCAAATCCTTGTATACACAATCACCTGATTTATGACCAAGGTAGCTCTATTGAGCAGGAGGAGACGGCCTTTTCAATAAATGGAACTAAACATCATCACCATCGTGTCATCTAGGAAAACAAATGGACCCCATCTCACAACACACACAAAAATTCCAGAGATTGTTGATCTAAATGTGAAAGGCAAAACAGTAACAGAAAATAATATAGATTATCTTCACACCAGGATACAAAAACATCTAATTACAAAGTAAAAGACAGAAACATTCAACTACATTAAAATTAAGAATTTCTGTTAATCAGAGAAATGCAAACCAAAACTACAATGAGATATCATCTCACTCCAGTTTAAATGGCTTTTATCAAAAAGACAGGTAATGCACTTTGGGAGGCTGAGACGGGTGGATCACGAGGTCAAGAGAGCGAGACCATCCTGGCCAAAATAGTGAAACCCCATCTCTATTAAAGTATAAAAATTAGCTGAGTGTGGTGGTGGGCGCCTGTAGTCCCAGTTCCTTGGGAGGCTGAGGCGGGTGGATCACGAGGTCAAGAGATCGAGACCATCCTGGCCAAAATGGTGAAACCCCGTCTCTACTAAAAGTACAAAAATTAGCTGAGCATGGTGGTGGGTGCCTGTAGTCCCAGCTCCTTGGGAGGCTGAGGCAGGAGAATCGCTTGAACCCAGGAGAGGAAGGTTGCAGTAAGCCGAGATCGCGCCACTGCACTCCAGCCTGGTGACAGAGCAAGACCCCATCTCAAAAACAAACAAGCAAACAAACAAAAAGACAGGTAATGACAGATGACGGCAAGGATGTGGAAAAAGGGGAACCCTCGTACACTGTTGTTGGGAATGTAAATTAGTACAATCACTATGTGGAGGGTCCTCAAGAAAACTAAAAATAGAACTACCATGTGATCCAGCAATCCCACTGCTGGGTACACACCAAAAAGAAAGGAAATCAGTGTATCACAGAGATTTCTGCACTCCTATGTTTATTGCAGCACTATTCACAATAGCCAAAATATGGAATTAACCTAAGTGTCCATCAACAGATGAATGGATAAAGAAAATGTGGCACTTACACACAATGCAGTACTATTCAACCATCAAAATGAATGCAGTCCTGTCATTTGCAACAACATGGATAAAACTGGAGGACATTATGTTAAGTGAAATAAGCCAGACACAGAAAGACAAACATTGCATGTTCTCACCCATATGTGGAAGCTAAAGAAAAAAAATTGAACCCATGTAGATAGAGGACAGGAAAGGAAGTGGGAAGAGAAGTGGGAAACAAAGAGTGATTGGTGAATGGGTACAAAAATATAGTTTAAAAAAATGAGTAAGTCTAGTGTTCAGCAGCACAATAGGGCAACTATAGTTAACAATAATTTTATATTTCAAAATGACTAAAAGACTAGAATTAGAATATCCCTAATATGAAGAAATGATAAATGCTGGCTGGGCACGGTGGCTCATGTCTGTAATCCCGGCACTTTAAGAGGCTGAGGCAAGCAGATCACCTGAGGTCGGATGTTCGAGACCAGTCTGACCAACATGGAGAAACCCCATCTCTACTAAAAATACAATATTAGCCAGGCGTGGTGGTGCACGCTTGTAATCCCAGCTACTTGGGAGGCTGAGGCAGGAAAATAGCTTGAACCTGGGAGGCGGAGGTTGTGGTGAGCCAAGATTGCACCATTGCACTCCAGCCTGGGCAACAAGAGCGAAACTCCATCTCAAAAAAAAAAAAAAAAAAAAAAGATAAATGCTTCAGGTGGTGGGGTGATCTACCCTAATCTGATAATTATGCATTGTATGCTTGCATCAAAATCACATCTACCCCATAAATATGTATGTCTATTGTGTAACCATAATAATTACAAATAAAAATTTTAAAAATTTTTCTGTTAGTGAAGAGATACCTCTAAGAGAATAAAAAGGAAAGGCTAGCCACTAGCTAGTAATAGGTATCTGCAACACAGATATGTGGCAGGGAAGGGAGGGGATCAATATATTTATCCCTTATACAAACCAATAAAACAAAGAACACCTACCAGAAAATTAGCCAAAAGACTTAAATGAGCTCTTCATACAGAAGACATCCAAATGGCCAAAAAACATATAAAAGGCTGCTCAACCTCATTAGTAACCAGGGAAATGCTTAAAACCAAAGTGGAGTGTACAACTAGTACAACCACTTTGGGAAACTGTTGTCATTTCTAATAAACACTCACCTACCCCAAGACCCAAAAATCCACTCCTAGATATATACCCAAGAGAAATGAGTATATATGAGAATGTTCATAGCAGCTTAATTCACAATAGCCAAAACCTAGAAACAATCAGAAACAAAATGAATAAACAAAGAGTAATATAATCATACAACAGAACTCAGCAAGAAAAAAAGAGTAACTGATACAGCCAACAATTTGGATAAAGTGCAAAAAAAAAAAAAAATTATGCTGGGCAAAAGAAGCCAGACACAGGAGAGTCCATACTGTCTGAGCCCAATTATATGAAGTTCAAAAACAGGCAAAATGCATGTATAGTGGCCGAAGTCAAAACAGTGTGGTTAGAATAGCAGCTTCTTTCTGGAAAGGAACATGAGAGAACTTTCTGGAGTGATGGAAATATTCTATATCTTCATCTGGGTAGTGATTAGATATTTATATGTAAAATATTTTTCAGGCTATACATTTTTACATTTTATTGTGTATGACACCTACCTCAATTACACCCAAAAACCCATTATGTACCTACCACAATGGTTAATAAAATTTAACTGATTGACAATTCTAAGCCTTGGCAAAGAGGTGGATAAACAGGAATGCTCACATATTGTTGGTAGGAATTTAAACTAGTGCAACCACTTTGGAAAATAATCTGGCATTACTGAATAAAACTGAAGATACACAAAAATGTTTATAGCAGCAGTATTCATAATTGCTGCAAACTGGAGACAAATATCCATCAAAAAGAAAATGAAGGCTGGGCGTGATGGCTCACTTCTGTAATCCCAGCACTTTGGGAGGCTGAGGCAGGTGGATCACCTGAAGTGAGGAGTTTGAGACCAGCCTGGCCAACATGGTGAAACCCCGTCTCCACTAAAAATACAGTAATTAGCTGGACATGGTGGTGCGCACCTGTAGTCCCAGCTACTTGGGAGGCTGAGGCAGGAGAATCACTTGAACCTGGGAGGCGGAGGTTGCAGTGAACTGAGATCACGCCATTGCACTCCAGCCTGGGTGACAATAGTGAAACTCAGTCTCCAAAAAAAAGAGAGTGAATACATCAATTGTGTTATATTCATAATAGAGTATCATTCAGCAATGACTAATGTACAAACTATAGCTCCATAAAACACAGGTGAGACCAGGCACAGTGGCTCACACCTGTAATCCCAGCACTTTGGGAGGCCGAGGCGGGTGGATCACAAGGTCAGGAGATCGAGACCATCCTGGCTAACACGGTGAAACCTATCTCTACTAAAAATACAAAAACTTAGCCGGGCATGGTGGCAGGTACCTATGGTCCCAGCTACTTGGGAGGCTGAGGCAGGAGAATGGCGTGAACCCGGGAGGTAGAGCTTGCAGTGAGCCGAGATTGTGCCACTGCACTCCAGCCTGTCTCAAAAAAACAAAAAACAAAAAACAAAAAACAAAAAACAAAACACAGGTGAATCTCACAAAATGACACTGAGTGAAAGCAGCTGAGTAAAGAAAACAAACTAAATGGTTCCATTTATACAAAGTTCAAATAGCAAAACTAAACTACCAAGTTTGGGTGCGATGTTAGAAAAGTAAGAAAATGATTCTCATAAAAGTCAGGACAGATGTCACTTTTGAGAAGGAGGATGCATATAGTTGATTGGGGGAAGTTAAGGGCGGGCTTTCTGGAGTGCTGGCATTGGTCTATTTAATGACCTGAATGTTCGTGAAAGGGTTATGCTTTGTGGATTACAACAACAAAAAGATGCACCGCTAAATGATTTTTCTGTGTGTATGTTATAGCTCACAATAAAAGAAGGTTAAAAACAAACAATGGTACCTGGTAGTTGATTGAATTTGGTGGGGGAGGGGAGAAGAGAGAAAGAATCATGGACAAGTCCCAGGTTTCTGACTTGCACAACTGCTTGGGTGGTGATGCCTTTCACTGAGATAGCAAACAGCATTTTTGGAGGAAGAGTATGAAATAAATCTTGGAAATGCTGAATTTAGAATACTTTTGAGACATCCAAGTAGAGACGTCCAGTAGGCAATTAGATATTAGCAGATGGAGTACTCAACAGCAGAAGTTGGGGTAGAGATACATGTTGGATTCACCCATGAGTGAGGCCATGGACATGGCTGTGACTGTTTAGGGAAAGAATAATGACAGAAGGCCCTAGGGCTGATTGGTGGAACATCAATATTTAATGGCCAGATACAGGAGAATAAGCCAGTAAAAAAAAATAATAATAATAAATAAATAAATAAATAAAAACTGAGAGTAATAGGAGGAAAATAAAGAATTGTCATGAACCATTAAGCAAGAGGAAAGAGCATCTCAAGAGTAAGAAGTCACTCTCTGCAGGTTGATGCGTAGTTAAGGGGGAAGGACATGAATTATGTGTACTACTCAGCCGGCCAGGTTTTACTCCACCTCTTTCTGGCTGACTTGACACAAGCAACAACCCAACAGAAAACCAATACTTCTGAGAATGGCTGCAAGTTTTTATGTGCTGTCTTCTGTGGTGAGAAGTCTCCTTAGACCAAAATTAAAGATGAAAAGAGAAATGAAAACAGGGATAGATGATGTAAGGCTTTTCCCTCAACTAATTTACTCTAATACTATCTTTGTAATACATGTGTTTAGAACAAAACAATGCCACAATGAGCATCTAGGTTAAAACTGTTATCAGAGAGGCAACTCCAGAATAAGCAGATACAATATGCTCCTTGATGGAAAGACCTGCTAGTGAGAACTGACTTTCTCATATTCATCTATAAATTTAGCACAATTGTTATCAAAATCTCAATGGGATGTGTCTTAGAACTCATTAGAATAATTCTAAAATTCACCAGAAACAGTAAATTCATGAGAATAGCTAAGAAAAATTTGAAAATGAGCATATTTGCCCTACCAGATATCAAACTTCTATAAAAAGCCATGGGGAGAGGAGGTAATAGAATAAACACAGACAGACCTGTCACTGGAACAGAACGGAGAATACAGGAAAAGGCCTCATGTATGCAGGAAAGCCTTGTGGCATTTGAAATATGAACAAGTGAGTGAACTGAGAGAGGCAAAAGTCTATGCATTTAGGAAAAATTTAGATCCCTACCCTTACACTAGACACAAAAGGAAATTCCAAACAAACCTACAGAGCTCAGTGTGAAAAAAAAATTTTCACATAAAATATATGAAAATTTTTAAAAGATAATCTTGAGATGAAGAATTTTTTTATGTGAAAGATCTGACCATGTAAATTAAAACCTCTATGTAAAGACACTATAAACAAAATTAAAAGACAAGTAACAAATGAGGAGAAAAATATGTGTAACACATATAACAAAAGATTAACCATTGTGATATCTAAAAAACTCCTATAAAGCAAGAAGAAGAAAAGGTAAACAACCCAGAAGGGGAAAAAATGGGCAAAGGTACGAACAGGCAATATCCAGAAGAAATGCAAAATTTTTGTCTGTACAAAAATTATATTGTAGACTCATGTAACACCTAGTATACTACATTCTAGGGGATTAAAGAAGTCATGTTTTTCAAAACGAACAAACTGCACATATTTACACGATATCAGAATGGGAAATGCCCATCTGAACTTGAATCTACAGAAAAAATTACCAAGAAAAATCATTAAAATTGTCACAGACTTAAAAAAAAAACCTTGGTACTAGCATTTGTCTAAACCAATGTGAAATATTCTAAGATTCATCTAGGCAGGAAAAGAAATGCAGTTAATAAAAACATGAAAACCTCATTATCAAACAAGGTGATTATAAATTAAAAAATGAATTTTTTAAATGTGAAAACCATTAAATCTTGCTGATGCTTGGGGAAAATGCAAATCAAAACAATAACATGACAGTTTTCATATATCATATTGGCAAATATCTAAAAAATGAGAATGCCCAATATTGGCATGGGCACAGGGAACCCAATATTCTCTTCCATTACTGGTGGAATTTTTAATAACATGGGAAAACAGTTGTGATATGTTTTTGGTTTTTGGTTTTTTTTTTTTTTTTGAGACAGTCTCACTCTGTCACCCAGGCAGGAGTACAATGGTATGATCTTGGCTCACTGCAACCTCCACCTCCCCAGCTCAAGCAATTCTCCTGCCTCAGCCTCCCAAGTAGCTGGGACTATGGGTGTGCATCATCACGCCTGGCTAACTTTTGTATTTTGAGTAGAGACAGGGTTTCATCATGTTGGCCAAGGTGGTCTCAAACTCCTGACCTCAGATGATCCACCTGCCTCAGCCTCCCAAAGTGCGGGGATTATGGCCACCGCACTCAGCCGTGATATGTTAAGTGAGGAAAAGACATATTAAACATACATTAAGATCTCATCCATGTTCTAAAATAATAATAACTATGTTTTATGAGTACCTTTATACCAGGCACCAGGTCCGTTTACATGTACTGGCCCACTTCATAGTCACAATAATCCTATGAGTTAACACTATTATTACCCTCATTTTATGGAGGAAGAAACTGAGACAACAAAAGATCAAGTGATGGAGCCAAGATTTCAACTCAGGTTGACTCTACAGTCCCAGACCTTAACCACTAACACAATGTACAGGAATTAATCAAACTCTTTAAACACAGTGGAGTTGAGTATACTGCCTACTTTAATTCCCTATTTTGTCATAGATTTTCTACTACTTTACTTCTCAAATACAATGAATTTTTAAAAGGATCAATAATCACAAGACAGCAACAGTGTCCCTGAAATTTTCCTAGAGATGTTAACTACAAAATAAAACTTATAAATCATAATCCAATTGCTTTAAATATTTTAGCACAGGAACATTTTTCTCAATGAAATTTTATGTGGATCTATAACATAAGAAACAGATAAGGGCGTGGTGGCTCACGCCTGTAATCCCAGCACTTTGGGAGGCCGAGGCGGGCAGAGCACGAGGTCAGGAGTTCGAGACCAGCTTGGCCAACATGGTGAAACCCCATCTCTACTAAAAATCAAAAATTAGCCGGTCATGGTGGTGTGCGCCTGTAATCCCAGCTACCTGGGAGACTGAGGCAGGAGAATCGCTTGAAACCGGAAGGCAGAGGTTGCAGTGAGCCGAGATCCGGCCACCGCACTCCAGCCTGGGTGAAAGAGTGAAACTCAGTCTCAAAAAGAAACAGATTAAAGCAGTATTATATCAATGTATTTTGAAGCTCAAATGGGACCAGGTGCAGTGGGTCACCCCTGTAATCTCAGCACTTTGGGAGGCCAAGGTGGGTGGATCATTTGAGGTCAGGAGTTCAAGACCAGCCTGACCAACATGGTGAAACCCCATCTCTACTAAAAATACACACAAACACAAAAATTAGCCGGGAATGGTGGCACACGCCTGTAGTTCCAGCTACTTGGGAGGCTGAGACAGGAGAATCGCTTGAAGCTGGGAGATGGAGGTTGCAGTGAGCTGAGATTGCACCACTGCATTCTAGCCTGGGCGACAGAGGGAGACTCTATCTTAAAAAAAAAACAAACAAACTCAAATGTACAACATGTATAAGGAGAACAATAAAATTATTCTGATGAACACAAACTTTAAATTATGGATGATTGGGCAGTCTTATGTTAAATTTGTTTTGATTGCATGATATCAAGAAAAACCTGATTCACAAACATGAATAGATGATAAAGCATATTTTACAAATGATAATGTTTTGTGTGTTTTTTAAGTAGTACATTAACACTATCTAAGGATTTAAGTACATCTGTCCAGAAGTTTTAAAAGTAGAACATTTCTAAATTAATTCTGTAATAGTGTTAAGGAATGAATACTTGGTAGTCATAAACTTTTTGGTAAAAAATAACAACTTTACAATATGTACTAATCTTGATATATGCATAAGGCAGTCACATTATTGCCTAATGCAATTAGTTCTAATAGTACTAACTGTGCTTACATAATGTTACATGAAAAAACAAGCACTAGCCTAAAATTTCAAAATATCAACATAAAGCTACAGTCTCACTGATCAATAACATTTTATCCTTTCTAACTCTGAGAAGGGAAAAAAAAGAAAAGAGAAATTTTTAATTAAAAAATAAAATACCATTTTAAAAGTTTCAAGTCTATACACAAAGTGAGACACTGTTCCAAGGATTGTTGTCCTGGGTGTGGGCATTATAGATAATTTACATTTTCTTCCTTTCGCTTATTTTCTCTTTTCTCTCAAATATTCTAAATGCATTGCTATTTTTTTTTTTTTTTTGGATGGAATTTTGCTCTGTTGCCCAGGCTGGAGTGCAGTGGCGTGATCTCAGCTTACTGCAACCTCTGCCTCCCAGGTTCAAGTGACTCTCATGCCTCAGCTTCCCAGGTAATTGAGACTACAGGCACCCACCACCACGCCTGGCTAATTTTTGTATTTTTAGTAGAGATGGTGGTTCACCATGTTGCCAGGCTGGTCTTGAACTCCTAACCTCAGGTCATCCATCTGCCTTGGCCTCCCAAAGTGCTGGGATTACAGGTGTGAGCCACTGCACCTGGCCAACTTTTTATTTTAAAATTACTGTAATTATAAATCACAGGAATTTGCAAAAAAGTACACAGGGAGGTCCCAAGTACCCTCGCCCAAATTCCTCCAATGTTATTGATGTAACTCTAGTACATGGTCACCATCAGGAAATTGACCTTGGTACAATCCCAAGTTTATTCAGGTTTCACCAGTTTTGTAAGCAAAGGGGGACTTGAGTATGCTAGGATTTATATGCAGTATGTGTGTGTGTGGTTGTATGAAATTTTTATCACATTGGCAGCTTTGTATAATCACACCTGAGATACAGAACTGTTCCATCCCTACACAGCTCCCTCATGCTACCACTTTATAACCACACCACCCCTCACCTCCCATCCCTAACTCCTAGCAACCACTAAGTCTGTTCTCCATCTCTGCAGGTTTGTTATTTCAATAATGTTACATGAATGCAATCAAATAGTATGTAACCTTTTAGGGTTCTCACTGGTTTTCACTCAGTATAACTCTCTTGAGATAACTGGGTAGTACAAACCAGTTGTGTCTAATACATTAAAAAGTAGCATGAGATGCATTTGAGTGTGTATAAATATTTATAATATTTTAAAGTTTAAAACATTAAAATGTGAATCAAAGGTGTATGATATCCCTGTTTCATTGACACAGAACAAGGATTCTGAGGTACAAATTTTGAAAACTGGTAATCTAATGCAAGTCTAGTACAATGTAGTACAGGTTGAGTATTCTTTATCTGAAACACTTTGGAGCTGAAATACTTTGGATTTGGGATTTTTCAGATTTGGGAATATGTGCTTTATATACCAGTTGAGCATCCCAAATCTGAAAGTCCAAAATCCAAAATGTTCCAAAATCCAAAACTTTGAGTGCCAACATGACACTCAACAGAAATGCTCACTGGGGCATTTCAGATTTTGCATTTTCAGATCCTCAGCCTGTACAAGTACTTTACAGAAGAAAAGCCCAGGACTCAGTGCTGTGTCTTATCAGTGTTTACAAGACTACATGGTTTACAGGAACACCTGGTTTTGCACTTTTTATGGCCAACCTCTAGATTCTGGTTCTTTCCCAACCCAGTTGAGTATGTTACATTCAAATAGACCACTTGCTATTCTTCTCAAATGACCACAGTTTGCTACCCTTTCAAGTTCTTTCTAATGATTGAGGAAATAAACTCCGCTTAAATTCCCAGATCTGTGTGGCGCTTTAGCTAGCACCACACCTCAGGCCCGATTCTCCCGTCTCTATATGCAGCAGGTCCATATGAAAAGGCCTCCCTCAGAAAGAGCTACCCTAACCTGGGACAGATTCAAACAAACTCTTTTCCCTCCCCCTCCCTTCAGGTGCCCAGATCCCCTTTCTTCTTTCTCCCTAGGCTAATCTGCTAAGTCTCTGGATAGCTCACTCCACTGCCTATCTGTTTGTTAACTGGGTGTGACAAACCATGTCCTCACACCTTCAGGCTTAGAAGGCAAACACTCCAGGAACTTACTTCTCGAATACCAATACCTTCACAGTAATTTCCCTGCCTTTCCCAAGAGTGCTCTAAACAGATAAAAGCTATAATACAAACTCTATATATTTTTGTCGTACAGATACAAAAAATGGCACCATTGTTTGCATATTTTAAAAATCTGGTTGATATGGTTATCATTCTATCAATATTAGATCTAAATGGAATTTAAAGCAGTGGTAAAAGGCTGGGTGTGGTGGCTCACACCTATAATCTCAGTGCTTTGGTGGGTGAAGGTGGGAGGATTGCTTGAGGTCAGGAGTTTGAGACCAGCCCAGACAACAAAGTGAGACCTTGTCACTATGAAAAATAGAAAAAATTAGCCAGGCATGGTGGTGTGCACCTGTAGACCCAGCTACTCAGGAAGCTGAGGTGGGAGGATCACTTGACCCAGGGAGGTTGAGGCTGCAGTGAGCCGTGACTGCACCACTGCAATCAGCCTGGGGAGACAGAGTGAGCCAATGTCTCAAAAAAATGAAAAGAAAGAAAAGGAAAAGAAGGAGAAAGAAAAGAAAAAAAGAAAGGAGGGAGGGAGGGAGGGAAGGAAAAGAAAGGAAGGGAAGAAAGGAGGGAGGGAGGGAAAGAAAGAAAAAAGAAGACAAGAAAGGAAGACAGAAAGAGTGGTGGTAAAGAGCTTGGACTCTTGAGCCAGACTGCCTGGGTTAGAATCAGGCCTCTGCCACTGTACTACCTGGATCAAGTGTTAGTCTGCGTTGCTCAGTTTTCTCATGTGTAAAATGGTGATAAAAGCTACCTGCCTCATGGGACTGTTGTGAGACTTCAATAATATATGTAAAACATTTAGAACACTGCCTAGCACATAGTAAGCATTATCTGTAAGTATTAATATTTATCTCTACTACAGTCCAGATTCACTTCCTTGTGATATTTCTCTATTCCTCTTGGACTTTTTTCAGTTCAACCTGCTTCTGAAATTTCCATACCAAGAAACAATGATAATGTTAAGAATTTTATTTCTGAAATTCATCTTGGTTAGTGAAAATTACTAGAAGAAACTCTCTTTTACGTACTAGCAGTTATTAACATTTCACTAAATATGAATACAAGCATTTAAATTATGGGAGTAATGGAACAAATGCCAAGCAAAAAGCAGGCTATCAATCAGGATGCATATGTGATACTCTCATGTTAAAAAAAAGGGAGGAATCATATGGTCACATGGATGTTTGTCTATGCGTCAAATGGCTCTGAAAAGTTTCAAACCGGTCTACTGAGAGGGAGAACTGTCTGGTGGAAGGGATATGAAGGAAACTTCACTGTACATGCTTTGTTATCTTTCAAATCTGAAGCAGCAAATGTGTTATCTAGACAAGAATTTAAATTTTTTTTTTTTTTTTTTTTTTTGAGATGGAGTCTCAGTCTGTCACCCAGGCTAGAGTGCAGTTGCGCGATCTCGGCTCACAGCAACCTCTGCCTCCCGGGATCAAGCGATTCTCCTGCCTCAACCTCCTGAGTAGCTGGGACTACAGGCATGTGCCACCACACCCAGCTAACTTTTTTTGTATTTTTAGTAGAGGTGTTTCACCATGTTAGCCAGGATGGTCTTGATCTCCCGACCTCATGATCCGCCAGCCTTGGCCTCCCAAAGTGCTGAGATTACAGGCGTGAGCCACTGCGTCCAGCCAAGAATTCAATTTTTAAAATGGGGCTGCAAAAAGGGACTCTAAATAAGTACTCTGGAAGCCAGGTGTCAAGTTTCAGTTTACTACTAGCTGTGTTACCTTGGGCAAGTCACTTAACCTCTGAATCTCAGACAAAGCAAGGAGCAATAAATACTTCTAGGTTCTTTTTTTTTTTTTTTTTTTTTGGAGACAAGTTTTCTCTTGTTGTCCAGGCTGGAGCCCAATGGCGCAATCTCGGCTAACTGCTGCCTCTGCCTCCCGTGTTCAAGTGATCTTCCTGCCTCAGCTTCCCGAGTAGCTGGGATTACAGGTGCCTGCCACCATACCCGGCAATTTTATTTTTATTTTTTTTTGAAGACAGAGTTTTGCTCTTGTTGCCCAGGCTAGAGTGTAGTGGGTGATCTCAGCTCACTGCAACCTCTGTGTCCTGGGTTCAAGTGATTCTCCTGCTTCAGCCTCCCGAGTAGCTGGGATTACAGGCACTCACCAACACACCCAGCTAATTTTTTGCATTTTTAGTAGCGAGGGGGTTTCACCATGTTGGCCAGGCTGGTCTGGAACTCCTGAACTGAAGTGATCCACCCACCTCAGCCTCCCAAAGTGCTGGGATTACAGGCGTGAACCACCATGTCCGGTCCTAGGTTCTATTCTAATTCTAAAAGTTTCATTATCTCATAGGGGTAGTAAATAGATTGTACTTTTTTTTAAGATATGGGGGAGGTAGTAATCCAACATTTTGATATGGGGGAGGTAGTAATCCAACATTTTGTAAAACACGGCAACTTTTTTGTGGACTTGATTTTCTTCTTTTTTTTTTTTTGAGACGGAGTCTCACTCTGTCGCCCAGGCTGGAGTGCAGTGGTGCGATCCCAGCTCACTGCAAGCTTCGCCTCCTGGTTTCACGCCATTCTCCTGCCTCAGCCTCCCTAGTAGCTGGGACTACAGGCACCCGCCACCACGCCTGGCTAATTTTTTTGTATTTCTTTTTTTTTAGTAGAGATGGGGTTTTGTCATGTTAGCCAGGATGGTCTCGATCTCCTGACCTCAGGTAATCCGCCCGCCTCGGACTCCCAAAGTGCTGGGATTGCAGGTGTGAGCCACCGTGCCCGACCGTGGACTTGATTTTCAAATGCAGTGGACCCTTGAACAACACGGGTTTAAGCTGCGTGGGCTCACTTATATGTGGATCTTTTTCAACCAAATGCAGACCGAAACCTGCATATATGGAGGCCCAACTTTTCATATATCCAGGTTCTGCAGGGCCCACGGTGGGGACTTGACTATGCCAGGATTTTGGTAGAAATAGGGGTCCTGGAACAAATCCCCTATGGTATATGTCCTATACATATGTCCTATACATATACCATAAGACAACCAGACTATTTTTACAGTTTTAAGAAACATAGATTTGTCAAGCCTATTAGCCTTTCCAGACCATTTGTACTATTCTTACATAGAAACCCTTCTTAGAGGGGGTCTAATATATAGAAAATACTTACATAGAATATTCTGCATGTTAGGGCTGGGCACAGTGGCTGATGCCTATAATCTCAGCACTTTGGGAGGCTGAGGCGGGCAAAATCACCTGAGGTCGGGAGTTCAAGACCAGCCTGGCCAACATGGCGAGACCCTGTCTCTACTAAAAATACAGAAGTTAACCAGGCATGGTGGCGTGCACCTGTAAACCCAGCTATTCAGGAGGATGAGGTAGGAGAATCGTTTGAACCCAGGAGGCGGAGGTTGCAGTGAGCTGTGATCGTGCCACTGCACTCTACCCTGGGTGACAGAGCAAGACTCCATCTCAAAAAAAAAAAAAAAAAAAAAAAAAAAAAAAATTCTGCATATTAGTTTATCTTGCACAACTTCAAAGTTGTTTTAAATGAACACGTCTTTAGGTCAGC
Organism: Homo sapiens; assembly: GCF_000001405.40. Lineage (NCBI taxonomy): Eukaryota > Metazoa > Chordata > Mammalia > Primates > Hominidae > Homo > Homo sapiens. Next base: position 63,794,914 of record NC_000007.14, on the reverse strand, counting down.
AATAAACTACATTAAAACAATATTCAAATATATACACAAGTATATACAAGAAACTTATACTTAAAGGCACTTGTTATCAAACACTGAAAAAAATAAGAACATCTCCAATCAATGGTAACAGCTATAACTGAGGACAGACTTTATTTCTGGAACATACATGTATCACTTTTCATCTTAACACTCATCTAGCAAAGTAGGGTTTTTTGGTTTATTTGTTTGTTTTTTGAGACAGGGTCTCTCTCTACCACCCAGGCTGGAGGGCAGTGGCACCATCATGGCTCACTGTGGACCTCAGCCTCCGAGGCTTAAGTGATCCTCACACCTCAGCCTCCCAAGAACCTGGAAATACAGGCAGGCACCACCATGCCCAGTTAACTTTTGTATTTTTTGTAGAGACAGGGTTTTGCCCTGTTGCCCAGGCTAGTCTGAAACCTAAGCTCAAGAGATCTGCCAGGTGTCAGCCTCCCAAAGTGCTGAGATTACAGGTGTGAGCCACTGCACCAGGCTCCAAGTAGGTGTTAAAATCCCTATTTAACATAAGAAACTGAGGCATCACGAAGATAAGGCCACAAGCTAAGAACTCAGAGGGCTGGAAGCCCACACAGATTCCTTAGATTTGAGTTCAGTGTACCAAACCAAGGGGACAGGGAGTGCTAACTTAATGTTAGCTGGCAGGCTGGTGCAGGTTTGCAGCAGAGTTTTCACTGATTTATGGGAAAATGGGGAATAGTAAGAACATGAAAGTAAACTTTTTGTTTTTTTTTTTTTTGAGACGGAGTCTCGCTCTGTTACCCAGGCTGGCGTGCAATGGTGCGAGCTTAATGCAACCTCCACCTCCGGGGTTCAAGCGATTCTCCTGCCTCAGCCTCCAGAGTAGCTGGGATTACAGGTGTATGCCACCACACCCAGCTAATTTTGTATTTTTACTAGAGACGGGGTTTCAGCATGTTGGCCAGGCTGGTCTGAAAGTAAACTTTTCCATATAGCTAATTGATTCCATTTAAAGATCTTTTATTCTGAGAGATTCTGTTCTTTCAAATTGTTTGAATGGAAATATCCTTTTGTTAAATGAAATGATGGTGATAGGAGATAGTGGTGTGTTACTGTTTTTATTGGCTGTACCTGGTAGAAGTAAAAAATCAGCATTTCTATTGTAGCCTCCTAACTGGGGGGAAATATTTCTTTAGAAACCTAAAAGTCTGGAACTTTCCATCATTATGCCTCCCCAGAATAATAGAGGACTTTACACACAGATTACACATGCCCCTCAAGATTCTCTCATTAATCTCTACCTTATTCTGTTTGGATTAAGACATTTAGGGATTGTGAAATGAGAATAAAGTGAATTTAAGCAATCCAAAACCACATGCTGACTCTGGGTCCTCAAAGATTGCTTTCTTCAGAATCTTTTTCATGTGTTAACTTTCCTCTGGGCTCAAACTTTCTTTTCCTAAAACAGTCACATCTTTGAGTATTACTGCTACATGGCAATCACTATCAGAATAAACTAACTTGAGGCATCCAATAATCAGCTTTCATTTAAAGTCTCTTTCAGCTTGACAAAATAAAAACTTTCAATGATGTTGTGTCTACCACTTCCAAAAGAAAATTAGTCTATATCCGTACATATATATGTGATTATATATGTATACGTACATATGTGATTTTGATCAGCCTGTTTATAAACTACTTGCAAAACAAGCTGATTTGTAAATTCATTTATTAAATGAGTAGTTTATAAAGTACTTGATTTTTGCAAGCAGTTTATAAACAGGCTGATCAAACTGAACAAATTTCTTAATTTCACTGTATAGATAGCAAATAAATTATTTACTCTTATTGGCATATCTTATTTTTACCCACCCTCCTTTTGCAAGCTTCTAAGTTAAACTATTTTATGTCCACAGCTACACAATGAAACATCACTTTCAGTCACAACATATTAAATTCACATTTAAAACTATAAAGAGATCCAGTTACCTTTAGTCTTACATGTACTTATATATATTTTTAATATACTACTTGATGTTTTATGGTGCAAAAACACACAGCTCTTGCAGGATGCATTAACTATGAAAATATTTAGAGTGTATGCTTATTAAATGGTTCAAAACTCTCTTTTTAAAAGAAAAGTCCATTTTTTTTTTATTTTTTGAGATGGAGTCTCACTCTTGTCACCTAGGCTGGAGTGCAATGGTGCAATCTCGGCTCACTGCAACCTCTGCCTCCTGGGTTCAAGCAATTCTCCTGCCTCAGCCTCCCGAGTAGCTGGGGCTACAGGCATGCGCCACCACGCCCGGCTAATTTTTGTATTTTTAGTAGAGATGGGTTTCACCATGTTGGCAAGGCTGGTCTCGAACTCCTGACCTCGGTTGATCTGCCCGCCTCAGCCTCCCAAAGTGCTGGGATTGCGGTGTGAGCCACCGCGCCCAGCCAAGAAAAGTCCATTTTAAGAACTTAAGCAGGCCGGGCTCAGTGGTTCACGGCTGTAATCCCAGCACTTTGGGAGGCCGAGGCAGGCAGATCAACCGAGGTCAGGAGTTTGAGACCAGCCTGGCCAACATGCAGAAACCCCGTCTCTACTAAAAATACAAAAATTAGTCGGGCTTGATGGTGGGAGTCTGTAATCCCAGCTACTCCGGAGGCTGAGGCAGGAGAATCACTTGAATCCTGAAGGCAGAGGTTGCAGCGAGCCAAGATCGCGCCATTGCTCTCCAGCCTGGGTGACAAAAGCAAGACTCCATCTCAAAAAATAAAACAACTTAAGCATATAGTAAAGTACTCTTTCCATGCCCCAATGTTAAAAGGTCCATCTATTATAGACTACTTGTTTCAAATAAAAATCTAAAACTGGTAATAATTCTGCTTAAATTCCATATTAAACTAGGATCAAAAGTTATTTTTAGTTCTTCTTGTTTCTTAAATACTTGAAAAGTGCTGCTACATGTTTTCCTTATATATTCATTATATATATGAATTATATATATTATATATATATTATATATATTATATATATAATATATATTATATATATATTATATATATTATATATATATTATATATATAATATATATTATATATATTATATATATATTATATATATTATATATATTATATATATTATATATATTATATATATATTATATATATTATATTATATATATTCCTTATATATTCATTCAACTAACTTTGGGTGAAAGGTACTTGCAAGTTTAAAAGTCCTTTCCAAAAGTGGAAATAACATAAAAATGTTTGCATAAAAGACACTCAATGGTTCTCAAAGTGTATCTGAGAGTCTAATCAGCCTATTAACTTTGTTCTGAATAACCAACAACAAATGTGAGCTTTTTGTCACATCTATGTATTTTCCCCTGTAAACTGATACCTACATTTTAAATGCATTTTTAAAATGTTCCATTTGGCCCTGTGATAATTATTTCTCCTGTAAAAAGCTACAGGATTTTTGTTTAAGAGCAAATGAGATAGAGTATCTGGTCCATGAAAAAGGCTAAGTGGAAAGATCAGCTCCCTAAAGTTTGTAACCAATAACAAGACAAACTCCAATGCTACTTGTTCATATAATCAACAATATGTGAGTCGAAATAAACTAGTGAGCTATATATTTCTGATACATACAAATTTACCAATCAACAGGAGAGGAAGAAATCGCTCAAATGTGACTACTGTTAACAAACATCTAAATATCAGACATAGTCTCTATCAAAATCGTAACCTATCAATTTTGAAATCATTCCTTCGACTTTTGTTATGCTTTTAATCCCCCCATTAAAGAAAGAAAGAAAACACGCATCCACTTTTAAAATGTAAATTCTCCCTTTCTCAAAGTAACTTTTAGCCTAGGGAAATTCAATGCATTAAAATAAAACGTAACAGACAAATCAATTATAACATTAAAAAAAAACTAAAATGATCAGTAACACAAACCAATCACTCCAGTTTAGCAAAGCGTGTGTTTTTAATCTGTTGTGGGTATCGTATTATGCTAATAAGCAACAATGTCTAAAAGTCATCCCAATGCCTATAACACCGCCATCTACATAACATACTTGTCCTTTACTCCAATGAAGCTTAAACTAGACTCGAACTCAGACCATTTCCCCCTCCTGGCACACCGAAATATACGAGGGGGAATCCAAGAAATCAGATATGTTAAGTGCCGGTTATCTTCTTCCAAAGTAGGGTCAAATTCGTGTTTGCCCGCAAATGTCACCGTCCTAGTAAGTCTGCAAATTCTCACTAGCGCTGGAGTACAAAGAGGCCTGATCACGGAAACACCTGTCCTAGCACCAGGAAGACAGTGGGAAATATAACCCTCCCTGGGTCCGAGCCCGCCCCAAAGACTCAGCAGCAGCGATGGTGGGGACAAGAGGCGGCCGCTGGTCTCGCGGGTGCTGCGGACAGGGTCCCACACCCCCGGCCCGCCTCCCGAGAACGAGGAAACCTGTCAAGCCGCCGGGACCCACACTCCGCAGCCCCCTCGCGCTCCTGCCCAGCCCAGCCCCAGCGCGCCCGACCGCTCCCCATCTGCCCCAGCCTCTGGGCTGCACTCGGCCACCTCATTCTTCCCCGGCGACCTCGCGGCCCCGCCACCTCCTCCCCGCGACCTGGGCTCGGGTCGCCCCCGGGCAGGAGCGCCCGACCGCCGCCTCCCGCCCAGCCCCGACCCAGTCAGTTCCCCCGCGGCCCGGTCCCCTCCGCCTCCAGGCCCGAGCTCCCACCGCGCGCTCCCCAGCCCCAGCCTCTGCCCTCGCCCCGCTTGGCAGCCCCTGGCCCACACCCCCACGCCGGCTATCTGGAGCCAAGCGCAGCGGAGCGCTTCACCCACGGTCCCAGGTCGCAGAGGGCCCGGTGCTCGGCGTCCCGCCCTTCTCCAGCTCCACGTGGTAGGCGTAGATGGAGAGCAGGATCCCGGCGGCAGCGCACACTGCGTATCAGGTCACCTTCTCCCACCGCGGCACCGACACTCAGCAGGACGTGCGCCGCCGTCTGCCTCCCTCCGCCTCCGCCTCAGCCGCCGCCGCTGCCGCCCCATTGGCTCCGTCGCCTGCTCCGGGCCCCGCCCCGACAGGCGCGCGGCCCCACCGCCCCGACAGGAGTGAGGCGGGCGGGGCGGGGAAGGCGCGCGCAGGCGCCGAAGGAGTGGACAGAGAGCGCAACTACCCTGGAGGCCCGATCGGCCGGCGGAAACTGAGGCAGCGCGCCACGGCGCCCGCGAGGCTTGGGGCCCGGGGAGAGAGGGGCGGGGCCGGGAGGGACGGGGCCAGGCGGGCCAGCGCGGGGAGGGACTCCGGGGAGCGGAGCAAGGATGCCACTGTGGGTGACTGGGCGAGGCCTCGGCCCCTCCCTCTGGACGTGGCACTCAATTGCTATCCTTTTTCCCTTTTTCGTCGTTATCACTTGATATTTCTGACCCAATCCAAATCAACCCTGGCCAATGCTTGGAGCTTTAGAGCCACACTCCTATGACTTGATCTTACCACTACCACCTAAGGGCACTCTGTGTTCAACCTGTGCAAAACTTTTTTTTTTAATGTTCAAAACTATGTTTTAAATTTCAAAACTGTTTTTAAAAAATGATTTATGGGCCGGGCGCAGTGGGTCACGCCTGTAATCCCAACGCTTTGGGAGGCCGAGGCAGGTGGATCACTTGAGGTCAGGAGTTTGAGACCAGCCTAGTCTACATAGTGAAACCTCATCTCTAATAAAAATACGAAAAAAAAATATTAGCCGGGTGTAGTGGTGGGCGCCTGTAATCCCAGCTACTCGGGAGACTGAGGCATGAGAACTGCTGGAACCCGGGAGGCGGAGGTTGCAGTGAGCTGAGATCGTGCCACTGCACTCCAGCCTGGGCAATAGAGTGACAGTCTCAAAAAAAAAAAAAAAAAATTTTATGAATGCCTTGCTTCTCTGTAAGCTGAATTTGAGGTGGCTTGTCGTAAATCGTAGAATACAGAAAAATATAAAGATGAGCTAATATAATCAGGACGAAGAAAATGAAAAGTCAGAATAAAATGAAAGGCCAGGAATAAGAACACAGGGCCGGGTGCGGTGGCTCACGCCTGTAATCCCAGCACTTTGGGAGGCCGAGGCGGGCGGATCACGAGGTCAGGAGATCGAGACCATCCCGGCTAAAACGGTGAAACTCCGTCTCTACTAAAAATACAAAAAATTAGCCGGGGGTAGTGGCGGGCGCCTGTAGTCCCAGCTACTTGGGAGGCTGAGGCAGGAGAATGGCGTGAACCCGGGAGGCGGAGCTTGCAGTGAGCCGAGATCCCGCCACTGCACTCCAGCCTGGGCGACAGAGCGAGACTCCGTCTCAAAAAAAAAAAAAAAAAAAAAAAGAACACAGATAAGCAGGCCATAGGGACTTACACAATTATGAAAATTGCATCATAAATTTGGCTCTGAGCTTCCTGGTGGCCAAAACTAAAAGGAAAACAGATGCATGTGCTTTTCTCCCTGTCTTTAAGAAGAAACACAGTGTTCTTGGAGATTTTCAGTGTTTCCCTGGTTGCAGCTTCCATTTTTTCAGGGGCTTTATATAGTGATGTTGAGTAATAAGCAATATCCTTGTATTCGTTATCTATTGTTGGGTAAAAATCGCCCCAAATTCAGCAGCTTTATAAACAATAAACTTTTTTTCCTCACAGTTTCCATGGGCTAGGAATCTGGGTGAGGTTAGCTGTGTCCTCTGGCTCAGGCTCTCACGAGGATACAATCAGGGTGTCAGCCAGGGCTGCAGCTCTCTCAAGGCTTCAGAATCCTCTTTGAAACTCACTTCGACGGCTGCTGGCAGGCCTCAGGTCCTCTCTGGCTGTGGGCTGGAGACATCAGTTCTTGTCCACTTGCACCTCTTCATAAGAAGCAGCTGGCTTACTCCAGGGCTAGGGAGGGGAAAGAGGAAGAGACAGAAAAAGAAAATGAGAGACAGTTTCACAGTCCTTTTTGAAACCTAATCCCAGAAGTGACATCCCAAGATAAATAAGTATAATACATATTAAGTTATATGGTGGTAAATGCTAAGAAAATAATCAAAATTCTCCATGTGGTATTAGTTCATAGCACAGAAGTTAAGAGCTTGGGTCCAGGAGGTAGACTTGGAGTTTGAATTCTAGTTCTCTGACTTATTACCCATGTGATTTCGGGCGGGGCTATATTGCCTCTCCAAGCCTCAGTTTCCTTATTTCATTATTGTCAGTACAGAGAAAATGCTCATTTTTATAAACCTGGAGGAGTGGACCAGTAAACATCATTTGTACAGACAGGACCTGCTGACCCACCAGGCAAAAAAGAGGCCTCCACTGAGCAAGTCTACCTGCCAGATGCTACGTCATATTTAAACTTCATGAGATCTGGCCAGGCACAGTAACTCATGCCTGTAAATCCCTGTAGATCAAGGCGGGAGGATTGCTTGAGGCCGGGAGTTCAAGGCTGCAGTGAGCCATGATTGTACCACTGCACTCCAGCCTGGGCAACAGAGTGAGACCCTGTCTCCACAAATAAATAAACATCTTATGATCTGTACCAGGGTACAGGCAGGTGTTATTATCCTCACTTTTCATCCTCAACTCTGAGATGAGTCATACATCAACTCTGATGACCTTTGCTTCCACTCCCCTTAAGCCATCCACAGGAATAGCTACTTTACATAGAAAAGTCAATCTGAGAGGGTTGAGTGACTTGCCCAATTACTGTAAAAGGTAGAGCTTCAATTAGCACCAAAGCCCATCTGATGCTAGTATTCCCTCTCCACCCATCCACGTGGCTTCCTGGTACTTATTTTAATTTTTTTTTTTTTTTTGAGGTGGAGTTTCACTCTTGTTGTCCAGACTCAAGTGCAATGGTGCTGTGGCTCACTGCAACCTCCATGTCCTGGGTTCAAGCGATTCTCCTGCCTTAGGCACCCGAGTAGCTGGGATTACAGGTGCCTGCCACCATGTCCAGCTAATTTTTTTTTTTTTTTGAGATGGAGTCTTGCTCTGTTGCCCAGAATAGAGTGCAGTGGTCCAATATTGGCTCACTGCAACATCCATCTCCTGCTTTCAAGCAATTCTTCTACCTCAGCCTGCTGAGTAGCTGGGATTACAGGCACCCGCCACCACACCCAGCTAATTTTTGCATTTTCAGTAAAGACAGGGTTTCACCATGTTAGCCAGGCTGGTCTCGAACTCCTGACCTCAGGCAATCCACCCACCTCAGCCTCCCAAAAGTGCTGGGATTACAGGCGCTAGCCACCGCGCTGGGCCCATTTTTTGTATTTTTAGTAGAGATGGGGTTTCACCATGTTGACCAGACTGGTCTTGAACTCCTGACCTCAGATGATCCACCCACCTCGGCCTCCCAAAGTCCTGGGATTACAGGCATGAGCCACCGTGCCTGGCCTTGGCTTCCCTTTAATAAATCACCACTCAATTTGATGTGGAGGATCTGTTCTTTCCCAGAATATAATGAATGGAATATTTCCCAACCCACTTCCTCTGTTTTATCAGTGTAATCAAGGGCTAGGGTGTTCCCTTCTTCTTGCCTCAAGGTGAAACAGAGGGGGCTCCCCTGTGCTCTGTAGCAGGCTAGATCTAGGCTTAAATCCTAAAGTGTGCAGAGACTCCGCTGCACACTGCCATCCCAAGGCCCCTGTGATGTGTCTCGACTGGGGTCCTCTCCCTCCAAGCTCTGTGAACCTCAGGGCTGGGACCCTGAAAATAATTTAAGACAGGCATAAACAAGACCCCGGCTGCCAACCTAAACTTAGTCTCAGAGCTCAGGTACATGCAGGAACCCTGAAGCCCATGACTTCTCACACCCCTGCCATCCTATTCTTAGTTCTTTGTCTAAAATAATTTAAACATTTTATTTATTTTAATTTTTTATTTGTTTTTTTGAGACAGAGTCCTGCTCTGTCACCCAGGCTGGAGTGCAGTGGCATGATTTCGGCTCACTGCAACCTCTGTCTCCTGGGTTCAAGTGATTCTCCTGCCTCAGCCTCCTGAGTAGCTGGGATTACAGATGCCTGCCACCATGCCTGGCTAATTTTTGTATTTTTAGTAGAGACAGGGTTTTACCATGTTGCCCAGGCTGGTCTCGAACTCCTGACCTCAGGTGATCCGGCCTCCCAAAGTGCTGGGATTAAAAGTGTGAGCCACCACACCTGGCTGAGACTATATTTTTTTTAATTAAAAAATGTTTTTTGAGGCCAGGCACAGTGGCTCATGCCTGTAATCCCAGTACTTGGGGATGCTGAGGCAGGCAGATTATTTGAGGTCAGGAGTTTGAAACCAGCCTAACCAACATAGTTAAATCCAGTCTCTACTAAAAATACAAAAATTAGCGGGGTATGGCGGTGGGTGCTTGTAATCCCAGCTACTCGTGAGGCTGAGGCAGGAGTATCACTTGAGCCTGAGAGGCGGAGGTTGCAGTGAGCAGAGATCACACCACAGCACGATCATAGCTCACTGCTGCCTCAGATTCCTGGGCTCCAGCCATCTGCCTGCCTCAACCTCCTGAGTAGCTGAGATTACACGCACGCACCACCACACCCAGTGTGAGAAACAAATGCACCCGTCCAAACCCAAAGAATGGACTCAGAGACCCAGAGCACAGAGAAAGTGAGACTTTTAATGATGGTCTTGCAGGATCGGGTGTCTGGCACCAGGCACACATAGCACAGTTTCAACAAGCAATGTATCCCTTCGTCTGCAGGTACCTCCCCTGGTTCCTCATAGGCTGAGTACTATGGGGTCACAATCTTCCTGGATGTTGCCTATTGGTTGTTGGGTAGGGGCTGTAGGTGTTTTCTTTAGGGTTGTTAGAAATACCAGAATTGTTAGAAATAGATAATTGGTGCCATGAAGAAAAGTCAGCATGAAGACAAAAGATCTCTCAGCAAGGCAATCTTTACTTTCTGCGGAAAGGGTGCTCAATCACAGATGGAACAATGGCAAGAGCACACCTGAGCAAAGGAAAAGCAGATCTATTTACCCTTATACATTTGGGTCGTCCTTACTGCTGTGTCCTGCATCCACTGGCTGGAGTTGAACCTCACAATCTTAAACTGATGCCCGATTTGCTAATAGCCTAAAACTTCCCTAAATAGGTAAGTGCAGGGAAGAACAAAGAAAGAGAGGAAGTTGCTTATGAAAGGCTTAAGGAAGTAATAACATTTCCAAATAAGGAAGGGACATAAACTATGAGCTAAGACTTGCCTGGGCCTGTCCAGACATGCCTGAGTAAGCCAAGCAACTCAATGGGCTAAAGTGTAAGAACTAATAGTTGATAGGAGGCTTTAGAGTAAGGAGCTATTATTCCTAGTGTCTATTATTTTATGTTTAAACCAAGATGAGCTTTGAAGAGGAACTTTTCTACTTCCTACAGTTGTCCTGCTGCATTTTGTTGCAGCCCACAATGCATTGCAATCCTAGTTAGCTTAGAGCCTCTTCAAGTATTTGACTTATGACCCAAGTAGCTAGGCAGGCTGATAAGAACAGACAAAACCAGCTATTTTGTGGGCTAGTAAAGTTTCATCTTAGACTAAACTTCTTTGGTTCAGGTGGGGGCAACTAAAAAGGTGGGGGTGGTGACAAGCAGGCATAGAGTGTCCAAGCAGAAACCTAGTATGTACTGTTTCTTTTGTAGTTTGCTGGCCTAACCTGATTTAAGCCACTTTGTCTTGGAAATGGACCACTGTATACATTATTTCCTTCACCCAGCTAATTTTAAATTTTTTTGTAGAGATGAGGTCTCATTCTGTTGCCCGCTGGTCTTGAACTCTTGGCCTCAAGTGATCCTCCTGCCTCAGCCTCCCAAAGTGCTTGGATTACAGACATGAGCTACCTGTTCAGTCATCTTTGTTTAAAAAAGAGAGTTTGGAGGACTCCAACTAGGAACTATTGGAGGAATCTTGGCCAGATATGATTATAGCTGGGTTGAAACAATGAAAACAAAACAATGAAACAAGATAAAAAGGAGGAAGACGGGGAAAGGCTGGGAAGGTTACAACCAACAGGACTTGCAAGTAAGCAGATCTGGTGGCAAAGGTCAGGGAAAACCAAAGACTTCCAGGTCACCAGGTGACAAGGCAAGTTACGGCACATGGTAGTGCCGGCAGATGGAGGGGGAGTGCATACCACCACACAGTTGGCCCACACACTCTGGCTGCAAAGGGCCAGGGACCACATGGTCTTTAGCTTGCTGCCTGAATTTGGACAACTCACTCCCTCTCACTCCGTGTCTTCACATTTCCAAAATGAAGCTAAAACAAACCCTTCTCCAGCTTATTTTGTTTCTGTTTTGTTATTTTCTGAGATGGAGTCTTGCTCTATTGCCCAGGCTGGAGTGCGGTGGTGCGATCTTGGCTCACTGCAACCTCCGACTCCAGGGTTCCTGCCATTCTCCTGCCTCAGCCTCCCAAGTAGCTGGGATTACAGGTGCCGACCACCATGTCTGGCTAATTTTTTTGTATTTTTTTTAGTAAAGACAGGGGTTTCACCATGTTGGCCAGGTTGGTCTCGAACTCCTGACCTCAGGTGATCCACCTGCCTCAGCCTCCCAAAGTGTTAGGATTACAGGTGTGAGCCACTGTGCCCGGTCTCCAGCTTGTTTTAAGAATCGAGTAACATCGCCATGTTTAATTGGCTTAGATATTCAGAAGCTGTTGATGTGAATGTTTAATGAACTTTATGAGTAAACAAATTAGATCAAAGTAAGTGGACTCCATGAAGCCAAGTATTATGCCTTCTGGATATGCCACCTGGTAACCCCTCCTTCAGCACACTGTGCCCCTTGACAGGCATCATGGGAGCAGGGACAGAGAAGGTGGGTGGGGAGCACAGGGACAGAGACACAGTGACATCCGCCCCTGTCTTGCCCCCATCCCATCCACCCTTTTTTTTTTTTTTTGAGATGGAGTTTCACTCCTGTTACCCACGCTGGAGTGCAATGGCGCAATCTCAGCTCACTGCAACCTCTGCCTCCCAGGTGCAAGCAATTCTCCTGTCTCAGCTTCCCAAGTAGCTGGGATTACAGGCATGCACCACCACACCCAGCTAATTTTGTATTTTTAGTAGAGATGGGGTTTCACCATGTTGGCCAGGCTGGTTTCGAACCCCTGACCTCAGGTGATCCACCCGCCTCAGCCTCCCAAAGTGCTAGGATTACAGGCGTGAGCCACCATGCCCAGCCCCCATCCACCCCTTTCTATAACAAAATCATTTAATAATGGTTTCCCATGTGTAAAAGATTTGCTTCATTCAATCACAGAATAGACACTTGAGATTCAAATTTACTGAGGAAGAAACTATTCACATGCCAAGTAGGAACTTAAAAAAAAAAACAACCCTTAATCACTGTATCATTGAAGGAAAACCAATTTAAGGGATGTAGTGTTTATCCAGGCAAGCCTGGTTGGCTTCTTGGTTTTCTGTCTTACTCATTTCTTTCTCCTTCTCAAAGAGTAGATTTTATTTTCAAACCTGGGAAAAGAGGTGTTCAAGGTGGGAGGGAGATGGAGGTAGGAGGATGGCTTTAGATCAGGAGTTCAATACCAGCCTGGTCAATATAGCGAGACCTTGTCTGTAGAAAAAAAATTTTTTTTTTACTTAGCTAGATGTGGTTGGTGGTGCATGCCTGTGGTCCCAGCTTCTCAGGAGGCTGAGGGAGGAGGATCACTTGAGCCCAGGAATTTGAAGCTGCAGTGAGCTGTAATCATGCCACTGCACTCCAGCCTGCATGACAAAGAAAGACCCTGTCTAAAAACAACAACAAAGGGCCAGGCTCAGTGGCTCACACCTGTAATCCCAGCACTTGGGGAGGCTGAGGCAGGAGGATCTCTTGAGGCCAGGAGTTCGAGACCAGCCTGGGCAACATAGTGAGACCCTGTCTCTCTCTGTCTCTCTCTTTTTTTTTTTTAAAGAGATGTTTGGGATATTCCACTACGTAGACGTCCACTGCTGAACGGTCATAACCAAGACACATGGCCTGACAGCATGTGATGGTTATTTGTGTTTGTGCAAACTCCAGAGCAGCCCAAGCTCCTGGACAAAGAGACATTCCACTGTGTTTTTAACTGTCTTGATCAGACATATGAGGAGAGACAAGTCATTGTCTCCAGCATCAAAGGAATGAACCAAGATGTTGATTTTGAAGAGCCAACACTTTCCCAAGAAGCCTCCACAGTGTGACATCACAGGGCCTCTACCAGCACTGAGTGTCAGAATTGAGGCATGTGAAGCTGGGCCACATTCTAGCAGAGGCCCTGCTCAAAATGTGGCCTGGAGTAATCAAAAGATGTTGACATGGCAGCTCCTCACCAGGTGTCCTGCTCCCTTTATTGTCCATCTATGTCCAGTCTCTTAACAAGCAGCTGGAATGTTCTTTTTAGTGTTTTTGTTTTGTTTTGCTTTGTTTTCTTTGAGTCTTGCTCTGTCACCCAGGATGGAGTGCAGTGGCATGATCTCTGCTCACTGTAACCTCCACCTCCCGGGTTCAAGCAATTCTTGTGCCTCAGCCTCCTGATTAGCTGGGATTACAGGCACCTGCCACCATGCCCGGCTAATTTTTGTATTTTTTAGTAGAGACGGTGTTTCATCATGTTGGCCAACCTGGACTTGAACTCCTGACCTCAGGTGATCCACCCGCCTAGGCCTCCCAAAGTCCTGGAATTACAGGCATGAGCCACTGCGCCCGGTTTTTTTGTTTTGTTTTTAGCTATCAGGTCTAGCTCTGACTCTCAAGCTGGAGTGCAGTGGTTCAATCATGGCTCACTGCAGCCTCTATCTCCTAGGCTCAAGAGATTCTCTCCCCTCAGCCTCCCGAGGAGCTAGGACTACAGGCATGTGCCACCACATCTGATGAAGTTTACTCTTGCTACCCAGGCTGGAGTGTAATGGCCTGATCTCAGCTCACTACAAATCTGCCTCCCAGGTTCAAGCAATTCTCCTGTCTCAGCCTCCCAAGTAGCTGGGACTACAGGCATTCGCCACCACACTGGCTAATTTTTGTATTTTTAGTAGGGATGGGGTTTCACCATGTTGGCCACACTGGTCTTGAACTCCTGACTTCAGGTGATCCACCTGCCTTAACCTCCCAAAGTGCTGAGATTACAGGCATGAGCCCTGCACCTGGCACACCTGGTTCATTTTTTTAAATGTTATTTTTGCAGAGACAGGGATCTCTGTATGTTGCCCAGGCTGGTCTCAAAATGTTACTCTCAAATGATCCTCCCCCTTCAGCCTCCCAAAGTGCTGGGATTAGAGGCATGAATCACTGTGCCCAGCCTCATTCTCTTTTAATTAGCTCAGTTTCAGTTTCTTATTATACAAATACCATCAAATAGAAAATGTCAATGTTAAGCAGGATTTCCATGTAAAGGTGGCAAATCACAAAATCTCCCTTCCTTGATACTTATTCATTCTTTTTTTGTTCTTTTTATTTATTTTTTGAGATGCAGTCTCACTCCGTCACCCAGGCTGGAGTGTGATGGCACAATCTTGGCTCACTACAACCTCCACCTCCCAGATTCAAGTGGTTCTCCTGCCTCAGGCTCCCGTGTAGCTGGGATTACAGGTGTGTACAAGCATGCCCAGGTAATTTGTGTATTTTTAGCAGAGACGAGGTTTCACCATGTTGGCCAGTCTGGTCTGGAACTCCTAACCTAAAGGTGATCCACCTGCCTCGGCCTCCCAATGTCCTGGGATTACAGGCATGAGCCACTGCACCCGGGCCCTTGATACTTATTCATTCTAATGACATTTAGTGTGCACCTACTATGTGCCAAGTACTATATTAGGTTCTGAGAATGACTAAGATGGGACTCCTGCTGCAGGGAGCCTTTGTTCTGATTTGGTGTGAGTTTGGGAGGAGGATATGTAGGCAAGCAATTCAATAAATAGCAAGCTGATTTTTGAGTGTGATATCTGCTTTGAGAGAACCAGGCAGAATGAGGCAATGAATCCTCCCTCTCCACAGGATGAGGGAGGATTTCTCTGCCAAGGTGATGTGTGAGCTGAGGTCTGGAAAATCTAGTAAGGAATGACTGGCCTCGAGCCAACCCTGGCTAAGCTACAGAGCTTCAATGATAAAGAAAGTACTCCACTGGCCTTTGGGCAGGAAAACATAAGTACATGTGAGAAGAACCTCCAGCCAGCCTCAGAGCTTCCCATAACCCCAGATAGAGCTAGATGACAATAAAGTCAGAACTTAAAGGAAGAACAAAGAAAAGGAAAATGAATCAAGAATATTCTCCCAGGCCCGTTGTGGTGGCTCACGCCTATAATCCCAGCACTTTGGGAGGCCAAGGAGGGTGGATCACTTGAGGTCAGGAGTTCGAGACCAGCCTTGCCAAAATGGTGAAATTCTGTCTCTACTAAAAATACAAAAATCAGCTGGGCATAGTAGCGTGCATCTATAATCCCAGCTACTCAGGAGGCTGAGGCAGGAGAATCACTTGAACCCGGGAGGCAGAAGTTGCAGTGAGCACCACTGCACTCCAGCCTGGGTGACAGAGCAAGACTCTGTCTCAACTAATAATAATAATAATAATAGAATAGTTATTCAAGTATAAACGCATTAAACAGAAACTCTCAAACATGCATCAATTCCAAAAATACAGCAGCTGTGGGTGAAAATAGAAACTGCAGGTTAAAAAGAATCATGATACTTTTGTATCTTTTTTCATAATTTTAATGAATGTTGAATAAAAAGATATGACCTTCACGTAGACTTTTATCTGAAGTTCAGAAATTCTCCCACCTTACTTTAGTTTCTTCAGCTTCTGTTGTATCAAGCAAAATAAATATTATATATATTTGAACTAAAACACATATAAAATATGTAAAGTTTTTTTTTTTTTTTTGAGACAGTGTCTCTCTGTTGCCAGGCTGGAGTGCAGTGGTGCAATTTTGGCTCACTGCAACCTACGCCTCCCAGGTTCAAGTGATTCTCCTGCCTCACCCTTCCAAGTAGCCGGGATTACAGGCACCCGCCACCATGCCCAGCTAATTTTTCTATTTTTAGTAGAAACAGGGTTTCACCATGTTGGCCAGGATTGTCTCGATCTCCTGACCTCGTGATCTGCCCAATTCACCGTCCGAAAGTGCTGGGATTACAGGCGTGAGCCACTGCACCAGGCAAAGTTATTTTTAATCCATTAATACATCTACTTACTTAACTACCTATTTGCACAAAAAGAGGTGTGAATTATCACTTTTTTTTTTTTGACACAGAGTCTCTCTCTCTCTGTTGCCCAGGCTGGAGTGGAATGGTGTAATCTTGGCTCACTGCAACCTCTGCCTCCGAGACTTAAGAGATTATCGTGCCTCAGCCAGGCATGAGCTATCAGGCCTGGTCATATCACATAATGTTAAGTTATTTTTTGGTGGTTGAAAATTTCATGATTTATTACTTGCTTCTTTGTACTTTTCTTGTTTTGCTTTCTCTTCTCTCTCTCGCTCTCCCTCTCTGACAGGGTCTCACTCTGTTACCCAGGTTGCGATCTCAAACCCCTGGATTCTAGTGACCCACCTGCCTCAGCCTCCCAAGTAGCTGGGACTACAGGTGTACATTACTATAACTGGCTTTTAATTTTTTAGAGATGGGATCTTGCTATGTTCCTCATGCTGGTCTCATACTCCTGGCCTTGAGCAATCCTTCTACCCTGCCTTCCCAAAGTGCTGGGATTACAGGTGTGAGCTATAGCACACGGCCTGCTTTGTACTTTTCTACAGGACTTAGATTTTATATAATAATTAAAAATATTTTTTACAAAAGCAGTAGTCACTCTAAACTTTTTAAAATTAAGCAATGATTAAGAATGAGGTACAGAAAGTAGTATTAATTCAGCACCTATTATATACTAGATATTTTGCATACAGCGGATCACATAGTCCACATATCAAGGCAGGAATTATAATCTTTATTTATTTTTTTATTTTGTTTTATTTTTGAGATGGAGTCTCACTCTGTCACCCAGGCTGGAGTGCAGTGGCATGATCTCGGCTCACTGCAACCTTCACCTCCCGGGTTCAGGCCATTCTCCTGCCTGAGCCTCCTGAGTAGCTGGGACTACAGGTGCCCGACACCAAGCCTGGCTAATTTTTTTTTTTTTTTTGAGGCAGAGTCTCGCTCCATCGCCCAGGCTGGAGTGCAGTGGTGCAATCTTGGCTCACTGCAAGCTCTGCCTCCCAGGTTCACGCCACTCTCCTGCCTCAGCCTCCCGAGTAGCTGGGACTAAAGGCACCCGCCACCACGCCCGGCTAATTTTTTGTATGTTTAGTAGAAACGGGGTTTCACCGTGTTAGCCAGGATGGTCTCGATCTCCTGACCTCGTGATCCGCCCGCCTCTGCCTCCCAAAGTGCCGGGATTACAGGCGTGAGCCACCGCGCCCGGCCAATTTTTGTATTTTTAATAGAGACTGGGTTTCACCATGTTAGCCAGGATAGTCTCGATCTCCTGATCTCGTGATCCACCTGCCTCGGCCTCCCAAAGTGCTAGGATTACAGGCATGCGCCACTGCGCCTGGCCCTTATAATCTTTATTTTCCAGGAGACAAAAATGTGGATTACAAGCATTTCCTGGTTCTAGAGATACACAGCTACTGCCAAAACAATTTCCCCCTTTCCAGCAGCCTGCCCCCTGCTGGTTTTATCAAATTCAATCCCCCCACTTCCACCCCCACATCTGTGCGCAAGAATGTTCACACACACACACATTTCTGCTATATTCCATCTGCCTAGGCCAGGAGCTTGTCATGACAAACCAAATGCAATACCTATTTCCTGACCAAAGCTGTTATTCAGTATCTCTATGATTTGAGAAATAGTTTGATTTCACCCTGACAAGGATCACACTGAGTTTTTAATAGAAGTAATAATTACAAACCATGCTAGTCTGTGTGAAAGCATGTGATGTTCAGATATATCCAGCCCTTTGAGATGCTCTGCTGGAAGGTGGTTGAGGTACAAAGTACTATTGACTCATGGTCATCTTGGTCCATGGTCATTAATAATGATAGTTTGTACTTCTTTCGTGTTTGTGCTAAGGGTGGTTTCAAAACCTGGAAGAAGCTTATCAATTTCTAGGTATTCAAATATATCTTTCACAATGTATGTGTGTGTGTATGTGTGTGTGTGTATGCTGTGAAGATACATACACACATATATTCACATATGAATATATACACACATTTATGTATTTACATTATACTAATAAAAAAATAAATTCTTTTTTTTTCTTTTGAGATAGAGTCTCACTCTGTCACCCAGGCTGGAGTACAGTGGCATGATCTCAGCTCACTGCCACCTCTGCCTCCCATGTTCAAGCAATTCTCCTGCCTCACCCTCTGGAGTAGCTAGGACTACAGGCGCCTGCCACCACACCAGGCTAATTTTTGTATTTTTGGTAGAGACGGGGTTTCACCATCTTGGCCAGGCTGGTCTTGAACTCCTGACCTCGTAATCCACCCACCTCATCCTCCTAAAGTGCTGGGATTACAGGCATGAGTCACCGTGCTGGCATAAAGTAAATTCTTAATGATCCATGAAAAGAAAATGGTAGGCCAGGTGTGGTGGCTCCCACCTGTAATCCCAGCACTGCAAGAGGCTGAGGGGGAAGGATCACTTGAGACTTGGAGTTTGAAACCAGCCTTGGAAACATGGTGAGACCCCCTCTCTACAAGAAATATAAAAATTACCTGGGCATGGCGGCTTGTACCTGGGGTTAAAGTTACTCAGGAGGCTGAGATGGGAGGATCACTTAAGCCAAGAAAGAAGATGTTGCAGTGAGCCGGGGTCATACCACTGCACTCCATCCTTAATGACAAAGTCATACCTTGCCTCAAAAAAGGGAAAAAATTGGTATCCGTGAAAAATGTAAAATATCTATATATACATAAATCTATATAGAAATAGTATATTAATGAAAAAGTAAATTCTTAATAGTTCATGACAAGCAAATAGCAGGCCAGGCATGGTGGCTCATGCTTGTGATCACAGCACTTTGGGAGGCTCAGGCAAAACGATTGCTTGTGTCCGAAAGTCTGGGAACAGCCTGGGCAACAAAGTGAGAACCAACTTCTCAGAAAAAATTAGAAATTAGCCAGGCATTGTGGCATGTGCCTGTAGCATCAGCTACTCAAGAGGCTGAGTTGGGAGAATCACTTCAGGCCAAACGGCCAAGGCTGCAGTGAGCCATGATCACACGACTACACTCCAGCCTGGGTGACAGAGCAAGACCCTAACAAAACAAAAAAGATAACTGTAAAAAAATATAAATATAGAAAACATGAAGTGAGAAGCTACCATGTCCAGAGCAAAGAAAAAGGGCCCAAGCAGAGGCTCATTCTGACTCCCACCCAAAGAAGACAAGAAAAACTATGAGACACTAAATAAAACAAACATCACTATGAAACCACACAGGCAGAATTTATTATAAATTTGTCAGAAATCCACTGTCAAGGTTAAAAGAAGAGACAGGTGTTTTGCTAAGGCACTCTGCTGTGCAGTGAAGTTACCAACAAATAAGAGTCCAGGGAAGCTTTAGGCTCCTTGATGCTGTTGACCATTAAAGACTAAAAAGCGGGATCTGGAAAAGGTGACTGCAAAGCAAAAGCAAAGCCAGAAGAGGCCATGATGAGGCAGATGATGGGTTCCAGTGGCCACTATGAGGCCAAAGATGGGCCAGAAGAGGCCATCATGGGTTCGACTGGCCACTATGAGGCCGAAGATGGGCCAGAAGAGGCCATCATGAGAAAGGAGCTGGTATAACTGAGACAACTGTGAGACAGGAGCTGGGACTTGGGAGGCAGATGTGAGGAAAGAGATGAGCCAGGTGAGGACAGTGAGAGGCAGCAGCTGGGCTTAGAGAGGCCAGTGTGAGGCAAGAGCTGGGTCTGTTGAGGCAGCCTGGGGAAGCAATTGTCAGGCAAAAGCTGGGCCTGTTCAGGGAGCCACCAGGAAGGCAGTGAAACCGGAGGACTCAACTTGAGAAAGATTTGAGTCTACAAAGGCGAGGAGCTGCACAGGAGCTAATCCAAAGAGGACGTTGTGAGGCAAAAGCTGAACCTTTAGACACAAAATGTAGGAAGAAAAGGGGAAGAAGTGGATGCCTGGAGACAGCAACTGGACCTGGAGAGGCAGACTTGAGAAAGTTCTGGGCCTACAGAAGCTGCAAAAATGAAAAAACTCGACCTCGAGAGGCTGTTGAGAGGAATGAGGTAAGCCTAAAGAGGCCATTTGAAGGCAGGAGCTGGTCCTGTCGAACTTGCTGAAACGCAAGAATTTGGACTGGGAAGGTCACAGTGAGGCAAGAGCTCAGTGTGGAGAGTCAGCTGTGAGGCAGAGGCAGGGTCTGTACGGGCCTTCAGGATGCAAGAGGCTGGGCCAGGAGAGGCCGACAGGAAGTCCAGTTCTGGGCGTGAAGAGGCAGACAAAAGTCAAAAGCTGGGTCTGGGAAGGCTGCCGAGAGGCATGAGCTGGGCTAGGCCTAAAGAGGCCATTGGGAGGCAGGAGAAGCTGAGCTTGGAGAGGCCGACTTGATGAAGTTGTGCACCTGGAGCGGCCGCCAAGAGGCAAGAGCTGGGCCCGGGGTGGGCGACTTGAGGATGACTTGTGCCTGCAGGGGCTGCTGGAAGGAAAAGCTGGGCCTGGAGATGCCGACTAGAGGAAGTTCAGGACCTGGAGAGGATGCAAAGGAGCAAATGCTAGGCCTGGAAAGGCTGCTGTGAGGCATGAGCTTGGCGTATGGAGGCCACTGGGAGGCAGGAGCTGGGTCTGCAGAGGCTGCCGAAAGGCAGGAGGCTTGCCCTGAGTAGGCCACGGTGAGGAAGGAGGTGGGCCAGGAGGGCCCACTGCGAGGTAGAGGCTGGGCCTCTAGACGCCACCAACAGGCAGGGGCTGGCCCTGGAGAGGCCAGGAGAGGCATGAGCTGGGCCTCGACAGGCCAGCATAAGGGAGGACCTCGGCCTACAGAGGCCAGCGTGAGGCAGGAGCTCACACCTCTGGGAAGGTGGCCAGAGGCATAAGTTGGGCCTGAACAGGCCACTCTGAGGGAGGAGCTGGGCCTGTCGAGGCTGCTGGGAGGCAGGCAGGAACTAGGTCCTGGGAAGCCACAGTGAGGTGAGAGCTGGAGCTGGAGAGGCCCCTCAGAGGCAAGAGCAGGGCCTGCAGAGGCTGTTCTCAAGCCACAGCTGGGTCTGTACAGGCCACTGCGAGGCAGAAGGTGGGCCTAAATAGCTTAGCGGGAGAAAGTTTTGGGCCTACAAAGGCTTAGGACAGCTGGACAGGAGCTGAGTCAAAAGAGGTGTGTTGTGAGGCAGGAGTTGGGCCTGTAGATGGACCTGAGAGGAAGAGCTGGGCCTGGAGAGGCAGCCATGAGGGAGGCAGAGGCTGGGCCTGTAGAGACCAATGGGAGGCAGGAGATGGCCCTGAAGGGGCCACTTGGAGGATGTGCTGCGCCTGGAGAGGCCGTGGGGAGGCCGGAGCTGGAAATGGAGAGGACTTCAGGACGATTTGAGCCTGCAGAGGCTGCCGGGAGTCCCAAGCTGGGCCTCGAGAAGCTAACTGGAGAAAGTCTGGGGCCTGGAGATGCCACCAGAGGGCAGGAGCCGAGCCTGGAGAGGCCACAGTGAGGCCCGAGCTGGGCCTCGAGAGCTTTGCTTGAAGTTTTTGGCCTACAAAGGCCGCCAGGAGCTGGGCAGGAGCTGGGCCTGGAGGTGCCCACCATGAGGTAGAGGCCGGGCCTGTAGAGGCCGCCGACAGGCAGGAGCTGGGCCTGCAGAGGCCACGAGAGGCATGATCTGGGCCTCAACAGGCCAGCGTAAGGGAGGACCTCGGCCTAGAGAGGCCAGTGTGAGGCATGAGCTGACACCAGGGCGGGATGCAAGAAGCATGAGTTGGACCTAAAGAGGCCACCGTGAGGGAGGAGCTCAGCCTGTCAGGGCTGCCGGGAGGCAGGCAGGAAATGGGCCCTGGGAAGTCGCCGTGAGGTGAGAGCTGGGCCTGGACAGTCCCCTGGGAGGCAGGAGTGGGGCCTGCAGCGGCTCTTCTCAAGCTAGAGCTGGGTCTGTGCAGC
Organism: Homo sapiens; assembly: GCF_000001405.40. Taxonomy (NCBI): domain Eukaryota; kingdom Metazoa; phylum Chordata; class Mammalia; order Primates; family Hominidae; genus Homo; species Homo sapiens. Next base: position 63,772,836 of record NC_000007.14, on the reverse strand, counting down.
CCCCCGCTAGGCAGGAGGTGGGCCTAAAGAGCTTGACTGGAGAAAGTTTTGGCCCTACAAAGGCTGGAAGGAGCTGAGCCAAAAGAGGTCATTGGTTGTGAGGCAGAATTTGGGCCTGGAAACATAGCCGGGAGGAAGAGTTGGGCCTGGAGAGGCAGCCAGGAGGGAGGCAGAGGCTCCTCCACCACAGTCAGAGGAGTGGGGCCCCATCCTCTCCAGGCCCTGAATTTACTCCATTCAGCCTCTCCGGGCCCAGCTGTTCCTCCCAGCTGCGTCTCCAGACCCGACTGCTGCCTCCCAACAACCTCTTTGGACTCAGTTGCTGCCCAGCTCCTGGAGGCCTTGGTAGGCCCACAGCTTCCTCAAGCCAAGCTCCCCAGGCCCAGCTCAGGCCTCACGGTAGCCTCTCCAGGCTCAGCTCCTGCCCTCCGATGGCATCTCCAGGCCCCAAATGGCCTCTGGTCGGTGGGGTCCTCCAGGCCCAGCTTGGGCCTCCCAGCGGCCTCTGCAGACCCAAGTCGTCCTGAAGTCGGCCTCTCCAGGCCCAGCTCCGGCTTCCCGGTGGCCTCTCCAGGTGCAACGCGTCCTCAATGAGGGCCCCTCCAGGGCCAGCTCCTGCCTCCCATCAGCCTCTAGAGGCCCAGCCTCTGCCTCCCGCCTGGCGGCCTCTCCAGGCCCAGCTGTTCCTCCTGGCTGCGTCTCCCGGCCCAGCTCCTGCCTCCCAGCAAGCAATCTGTTTTGGCTCAGCTCCTGCCTCCCAGCAAGCAATCTGTTTTGGCTCAGCTCCTGCCCAGCTCCCGCTGGCCTTTGGAGGCCCCAAACTTTCTCCAGCCAAGCTCTTCAGGCCTACCTCCTGCCTCCCGGTGGCCTGTACGGGCCCAGCTCTGGCTGGAGAACAGCCTCTGCAGGCCCCGCTCTTGCCTCCCAGGGGCCTCTCCAGGCCCAGCTCTCACCCCACGGTGGCCTCCTGGGGCCAAGTCCCTGCCTGCCTCCCGGCAGTCGGCGAGCGGCCCAGCTCCTCCCTCACAGTGGCCTGTTTAGGCCCAACTCGTGTCTCTGGCACCCTGTCCAGAGGCGTGAGCCCCTGCCTCACACTGGCCTCTCTCATGCTGAGAGAGGTCCTCCCTCACGCTGGTCTGTTGAGGCCCAGCTCATGCCTCTGGTGGCCTCTCCAGGTCCAGCCCCTGCCTGTTGGCGGCCTCTAGACGCCAAGCCTCTACCTCAACAGTGGGCCCTCCAGGCCCACCTCTTGCCTCGCCATGGCGTCCTCGGGCCAGGCTCCCCGCCTCGGGGCTGCCTCCACACACCCAGCTCGTGCCTCGCGGAGGCCCTCCGGAGGCCAAGCTCATGCATCACGGCGGCCACCAGGACCACTAGGTCTACCTTAAAAAAATGCTTAAGGGAGTTTTTCAAGTAAAAATGAATGAAGTTGGGAGCGGTGGCTCATGCCTGTAATCCCATTTTGGGAGGCTGAGGTGGGTGGATCACCTGAGGTCAGGAGGTCAAGACCAGCCTGGCCAACATGGTGAAACCCCACCTCTAATAAAAATACAAAAAATTAGCCAGGTATGAAGGCCACTGAGATTGTGCCACTGCACTCCAACCTGGGTGACAAGAGTCAAACTACATTTCAAAAACAAAAAACAAAACTTGAGGCCTGGCCTTCTGCTCCTCTCCAAACCCCCTTCTCTGGGCCCAAGACACCTTGGCTGAGGAGGGGGCTGAGGAGGTGTGAGCCCCTGCCAGGAACCCCCTGCCCAGACCAAGTACTCGGCCCACAGGACTGTGTCCAGCGAGGCCTCCCGTGGCGTCAGCGTGTTCGTGTGGAGGAATGTGGAACCTCACTCTGTGGCCGTGTTCCCCTGGTACTCCGTCCCCTTCCTGACCCCTCCCTGGAGCCACACGAGGCCCAGCAACCTGCCAGTCACTCAGTGGCCTCCAACCAGAGCAAACAACCTGCCAAGTTGGCAGCTGTTGCTCATGAGCATCCACCAGGTGGGACAGGGAGTGTTGACCCTGGGTGGCCCCCTGGAGCCACCTGCCCTGAAAGCCCAGGGCCCAGAACCCCACACACTTTGGGGGTGGTGGAACCTGGTAAGGGCCCACCTCCCACCATGGAGGAGGAGCCCTGGGCCCCTCAGAGGAGTCCCTGCTGGACAATGAGACAGAGAATGACCACGATGATGCTTTCCTCTCCGTCATGTCTCCTGACACCCAGTTGCCTCTACCACTCAGATGATGTCAGGCCCAGTCCCTCAGTGCCCTGCGCAAGGAACAGGACTCATCTTCTGAGAAGGATGGATGCAGCCCCAACAAATGGGACAAGGACCACATCCCGTGGCCCATAAGTGGTGGTCATGAGCTTCAGCAAGCGGCACCAGGCCCTGGCAGGGCGCACCAGGGTCACCCCAACCAGGACAACCGGACCGTCTGCCAGATCCTGAGCGAGCGGTGGTACACCCTGGGGCCCAATGAGATGCAGAAGTACCACGACCTGGCCTTCCAGGTGAAGGTGGCCCACTTGCAACAGGGACCGAAAGAAGTACAGCTCAGAGGCCAAGCCCACAAGCCAGGGGCTAGCAGGAGTATACAAGGGCTCCTGGGAGCAGAGTATATCAGAGACGAGCACTGCCACTGCCCCTGGGGTGTCCTCTGAACTCCTGTCAGTTGCAGCCCAGACACTCCAGAGCTCGGATACCAAGGAGCAGCTTCTGTGGGGCAGAACGGCTGCATACAGGGAACCTGGCTCAGCCTGGCCCAAGCCTTCTCCCACAGGGGTGTACACAGCCTGGACGGCAGGGAAATAGACCGTCAGGCACTACAGGAACTGACAGAAGTGGTGTCTGGCACTGCATCATACTCTGGCCCAAAGCCTTCTACTCAGTATGGAGCTCCAGGCCACTTTGCAGCCCCTGGTGAGGGAGGTGACCAGTAGGCAGCCCTGCTGCTGCCCACCTGAGCTGCTCATTCCCAGCACATGGCCAGTGACGACATAGTGAGTGATGAGGAGCACATGGTCATCCATGAGGAGGAGGGGGTGACAATGTCATTGCTGATGACGGCTTTAGCACCACTGACACTGATCTCAAGTTCAAGGAGTGGGTGACCGACTGAGAGTGGTGACAGCTCTGGGGAGGAGCCAGAGGGCAACAAGGGCTTTGGTGGGAAGGTATTTGCACCTGTCATTCCTTCCTCCTTTACTCCTGCCGCCCCTTGCTGGATCCTGAGCCCCCAGGGTCCCCCGATCCATCTGCAGTTTTTGGCAAAGTCCATGGTCCCACCCCCTCCTCCTCCTACACATACTCGGATGCTTCCTCCTCAACCTTGGCACCCACCTCCTTCTTACTGGGCCCAGGAGCCTTCAAAGCCTAGGAGTCTGGTCAGGGCAGCAGAGTGGGCCCCCTACGGCCCCAACCCCTGGGGATGGGGGCCCAGGGATGCCTTCCAAGGTGACCTGTTTCCTCCCAATGGATCCTTCCACCTTCTGGTGCAAGAGACCTGAAAGTGTGGGCGACCTGGAGCTACCAGGCCCCTCAGTCATCGCAGTCCCTCCCAACACTAAGGCTTTCCTAGGCAGGAGCTGGGCTGAGCCACCCAGGGGGCAGAGCCTGAAGAGGAGAAACTGGGCTTTGGGGGTTGGGGCAGAGGGAACCCCACGGACATGGATCCCGCACTGGACGACCCCACCACACCCAAATGCAAGATGAGAAGATGCTCCATCTGCAGCCCAAAGCCCAACACCCCCAAGTGTGCCATGTGTGATGGGGACAGCTTCCCCTTTGCCTGTACAGGTGGAGAAGCCAAGGACGGGCTCAGGGAACCGGAGACCGAGAAGGCGCTGTCCTCTTCACTGCACGCGCCCTGGACCAGTGCCGGCCCTGATCGTGCAGCTTTTCCAGGCCCACTGCTTCTTCCTGTCCACTAGGCCACAGCCGCTCTCCAGGCCCACTATGCACACATCTTCCCCTCCAAGGTTTGTTCTGCCCCTGCCCTGACTCCCAGCCCTGAGGGGGTCCTGTCCCCACCTCACCTGGCTCAGACTCTGACGCTGCCCTGGCTGCCCCACCACTGCCTCTGCCCAAGAGTCACGTGAGGCTGAGAGTAGGGGCAGGGGCAGCAATGGTGCCAGTTGGGGGGCGGTCCAGTGGGAGGAGGCTCAGCCTCGCGGGCTGCTCCGTGGGACTGATGACTGCATGATCTTCTGGGCACCTCACGGATCTTCAACTGCAGGTGAAACGGATGCTGGTGGTGGGTGCAGGGCCGCTGGGAGCCGCTGCATGGGTCCCAGAGGCTGGACTGGGGCAGGTGCCAACTGAAGCTGCTGGGGCAGCATGGGCAGGATGCTCTGCACACAAACCTTGGAGAAGAAGATGTGTGCATAGTGGGTCCACTGCTGCTGCCCCTGCCCTGACTCCCAGCCCTGTCTGACCCCACCTCACCCTGCTCAGGCTCTGGCGCAACCCTGGCTGCCCTGCCACTGCCTCTGCCCCAGAGCTGGGGCCTCGACAGCCTGGCTGGAAGGGGACACCCCAGCCCTGCCTCAACACCTGGGTCCCTCCATAACTACCACAGGCAGGTGGGCGACCCCAAAGAAGATCCCAGGACTCGCAGTACCCCCTGAGAACACGGACACTATGTGGGGGTAGCAATGGAGGGCAGGATGGTTATCTTCTCCAGGATAAAGCCATTTAATCCTTTCAGTTTGGGAAGGAATAAGGCCTGCTTTTTTTTTTTTTTTCCTTTTGAGACGGAGTCTGGCTCTGTCACCCAGGCTGGAGTGCAGTGGTGAGATCTTGGCTCACTGCAACCTCTTACTGCCGGGTTCACGCCATTCTCCTGCCTCAGTCTTCTGGGTAGCTGGGATTACAGGTGCACGCTACCACGTCCGGCTAATTTTTGTATTTTTAGTACAGACGGGGCTTCACCATCTTGGCCAGGCTGATTTCAATCTCCTGAAATCGTGATCCACCGGCCTCCACCTCCCAAAGTGCTGTGATTACAGGTGTGAGCCACCACGCCTGGCCAAGGCCTGCTCCTCTTATATATACCCCCTACCCCTGCAGCTGTGCCGGGGGAAAGCTGGGCAGTTTCCCTCCTCTGAGCCCCTGTACATACCATGAAGTGTGGGACCTTCAGAGCTTTTCACTTTTCGGAAAATAGCTCCTGCTGGGGCTACAAGATGGAGTGTGAAGAGGGCCTTGGGCCACAGGGAGGTGCCTGTGGAATAGGGGGAGTTCATGCACCCCTTCTTTCTCCAGAGGGGCTGGACTCAGGTGAGTATGGGGGTGGGGGCTCCTGCACTTCGACACAGGCAGCGGGAGGGTTTTCTCCCGATTCCCTCTGCACTCCCAACTTGAGTTGTACTTTTTAAGAAAGTGATTCACCCTGCCTTTGCCCCCTTCCCCAGAACAGAACACGTTGATCATGGGCGATATTTTCTATTGTGCCAAAAAGTTGCCATGACTGTCATTAAACCTGTTTAACACCAAATAATAAGGAAAATAAAATAAAAAATTCGGGCTTGGTGCAGAAACTCACTCCAAATAAATTACCTACCAAAATATTTATATAATGGTGGAAATATTCCAAAATTCCATATTTTGGGATTTATACACAAAAGATAAAAAAAATTAGAGGCCAAGAGGCTGCCGGAAGGGAAAAATGGGGCCTGGAAAGGCCATTGTGAGGAATGAGCTGGGCCTAAAGAGGCCACTGGCAGGCGGGAGCTGGGCCTGCCGAAGCGGCCGAAAGGCAGGAGCTTTGGACTGGGGAGGCCACAGTGAGGTGAGAGCTAGCTGGGCGTGGAGAGTCTGCTGTGATTCCGAGGCCGGGCCCGTGCAGGCCTTCGGGAGGCAGGATGCCGGGCCTACAAAAGCTGACTGGAGATCAAGTTCTGGGCCTGAAGAGGCCACCAAAAGTCAAAAGCAGGGCCTGGGAAGGCTGCCTACAGCCACGAGCTGGGCTGGGCTGAAAGAGGCCTTCGGGAGGCAGGATGCCGGGCCTGCAAAAGCTGACTGGAGATCAAGTTCTGGGCCTGAAGAGGCCGCCAAAAGTCAAAAGCAGGGCCTGGGAAGGCTGCCTACAGCCACGAGCTGGGCTGGACTGAAAGAGGCCACTGGGAGGCAGGAGGAGCTGGACCTGGAGAGGCTGACTCGAGGAAGTTTTGCACCTGGAGAGGCCGCCGAGAGGACGGAGCTGGGCCCGGGGAGGCCAACGTGCAGCTCTTCCAGGCCCACTTCCAGGCCGACTTGAGGATGACTTGGGCCTGCAGAGTCTGCCGGGAGGCTGGAGCTGGCCCTGGAGAGCCTGACTCAAGGGCAGTCTGGGCCTGCAGAGGCCGCCATGCGGGAGGCAGAGGCTGGGTCTCTAGAGGCTGACGAGAGGCAGGAGCTGGCCCCGGAGGGGCCCTCGTTGACGATGCGTTGCGCCTGGAGAGGCCGCCGGGAGGCCGGAGCTGGGCCTGGAGAGGGCGACTTCAGGACGATTTGGGCCAGCAGAGGCCGCCGGGAGGCCCAAGCTGGGCATAGAGGAATCCACCGACTGGAGGCCGTTCGGGGCCTGGAGACACCGTCGGAGGGCAGGAGCTGAGCCTAGAGAGGCCACCGTGAGGCCTGAGCTGGGCCTGGGGAGCTTGGCTTCAGGAAGTTGTGGGCCAACCAGGGCCACCGGGAGTTGGGCGGGAGCTGAGTCCAAAGAGGTTGTTGGGAGGCCGGAGTCGGGCCTGGAGACGCAGCCGGGAGGAAGAGCTGAGCCCGGAGAGGACGCCGGGAGGCTGCAAGTGGGTCTGGAGAGGCCGACTTCAGGAGGCCCAGCCTCTGCCTCCCTCATGGCAGCCTCTGCAAGCCCAGCTGTTCCTCCTGGCTGCATCTCCTCAAGTGGGCCCAGAGGTTCTGGGTCCTGAGAGGCAGTCGGACGGGAAAAAATGGGCCTGGAAAGGCCGTTGTGAGGAATGAGCCCCATGGGCCTGAAGAGGCCACTGGCAGGTGGGAGCTGGGCCTGCCGAAGCGGCCAAGAGGCAGGAGATTTGGACTTGGGAGGCTGCAGTGAGGCGAGAGCTAGCTGGGGGTGGAGAGCCCACTGTGAGGCAGAGACTGGCCCTGTGCAGGCCTTCGGGAGGCAGGAGGCCGGGCCTGGAGAGGCCGACTGGAGGTCAAGTTCGGAATCTGCAGAGGCTGCGGAAAGTCAAAAGTGGGGCCTGGGAAGGCCACCAGGAGGCATGAACTGGGCTAGGCCGAAAGAGGCCACTGGGAGACAGGAGGACCTGGGCCTGGAGAGACTGACTCGAGGAACTTTTGCACTTGGAGAGGCCGCCGAGAGGCCGGAGCTGGGCCTGGGGAGGCCGACTTGAGGACGACTTGGGCCTACAGAGGTCTCCGGGAGGCAGGAGCTGTCCTTGGACAGGCCTACTTGAAGACAGTCTGGGCCTACAGAGGCCGCCGGGAGGCAGGAGCTGTCCCTGGACAGGCCTACTTGACGACAGTCTGGTCCTGCAGAGGCTGCTGGGAGGAAGAGCTGGGTCTGGAGAGGCCGACTGGAGGAAGTGCAGGACCTGGAGCCCATGCAAAGGAGCAAACGCCAGGCCGGGAGAGGCCGCCCTGACGCATGAGCTTGGCCTCCGGAGGGCCGTGAGGCAGGAGCTGGGCTTCCGGGGGCCGCCCCAAGGCGGGAGCCTGGCCCGAGGAGGCCACGGCGAGGAAAGAGGTGGGCGTGGAGGGCCCACTGTTGAGGTAGAGGCTGGGCCTCTAGAGGCCGCCAACAGGCAGGGGCTGGGCCAGGAGAAGCCAACAGAGGCATGAACTGGGCCTCAACAGGCCAGCGTGAGGGAGGACTTCTCTCAGCGTGAGAGAGGCCAGTGTGAGGCAAGGGCCTCACGCTGACCTCCCTCAGCGTGAGAGAGGCCAGTGTGAGGCAGGGCCTCACGCTGACCTCCCTCAGCGTGAGAGAGGCCAGTGTGAGGCACGGCCTCACGCTGACCTCCCTCAGCGTGAGAGAGGCAAGTTTGAGGCAGGGGCCCACGCTGACCTCCCTCAGCGTGAGAGAGGCCAGTGTGAGGCAGGGGCTCACGCTGACCTCCCTCAGCGTGAGAGAGGCCAATGTGAGGCAGGGGCTCACGCCTCTGGAAAGGGTGCCAGAGGCATGAGTTGGGCCTCAACAGGCCACCGTGACGGAGGAGCTGGGCCGCACACAGGCTGCTGGGAGGCAGGCAGGGACTTGGTCCCGGGAGGCCGCCGTGAGGCGAGAGCTGGGCCTGGAGACGCCCCTGGGAGGCAAGAGCGGGGCCTGCAGAGGCTGTTCTCCAGCCAGACCTGGGCCTGTACAGGCCACCGGGAGGCAGGAGGTGGGACTGAGGAGCTTCGCTGGAGAAAGTTCAGGGTCTACAAAAGCCGGCGGGAGCTGGGCAGGAGCTGAGCCAAAAGAGCTTGCTTGCTGGGAGGCCGGAGCTGGGCCTGGAGAGGCTGACTTCAGGACCACTTGGGCCTGCAGAGGCCGCCGGGAGGCCCAAGCTGGGCCTGGAGAAGCCCACCGACCGGAGGCCGTTTGGGGCCTGGAGACGCCGTCGGAGGGCAGGAGCTGAGCCTGGAGAGGCCACCGTGAGGCCTGAGCTGGGCCTGGGGAGCTTGGCTTGAAGAAGCTGTGGGCCGACCAAGGCCACCACGAGCTGGGCAGGCACTGAGTCCAAAGACGTTGTTGGGAGGCAGGAGTCGGGCCTGCAGACGCAGCCGGGAGGAAGAGCTGGGCCCGGAGAGGACGCCGGGAGGCTGCAAGTGGGTCTGGAGAGGCCGACTTGAGGAGCTTCTGGGCCCGGAGAGGCCGCCGGAAGGGAAAAACTGGGCCGGGAAAGGCCGTTGTGAGGAATGAGCCCCATGGGCCTGAGGAGGCCACTGGCAGGTGGGAGCTGGGCCTGCCGAAGCGGCGAAGAGGCCGGAGCTTTGGACTCGGGAGGCCGCAGGCGAGAGCGAGCTGGGCGTGGAGAGTCCGCTGTGAGGCAGAGGCTGGGCCTGTGCAAGCTTTCGGGAGGCAGGAGGCCAGGCCTGCAGAGGCCGACTGGAGGTCAAGTTCGGGGCCTGCAGAGGCCGCGGAAAGTCAGAAGCGGGGCCTGGGAAGGCCGCCGGGAGGCATGAGCTGGGCTGGGCTGAAAGAGGCCACTGGGAGACAGGAGGAGCTGGACCTGGAGAGACGGACTCGAGGAACTTTTGCACCTGGAGAGGCCGCCGAGAGGCCGGAGCTGGGCCTGGGGAGGCTGACTTGAGGACGACTTGGGCCTGCAGAGTCTGCCGGGAGGCAGGAGCTGTCCCTGGACAGGCCTACTTGACGACAGTCTGGTCCTGCAGAGGCTGCTGGGAGGAAGAGCTGGGCCTGGAGAGAACGACTGGAGGAAGTGCAGGATTTGGAGCCCATGCAAAGGAGCAAACGCCAGGCCGGGAGAGGCCGCCCTGACGCATGAGCTTGGCCTCCGGAGGGCCGTGAGGCAGGAGCTGGGCCTGCGGGGGCCGCCCCAAGGCGGGAGCCTGGCCCGAGGAGGCCACGGCGAGGCAAGAGGTGGGCGTGGAGGGCCCACTGTTGAGGTAGAGGCCGCCAACAGGCAGGGGCTGGGCCTGGAGAAGCCAACAGAGGCATGAACTGGGCCTCAACAGGCCAGCGTGAGGGAGGACTTCTCTCAGCGTGAGAGAGGCCAGTGTGAGGCAGGGCCTCACGCTGACCTCCCTCAGCGTGAGAGAGGCCAGTGTGAGGCAGGGCCTCACGCTGACCTCCCTCAGCGTGAGAGAGGCCAGTTTGAGGCAGGGGCCCACGCTGACCTCCCTCAGCGTGAGAGAGGCCAGTGTGAGGCAGGGGCTCACGCTGACCTCCCTCAGCGTGAGAGAGGCCAGTGTGAGGCAGGGGCTCACGCTGACCTCCCTCAGCGTGAGAGAGGCCAATGTGAGGCAGGGGCTCACGCCTCTGGAAAGGGTGCCAGAGGCATGAGTTGGGCCTCAACAGGCCACCGTAACGGAGGAGCTGGGCCGCACACAGGCTGCTGGGAGGCAGGCAGGGACTTGGTCCCGGGAGGCCGCCGTGAGGCGAGAGCTGGGCCTGGAGACGCCCCTGGGAGGCAAGAGCGGGGCCTGCAGAGGCTGTTCTCCAGCCAGACCTGGGCCTGTACAGGCCACCGGGAGGCAGGAGGTGGGACTGAGGAGCTTCGCTGGAGAAAGTTCAGGGTCTACAAAAGCCGGCGGGAGCTGGGCAGGAGCTGAGCCAAAAGAGCTTGCTTGCTGGGAGGCCGGAGCTGGGCCTGGAGAGGCTGACTTCAGGACCACTTGGGCCTGCAGAGGCCGCCGGGAGGCCCAAGCTGGGCCTGGAGAAGCCCACCGACCGGAGGCCGTTTGGGGCCTGGAGACGCCGTCGGAGGGCAGGAGCTGAGCCTGGAGAGGCCACCGTGAGGCCTGAGCTGGGCCTGGGGAGCTTGGCTTGAGGAAGCTGTGGGCCGACCAAGGCCACCACGAGCTGGGCAGGCACTGAGTCCAAAGAGGTTGTTGGGAGGCAGGAGCCGGGCCTGCAGACGCAGCCGGGAGGAAGAGCTGGGCCCGGAGAGGACGCCAGGAGGCTGCAAGTGGGTCTGGAGAGGCCGACTTGAGGAGCTTCTGGGCCCGGAGAGGCCGCCGGACGGGAAAAACTGGGCCGGGAAAGGCCGTTGTGAGGAATGAGCCCCATGGGCCTGAGGAGGCCACTGGCAGGCGGGAGCTGGGCCTGCCGAAGCGGCGGAGAGGCCGGAGCTTTGGACTCGGGAGGCCGCAGGCGAGAGCGAGCTGGGCGTGGAGAGTCCGCTGTGAGGCAGAGGCTGGGCCTGTGCAAGCTTTCGGGAGGCAGGAGGCCAGGCCTGCAGAGGCCGACTGGAGGTCAAGTTCGGGGCCTGCAGAGGCCGCGGAAAGTCAGAAGCGGGGCCTGGGAAGGCCGCCGGGAGGCATGAGCTGGGCTGGGCTGAAAGAGGCCACTGGGAGACAGGAGGAGCTGGACCTGGAGAGACGGACTCGAGGAACTTTTGCACCTGGAGAGGCCGCCGAGAGGCCGGAGCTGGGCCTGGGGAGGCTGACTTGAGGACGACTTGGGCCTGCAGAGTCTGCCGGGAGGCAGGAGCTGTCCCTGGACAGGCCTACTTGACGACAGTCTGGTCCTGCAGAGGCTGCTGGGAGGAAGAGCTGGGCCTGGAGAGAACGACTGGAGGAAGTGCAGGATTTGGAGCCCATGCAAAGGAGCAAACGCCAGGCCGGGAGAGGCCGCCCTGACGCATGAGCTTGGCCTCCGGAGGGCCGTGAGGCAGGAGCTGGGCCTGCGGGGGCCGCCCCAACGCGGGAGCCTGGCCCGAGGAGGCCACGGCGAGGCAAGAGGTGGGCGTGGAGGGCCCACTGTTGAGGTAGAGGCCGCCAACAGGCAGGGGCTGGGCCTGGAGAAGCCAACAGAGGCATGAACTGGGCCTCAACAGGCCAGCGTGAGGGAGGACTTCTCTCAGCGTGAGAGAGGCCAGTGTGAGGCAGGGCCTCACGCTGACCTCCCGCAGCGTGAGAGAGGCCAGTGTGAGGCAGGGGCTCACGCTGACCTCCCTCAGCGTGAGAGAGGCCAATGTGAGGCAGGGGCTCACGCCTCTGGAAAGGGTGCCAGAGGCATGAGTTGGGCCTCAACAGGCCACCGTGACGGAGGAGCTGGGCCGCACACAGGCTGCTGGGAGGCAGGCAGGGACTTGGTCCCGGGAGGCCGCCGTGAGGCGAGAGCTGGGCCTGGAGACGCCCCTGGGAGGCAAGAGCGGGGCCTGCAGAGGCTGTTCTCCAGCCAGACCTGGGCCTGTACAGGCCACCGGGAGGCAGGAGGTGGGACTGAGGAGCTTCGCTGGAGAAAGTTCAGGGTCTACAAAAGCCGGCGGGAGCTGGGCAGGAGCTGAGCCAAAAGAGCTTGCTTGCTGGGAGGCCGGAGCTGGGCCTGGAGAGGCTGCCTTCAGGACCACTTGGGCCTGCAGAGGCCGCCGGGAGGCCCAAGCTGGGCCTGGAGAAGCCCACCGACCGGAGGCCGTTTGGGGCCTGGAGACGCCGTCGGAGGGCAGGAGCTGAGCCTGGAGAGGCCACCGTGAGGCCTGAGCTGGGCCTGGGGAGCTTGGCTTGAGGAAGCTGTGGGCCGACCAAGGCCACCACGAGCTGGGCAGGCACTGAGTCCAAAGACGTTGTTGGGAGGCAGGAGTCGGGCCTGCAGACGCAGCCGGGAGGAAGAGCTGGGCCCGGAGAGGACGCCGGGAGGCTGCAAGTGGGTCTGGAGAGGCCGACTTGAGGAGCTTCTGGGCCCGGAGAGGCCGCCGGAAGGGAAAAACTGGGCCGGGAAAGGCCGTTGTGAGGAATGAGCCCCATGGGCCTGAAGAGGCCACTGGCAGGCGGGAGCTGGGCCTGCCGAAGCGGCGGAGAGGCCGGAGCTTTCGACTCGGGAGGCCGCAGGCGAGAGCGAGCTGGGCGTGGGGAGTCCGCTGTGAGGCAGAGGCTGGGCCTGTGCAAGCTTTCGGGAGGCAGGAGGCCAGGCCTGCAGAGGCCGACTGGAGGTCAAGTTCGGGGCCTGCAGAGGCCGCGGAAAGTCAGAAGCGGGGCCTGGGAAGGCCGCCGGGAGGCATGAGCTGGGCTGGGCTGAAAGAGGCCACTGGGAGACAGGAGGAGCTGGACCTGGAGAGACGGACTCGAGGAACTTTTGCACCTGGAGAGGCCGTCGAGAGGCCGGAGCTGGGCCTGGGGAGGCTGACTTGAGGACGACTTGGGCCTGCAGAGTCTGCCGGGAGGCAGGAGCTGTCCCTGGACAGGCCTACTTGACGACAGTCTGGTCCTGCAGAGGCTGCTGGGAGGAAGAGCTGGGCCTGGAGAGAACGACTGGAGGAAGTGCAGGATTTGGAGCCCATGCAAAGGAGCAAACGCCAGGCCGGGAGAGGCCGCCCTGACGCATGAGCTTGGCCTCCAGAGGGCCGTGAGGCAGGAGCTGGGCCTGCGGGGGCCGCCCCAAGGCGGGAGCCTGGCCCGAGGAGGCCACGGCGAGGCAAGAGGTGGGCGTGGAGGGCCCACTGTTGAGGTAGAGGCCGCCAACAGGCAGGGGCTGGGCCTGGAGAAGCCAACAGAGGCATGAACTGGGCCTCAACAGGCCAGCGTGAGGGAGGACTTCTCTCAGCGTGAGAGAGGCCAGTGTGAGGCAGGGCCTCACGCTGACCTCCCTCAGCGTGAGAGAGGCCAGTGTGAGGCAGGGCCTCACGCTGACCTCCCTCAGCGTGAGAGAGGCCAGTTTGAGGCAGGGGCCCACGCTGACCTCCCTCAGCGTGAGAGAGGCCAGTGTGAGGCAGGGGCTCACGCTGACCTCCCTCAGCGTGAGAGAGGCCAGTGTGAGGCAGGGGCTCACGCTGACCTCCCTCAGCGTGAGAGAGGCCAATGTGAGGCAGGGGCTCACGCCTCTGGAAAGGGTGCCAGAGGCATGAGTTGGGCCTCAACAGGCCACCGTGACGGAGGAGCTGGGCCGCACACAGGCTGCTGGGAGGCAGGCAGGGACTTGGTCCCGGGAGGCCGCCGTGAGGCGAGAGCTGGGCCTGGAGACGCCCCTGGGAGGCAAGAGCGGGGCCTGCAGAGGCTGTTCTCCAGCCAGACCTGGGCCTGTACAGGCCACCGGGAGGCAGGAGGTGGGACTGAGGAGCTTCGCTGGAGAAAGTTCAGGGTCTACAAAAGCCGGCGGGAGCTGGGCAGGAGCTGAGCCAAAAGAGCTTGCTTGCTGGGAGGCCGGAGCTGGGCCTGGAGAGGCTGCCTTCAGGACCACTTGGGCCTGCAGAGGCCGCCGGGAGGCCCAAGCTGGGCCTGGAGAAGCCCACCGACCGGAGGCCGTTTGGGGCCTGGAGACGCCGTCGGAGGGCAGGAGCTGAGCCTGGAGAGGCCACCGTGAGGCCTGAGCTGGGCCTGGGGAGCTTGGCTTGAGGAAGCTGTGGGCCGACCAAGGCCACCACGAGCTGGGCAGGCACTGAGTCCAAAGAGGTTGTTGGGAGGCAGGAGCCGGGCCTGCAGACGCAGCCGGGAGGAAGAGCTGGGCCCGGAGAGGACGCCGGGAGGCTGCAAGTGGGTCTGGAGAGGCCGACTTGAGGAGCTTCTGGGCCCGGAGAGGCCGCCGGAAGGGAAAAACTGGGCCGGGAAAGGCCGTTGTGAGGAATGAGCCCCATGGGCCTGAGGAGGCCACTGGCAGGTGGGAGCTGGGCCTGCCGAAGCGGCGGAGAGGCCGGAGCTTTGGACTCGGGAGGCCGCAGGCGAGAGCGAGCTGGGCGTGGAGAGTCCGCTGTGAGGCAGAGGCTGGGCCTGTGCAAGCTTTCGGGAGGCAGGAGGCCAGGCCTGCAGAGGCCGACTGGAGGTCAAGTTCGGGGCCTGCAGAGGCCGCGGAAAGTCAGAAGCGGGGCCTGGGAAGGCCGCCGGGAGGCATGAGCTGGGCTGGGCTGAAAGAGGCCACTGGGAGACAGGAGGAGCTGGACCTGGAGAGACGGACTCGAGGAACTTTTGCACCTGGAGAGGCCGCCGAGAGGCCGGAGCTGGGCCTGGGGAGGCTGACTTGAGGACGACTTGGGCCTGCAGAGTCTGCCGGGAGGCAGGAGCTGTCCCTGGACAGGCCTACTTGACGACAGTCTGGTCCTGCAGAGGCTGCTGGGAGGAAGAGCTGGGCCTGGAGAGAACGACTGGAGGAAGTGCAGGATTTGGAGCCCATGCAAAGGAGCAAACGCCAGGCCGGGAGAGGCCGCCCTGACGCATGAGCTTGGCCTCCGGAGGGCCGTGAGGCAGGAGCTGGGCCTGCGGGGGCCGCCCCAAGGCGGGAGCCTGGCCCGAGGAGGCCACGGCGAGGCAAGAGGTGGGCGTGGAGGGCCCACTGTTGAGGTAGAGGCCGCCAACAGGCAGGGGCTGGGCCTGGAGAAGCCAACAGAGGCATGAACTGGGCCTCAACAGGCCAGCGTGAGGGAGGACTTCTCTCAGCGTGAGAGAGGCCAGTGTGAGGCAGGGCCTCACGCTGACCTCCCTCAGCATGAGAGAGGCCAGTGTGAGGCAGGGCCTCACGCTGACCTCCCTCAGCGTGAGAGAGGCCAGTTTGAGGCAGGGGCCCACGCTGACCTCCCTCAGCGTGAGAGAGGCCAGTGTGAGGCAGGGGCCCACGCTGACCTCCCTCAGCGTGAGAGAGGCCAGTGTGAGGCAGGGGCTCACGCTGACCTCCCTCAGCGTGAGAGAGGCCAATGTGAGGCAGGGGCTCACGCCTCTGGAAAGGGTGCCAGAAGCATGAGTTGGGCCTCAACAGGCCACCGTGACGGAGGAGCTGGGCCGCACACAGGCTGCTGGGAGGCAGGCAGGGACTTGGTCCCGGGAGGCCGCCGTGAGGCGAGAGCTGGGCCTGGAGACGCCCCTGGGAGGCAAGAGCGGGGCCTGCAGAGGCTGTTCTCCAGCCAGACCTGGGCCTGTACAGGCCACCGGGAGGCAGGAGGTGGGACTGAGGAGCTTCGCTGGAGAAAGTTCAGGGTCTACAAAAGCCGGCGGGAGCTGGGCAGGAGCTGAGCCAAAAGAGCTTGCTTGCTGGGAGGCCGGAGCTGGGCCTGGAGAGGCTGACTTCAGGACCACTTGGGCCTGCAGAGGCCGCCGGGAGGCCCAAGCTGGGCCTGGAGAAGCCCACCGACCGGAGGCCGTTTGGGGCCTGGAGACGCCGTCGGAGGGCAGGAGCTGAGCCTGGAGAGGCCACCGTGAGGCCTGAGCTGGGCCTGGGGAGCTTGGCTTGAGGAAGCTGTGGGCCGACCAAGGCCACCACGAGCTGGGCAGGCACTGAGTCCAAAGAGGTTGTTGGGAGGCAGGAGCCGGGCCTGCAGACGGAGCCGGGAGGAAGAGCTGGGCCCGGAGAGGACGCCGGGAGGCTGCAAGTGGGTCTGGAGAGGCCGACTTGAGGAGCTTCTGGGCCCGGAGAGGCCGCCGGACGGGAAAAACTGGGCTGGGAAAGGCCGTTGTGAGGAATGAGCCCCATGGGCCTGAGGAGGCCACTGGCAGGTGGGAGCTGGGCCTGCCGAAGCGGCGAAGAGGCCGGAGCTTTGGACTCGGGAGGCCGCAGGCGAGAGCGAGCTGGGCGTGGAGAGTCCGCTGTGAGGCAGAGGCTGGGCCTGTGCAAGCTTTCGGGAGGCAGGAGGCCAGGCCTGCAGAGGCCGACTGGAGGTCAAGTTCGGGGCCTGCAGAGGCCGCGGAAAGTCAGAAGCGGGGCCTGGGAAGGCCGCCGGGAGGCATGAGCTGGGCTGGGCTGAAAGAGGCCACTGGGAGACAGGAGGAGCTGGACCTGGAGAGACGGACTCGAGGAACTTTTGCACCTGGAGAGGCCGCCGAGAGGCCGGAGCTGGGCCTGGGGAGGCTGACTTGAGGACGACTTGGGCCTGCAGAGTCTGCCGGGAGGCAGGAGCTGTCCCTGGACAGGCCTACTTGACGACAGTCTGGTCCTGCAGAGGCTGCTGGGAGGAAGAGCTGGGCCTGGAGAGAACGACTGGAGGAAGTGCAGGATTTGGAGCCCATGCAAAGGAGCAAACGCCAGGCCGGGAGAGGCCGCCCTGACACATGAGCTTGGCCTCCGGAGGGCCGTGAGGCAGGAGCTGGGCCTGCGGGAGCTGCCCCAAGGCGGGAGCCTGGCCCGAGGAGGCCACGGCGAGGCAAGAGGTGGGCGTGGAGGGCCCACTGTTGAGGTAGAGGCCGCCAACAGGCAGGGGCTGGGCCTGGAGAAGCCAACAGAGGCATGAACTGGGCCTCAACAGGCCAGCGTGAGGGAGGACTTCTCTCAGCGTGAGAGAGGCCAGTGTGAGGCAGGGCCTCACGCTGACCTCCCTCAGCGTGAGAGAGGCCAGTGTGAGGCAGGGCCTCACGCTGACCTCCCTCAGCGTGAGAGAGGCCAGTTTGAGGCAGGGGCCCACGCTGACCTCCCTCAGCGTGAGAGAGGCCAGTGTGAGGCAGGGGCCCACGCTGACCTCCCTCAGCGTGAGAGAGGCCAGTGTGAGGCAGGGGCTCACGCTGACCTCCCTCAGCGTGAGAGAGGCCAATGTGAGGCAGGGGCTCACGCCTCTGGAAAGGGTGCCAGAAGCATGAGTTGGGCCTCAACAGGCCACTGTGACAGAGGAGCTGGGCCGCACACAGGCTGCTGGGAGGCAGGCAGGGACTTGGTCCCGGGAGGCCGCCGTGAGGCGAGAGCTGGAACTGGAGACGCCCCTGGGAGGCAAGAGCGGGGCCTGCAGAGGCTGTACTCCAGCCAGACCTGGGCCTGTACAGGCCACCGGGAGGCAGGAGGTGGGACTGAGGAGCTTCGCTGGAGAAAGTTCAGGGTCTACAAAAACCGGCGGGAGCTGGGCAGGAGCTGAGCCAAAAGAGCTTGCTTGCTGGGAGGCCGGAGCTGGGCCTGGAGAGGCTGACTTCAGGACCACTTGGGCCTGCAGAGGCCGCCGGGAGGCCCAAGCTGGGCCTGGAGAAGCCCACCGACCGGAGGCCGTTTGGGGCCTGGAGACGCCGTCGGAGGGCAGGAGCTGAGCCTGGAGAGGCCACCGTGAGGCCTGAGCTGGGCCTGGGGAGCTTGGCTTGAGGAAGCTGTGGGCCGACCAAGGCCACCACGAGCTGGGCAGGCACTGAGTCCAAAGACGTTGTTGGGAGGCAGGAGTCGGGCCTGCAGACGCAGCCGGGAGGAAGAGCTGGGCCCGGAGAGGACGCCGGGAGGCTGCAAGTGGGTCTGGAGAGGCCGACTTGAGGAGCTTCTGGGCCCGGAGAGGCCGCCGGAAGGGAAAAACTGGGCCGGGAAAGGCCGTTGTGAGGAATGAGCCCCATGGGCCTGAAGAGGCCACTGGCAGGCGGGAGCTGGGCCTGCCGAAGCGGCGGAGAGGCCGGAGCTTTGGACTCGGGAGGCCGCAGGCGAGAGCGAGCTGGGCGTGGAGAGTCCGCTGTGAGGCAGAGGCTGGGCCTGTGCAAGCTTTCGGGAGGCAGGAGGCCAGGCCTGCAGAGGCCGACTGGAGGTCAAGTTCGGGGGCCTGCAGAGGCCGCGGAAAGTCAGAAGCGGGGCCTGGGAAGGCCGCCGGGAGGCATGAGCTGGGCTGGGCTGAAAGAGGCCACTGGGAGACAGGAGGAGCTGGACCTGGAGAGACGGACTCGAGGAACTTTTGCACCTGGAGAGGCCGCCGAGAGGCCGGAGCTGGGCCTGGGGAGGCTGACTTGAGGACGACTTGGGCCTGCAGAGTCTGCCGGGAGGCAGGAGCTGTCCCTGGACAGGCCTACTTGACGACAGTCTGGTCCTGCAGAGGCTGCTGGGAGGAAGAGCTGGGCCTGGAGAGAACGACTGGAGGAAGTGCAGGATTTGGAGCCCATGCAAAGGAGCAAACGCCAGGCCGGGAGAGGCCGCCCTGACGCATGAGCTTGGCCTCCAGAGGGCCGTGAGGCAGGAGCTGGGCCTGCGGGGGCCGCCCCAAGGCGGGAGCCTGGCCCGAGGAGGCCACGGCGAGGCAAGAGGTGGGCGTGGAGGGCCCACTGTTGAGGTAGAGGCCGCCAACAGGCAGGGGCTGGGCCTGGAGAAGCCAACAGAGGCATGAACTGGGCCTCAACAGGCCAGCGTGAGGGAGGACTTCTCTCAGCGTGAGAGAGGCCAGTGTGAGGCAGGGCCTCACGCTGACCTCCCTCAGCTTGAGAGAGGCCAGTGTGAGGCAGGGGCCCACGCTGACCTCCCTCAGCGTGAGAGAGGCCAGTGTGAGGCAGGGGCTCACGCTGACCTCCCTCAGCGTGAGAGAGGCCAGTGTGAGACAGGGGCTCACGCTGACCTCCCTCAGTGTGAGAGAGGCCAATGTGAGGCAGGGGCTCACGCCTCTGGAAAGGGTGCCAGAGGCATGAGTTGGGCCTCAACAGGCCACCGTGACGGAGGAGCTGGGCCGCACACAGGCTGCTGGGAGGCAGGCAGGGACTTGGTCCCGGGAGGCCGCCGTGAGGCGAGAGCTGGGCCTGGAGACGCCCCTGGGAGGCAAGAGCGGGGCCTGCAGAGGCTGTTCTCCAGCCAGACCTGGGCCTGTACAGGCCACCGGGAGGCAGGAGGTGGGACTGAGGAGCTTCGCTGGAGAAAGTTCAGGGTCTACAAAAGCCGGCGGGAGCTGGGCAGGAGCTGAGCCAAAAGAGCTTGCTTGCTGGGAGGCCGGAGCTGGGCCTGGAGAGGCTGCCTTCAGGACCACATGGGCCTGCAGAGGCCGCCGGGAGGCCCAAGCTGGGCCTGGAGAAGCCCACCGACCGGAGGCCGTTTGGGGCCTGGAGACGCCGTCGGAGGGCAGGAGCTGAGCCTGGAGAGGCCACCGTGAGGCCTGAGCTGGGCCTGGGGAGCTTGGCTTGAGGAAGCTGTGGGCCGACCAAGGCCACCAGGAGCTGGGCAGGCACTGAGTCCAAAGAGGTTGTTGGGAGGCAGGAGCCGGGCCTGCAGATGCAGCCGGGAGGAAGAGCTGGGCCCGGAGAGGACGCCGGGAGGCTGCAAGTGGGTCTGGAGAGGCCGACTTGAGGAGCTTCTGGGCCCGGAGAGGCCGCCGGAAGGGAAAAACTGGGCCGGGAAAGGCCGTTGTGAGGAATGAGCCCCATGGGCCTGAGGAGGCCACTGGCAGGCGGGAGCTGGGCCTGCCGAAGCGGCGGAGAGGCCGGAGCTTTGGACTCGGGAGGCCGCAGGCGAGAGCGAGCTGGGCGTGGAGGGTCCGCTGTGAGGCACAGGCTGGGCCTGTGCAAGCTTTCGGGAGGCAGGAGGCCAGGCCTGCAGAGGCCGACTGGAGGTCAAGTTCGGGGCCTGCAGAGGCCGCGGAAAGTCAGAAGCGGGGCCTGGGAAGGCCGCCGGGAGGCATGAGCTGGGCTGGGCTGAAAGAGGCCACTGGGAGACAGGAGGAGCTGGACCTGGAGAGACGGACTCGAGGAACTTTTGCACCTGGAGAGGCCGCCGAGAGGCCGGAGTTGGGCCTGGGGAGGCTGACTTGAGGACGACTTGGGCCTGCAGAGTCTGCCGGGAGGCAGGAGCTGTCCCTGGACAGGCCTACTTGACGACAGTCTGGTCCTGCAGAGGCTGCTGGGAGGAAGAGCTGGGCCTGGAGAGAACGACTGGAGGAAGTACAGGATTTGGAGCCCATGCAAAGGAGCAAACGCCAGGCCGGGAGAGGCCGCCCTGACGCATGAGCTTGGCCTCTGGAGGGCCGTGAGGCAGGAGCTGGGCCTGCGGGGGCCGCCCCAAGGCGGGAGCCTGGCCCGAGGAGGCCACGGCGAGGCAAGAGGTGGGCGTGGAGGGCCCACTGTTGAGGTAGAGGCCGCCAACAGGCAGGGGCTGGGCCTGGAGAAGCCAACAGAGGCATGAACTGGGCCTCAACAGGCCAGCGTGAGGGAGGACTTCTCTCAGCGTGAGAGAGGCCAGTGTGAGGCAGGGCCTCACGCTGACCTCCCTCAGCGTGAGAGAGGCCAGTGTGAGGCAGGGCCTCACGCTGACCTCCCTCAGCGTGAGAGAGGCCAGTGTGAGGCAGGGGCCCACGCTGACCTCCCTCAGCGTGAGAGAGGCCAGTGTGAGGCAGGGGCCCACGCTGACCTCCCTCAGCGTGAGAGAGGCCAGTGTGAGGCAGGGGCTCACGCTGACCTCCCTCAGTGTGAGAGAGTCCAATGTGAGGCAGGGGCTCACGCCTCTGGAAAGGGTGCCAGAGGCATGAGTTGGGCCTCAACAGGCCACCATGACGGAGGAGCTGGGCCGCACACAGGCTGCTGGGAGGCAGGCAGGGACTTGGTCCCGGGAGGCCGCCGTGAGGCGAGAGCTGGGCCTGGAGACGCCCCTGGGAGGCAAGAGCGGGGCCTTCAGAGGCTGTTCTCCAGCCAGACCTGGGCCTGTACAGGCCACCGGGAGGCAGGAGGTGGGACTGAGGAGCTTCGCTGGAGAAAGTTCAGGGTCTATAAAAGCCGGCGGGAGCTGGGCAGGAGCTGAGCCAAAAGAGCTTGCTTGCTGGGAGGCCGGAGCTGGGCCTGGAGAGGCTGACTTCAGGACCACTTGGGCCTGCAGAGGCCGCCGGGAGGCCCAAGCTGGGCCTGGAGAAGCCCACCGACCGGAGGCTGTTTGGGGCCTGGAGACGCCGTCGGAGGGCAGGAGCTGAGCCTGGAGAGGCCACCGTGAGGCCTGAGCTGGGCCTGGGGAGCTTGGCTTGAGGAAGCTGTGGGCCGACCAAGGCCACCACGAGCTGGGCAGGCACTGAGTCCAAAGAGGTTGTTGGGAGGCAGGAGCCGGGCCTGCAGACGCAGCCGGGAGGAAGAGCTGGGCCCGGAGAGGACGCCAGGAGGCTGCAAGTGGGTCTGGAGAGGCCGACTTGAGGAGCTTCTGGGCCCGGAGAGGCCGCCGGAAGGGAAAAACTGGGCCGGGAAAGGCCGTTGTGAGGAATGAGCCCCCTGGGCCTGAGGAGGCCACTGGCAGGCGGGAGCTGGGCCTGCCGAAGCGGCGGAGAGGCCGGAGCTTTGGACTCGGGAGGCCGCAGGCGAGAGCGAGCTGGGCGTGGAGGGTCCGCTGTGAGGCAGAGGCTGGGCCTGTGCAAGCTTTCGGGAGGCAGGAGGCCAGGCCTGCAGAGGCCGACTGGAGGTCAAGTTCGGGGCCTGCAGAGGCCGCGGAAAGTCAGAAGCGGGGCCTGGGAAGGCCGCCGGGAGGCATGAGCTGGGCTGGGCTGAAAGAGGCCACTGGGAGACAGGAGGAGCTGGACCTGGAGAGACGGACTCGAGGAACTTTTGCACCTGGAGAGGCCGCCGAGAGGCCGGAGCTGGGCCTGGGGAGGCTGACTTGAGGACGACTTGGGCCTGCAGAGTCTGCCGGGAGGCAGGAGCTGTCCCTGGACAGGCCTACTTGACGACAGTCTGGTCCTGCAGAGGCTGCTGGGAGGAAGAGCTGGGCCTGGAGAGAACGACTGGAGGAAGTGCAGGATTTGGAGCCCATGCAAAGGAGCAAACGCCAGGCCGGGAGAGGCCGCCCTGACGCATGAGCTTGGCCTCCGGAGGGCCGTGAGGCAGGAGCTGGGCCTGCGGGGGCCGCCCCAAGGTGGGAGCCTGGCCCGAGGAGGCCACGGCGAGGCAAGAGGTGGGCGTGGAGGGCCCACTGTTGAGGTAGAGGCCGCCAACAGGCAGGGGCTGGGCCTGGAGAAGCCAACAGAGGCATGAACTGGGCCTCAACAGGCCAGCGTGAGGGAGGACTTCTCTCAGCGTGAGAGAGGCCAGTGTGAGGCAGGGCCTCACGCTGACCTCCCTCAGCGTGAGAGAGGCCAGTGTGAGGCAGGGCCTCACGATGACCTCCCTCAGCGTGAGAGAGGCCAGTGTGAGGCAGGGGCCCACGCTGACCTCCCTCAGCGTGAGAGAGGCCAGTGTGAGGCAGGGGCTCACGCTGACCTCCCTCAGCGTGAGAGAGGCCAGTGTGAGGCAGGGGCTCACGCTGACCTCCCTCAGTGTGAGAGAGGCCAATGTGAGGCAGGGGCTCACGCCTCTGGAAAGGGTGCCAGAGGCATGAGTTGGGCCTCAACAGGCCACCATGACGGAGGAGCTGGGCCGCACACAGGCTGCTGGGAGGCAGGCAGGGACTTGGTCCCGGGAGGCTGCCGTGAGGCGAGAGCTGGGCCTGGAGACACCCCTGGGAGGCAAGAGCGGGGCCTGCAGAGGCTGTTCTCCAGCCAGACCTGGGCCTGTACAGGCCACCGGGAGGCAGGAGGTGGGACTGAGGAGCTTCGCTGGAGAAAGTTCAGGGTCTACAAAAGCCGGCGGGAGCTGGGCAGGAGCTGAGCCAAAAGAGCTTGCTTGCTGGGAGGCCGGAGCTGGGCCTGGAGAGGCTGACTTCAGGACCACTTGGGCCTGCAGAGGCCGCCGGGAGGCCCAAGCTGGGCCTGGAGAAGCCCACCGACCGGAGGCCGTTTGGGGCCTGGAGACGCCGTCAGAGGGCAGGAGCTGAGCCTGGAGAGGCCACCGTGAGGCCTGAGCTGGGCCTGGGGAGCTTGGCTTGAGGAAGCTGTGGGCCGACCAAGGCCACCACGAGCTGGGCAGGCACTGAGTCCAAAGAGGTTGTTGGGAGGCAGGAGTCGGGCCTGCAGACGCAGCCGGGAGGAAGAGCTGGGCCCGGAGAGGACGCCGGGAGGCTGCAAGTGGGTCTGGAGAGGCCGACTTGAGGAGCTTCTGGGCCCGGAGAGGCCGCCGGAAGAGAAAAACTGGGCCTGGAAAGGCCGTTGTGAGGAATGAGCCCCATGGGCCTGAAGAGGCCACTGGTAGGCGGAAGTTGGGCCTGCCGAAGTGGCGGAGAGGCAGGAGCTTTGGACTCGGGAGGCCGCAGTGAGGCGAGAGCGAGCTGGGCGTGGAGAGTCCGCTGTGAGGCAGAGGCTGGGCCTGTGCAAGCCTTCGGGAGGCAGGAGGCCGGGCCTGGAGAGGCCGACTGGAGGTCAAGTTCGGGACCTGCAGAGGCTGTGGAAAGTCAAAAGCGGGGCCTGGGAAGGCAGCTGGGAGGCATGAGCTGGCCTGGGCTGAAAGAGGCCACTGGGAGACAGGAGGAGCTGGACCTGGAGAGACGGACTCGAGGAACTTTTGCACTTGGAGAGGCCGCCAAGAGGCCAGAGCTGGGCCTGGGGAGGCTGACTTGAGGATGACTTGGGCCTACAGAGGCCACCAGGAGGCAGGAGCTGTCCCTAGACAGGCCTACTTGACGACAGTCTGGTCCTGCAGAGGCTGCCGGTAGGAAGAGTTCGGCCCGGAGAGGACGCCGGGAGGCTGCAAGTGTGTCTGGAGAGGCTGACTTGAGGAGCTTCTGGGCCCGGAGAGGCCGCCGGAAGGGAAAAACTGGGCTTGGAAAGGCCGTTGTGAGGAATGAGCCCTATGGGCCTGAAGAGACCACTGGCAGGCGGGAGCTGGGTCTGCCGAAGCGGCCGAGAGGCAGGAGCTTTGGACTCGGGAGGCCGCAGTGAGGCGAGACCTAGCTGTTCGTGGAGAGTCCACTGTGAGGCAGATGCTGGGCCTGTGCAAGCCTTTGGGAGGCAGGAGGCCGAGCCTGGAGAGGCTGACTGGACGTCAAGTTCGGGGCCTGCAGAGGCCACCGAAAGTCAAAAGCGGGGCCTGGGAAGGCCGCCGGGAGGTATGAGCTGGGCTGGGCCGAAAGAGGCCACTGGGAGACAGGAGGAGCTGGGTCTGGAGAGGCTGACTCGAGGAACTTTTGAAACTGGAGAGGCCGCCGAGAGGCCGGAGCTAGGCCTAGGGAGGCTGACTTGAGGATGACTTGGGCCTGCAGAGGCTGCCAGGAGGCAGGAATTGGCTCTGGACAGGCCGACTTGACAGTCTGGGCCTGCAGAGGCCGCCGGGAGGAAGAGCTCAGCCTGGAGAGGCCGACTGGAGGAAGTCCAGGGCCTGGAGAGGATGCAAAGCAGTAAACGCTAGGCCTGGAAAGGCTGCCCTGAGGCACGGGCTTCGCCTACAGAGGCCACTGGGAGGCAGGAGCTGGGCCCGCAGAGGCTCCCGAGAGGGAGGAGCATTGCCCCAGGAGGCCACAGTTAGGAAGAGATGGGCCTGGAGAGCCCACTGTGAGGTAGAGTCCGGGCCTGTAGAGGCCACCGTCAGGCAGGGGCTGCGCCCGTTGAGGCCACAAGAGGCATGAGCTGGGCCTCAACAGGCCAGTGTGAGGCAGGAGCTGACAGTTGGGTAGGTTGCAAGAGGCATGAGTTGGGCCAAAAGAGACCACTGTGAGGGAGGAGCTTGGCCTGTACAAGCTGCCGAAAGGCAGGAACAGCTTTGGACTGGAGAGGCCACAGACAGGGAAGAGCTGGGCGTGGAGAGTCTGCTGTGAGGCAGAGGCTGGGCCTGTACATGCCCTTGGGAAGCAGGAGGCTGGGCCTGGAGAGGCCGACTTGAAGTTTTGCTCCTGCAGAGACCACTTAGAGGCAAGAGCTGGGTGTGGAGAGGCTGACTTGAGGTCGATTTTGGTGTGCAGAAGCCACCGGTAGCTAGGAGTTGGCCCTGGAGAGGCTGATTTGAGAAAAATTTTGGCCTGTAGAGGCCACTGGGAGGGAGAGCTTGGCCTGGAGAGGCCAACTAGAGTAAGTTCAGGGCTTGGAGAGTATGCACAAAAGGAAATGCTCAGCCTGGAAAGTGTGCTGTGAGGCATTAGCTTGGCCTACACAGCACTTGGAGGCAGGAGCTGGGCCTGCAGAGGGTGACTTCAGGACGATTTTGGCCTGCAGAGGCCTTTGGGAGGAAGAGCTTGCCCTGGACTGGCTGACTGGAGGAAGTTTTGGGACAGGAGTATGCGTCAAAAAGCAAAAGTTAGGCTAGGAAAGGCCACTTCGCAGCACGATCTTGGCCTACAAAGGCAATTGCGAGGCAGGAACTGGGCCTGTAGAGGCTGCTTGAAAGGCAGGAGCTTGGCCTTAGGAGGCTATACTCAGGCAAGTGGTGGGCCTGGAGGGTCTACTGTGTGGTAAGAGTCTGGGCCTGTGTAGGCCGACATGAGGCAGGAGCTGAGTTAGGAGAGGCCAACTTTTGGAGAATTTGGGCCTGCAGAGGCTGCCAGGAGGCAAGAGCTGTGCCTGGAGAGTCCGTCTTCTAGCATGAGCTGGGCCTAAAGAGACCATTGTGAGGCAGCAGCTGCCTGGGAGGCAGGCAGATTCGTGGCCTGGGGAGGCCACCGTGAGGCAAATGCTCAGTTTTCGGAGGATGCCGTGAGGCAGGGAGAAACTTGGCTTTCGGTGGCCGCAGTGAGGGAATAGTTTGATTGCTGAGGCTGCTGGGAGGCCGAAGGTGGGCCTGGAAAGCTTTACTTTAAGAAGTCTGTGGCCTACAGAGGCTGCCAGCAGCTCAGCAGGATTTGGGCCAAAGGAGGTTGTTGTGAGGCAGGAGACGGGCCTGTAGACGCACCGGGAGGATGAGCTTGTCCTGGCGATGCCGAGTTAAGCACATTCTGGGCCTGGACAGGCTGCAAAAGGCAAAAGCTGTGCCTGGAAAAGTCGCCATGGGGCATGAGCTTGGCCTAAAGAGGCCATTGCAAGGCAGGAGCTGGGCCCGTAGAGGCTGCCGAAAGGCAGGAGCTCCGCCTGAGGATGCCACAGTGAGACACCATCTGGGTCTGGAGGGTCCACTGTGAGGCAGAGGCTGGCCTGTAGAGTCCGACAGTAGACAGAAGTTGAGCAAAAGGCTAATTTCAGGAAGTTTTGGGCTTCAAGAGTCAGCCAGGAGGCAGGCACTAGGCCTGGAAATGGCCCGACAGTCATGAGTTGGGCCTAAATGGGCCACTGTGAGGGAGGAGCTGTGCCTGTTGAGGCTGCTGGCAGGCAGGCAGAAACTTGGCCTGGAGCAGCTTCCATGAGACAAGAGCTGGGCCTGGAGAAGCCCCTGAGAGGTAAGAGGAGGGCCTGCAGAGGCTGTTCTCAAGTCAAAGCTGGGCCTGTTCATGCCACCGGGAAGCAGAAGGTGGGCCTGGAGAGTTTTACTTGAGGAAGTTTTGGGCCTACATTTGCTGCCGTGAGCTGGACAGGAACTGGGCCAAAAAAGGCTGTTGTGAGGCAGCTGTTGTGAGGCAGCAGTTGTGCCTGTAGACTCAGCCAAGAGGAAGAGTTGGGCCTGGAGAAGCCGCCATGAGACAGAGGTTGGGCCTGTAGACACTGACAGGAGGCAGGAGCTGGGCCTGGAGAGGTCAACTTGAGGAGATTTTGGGCCTTCATAGGCCACCAGGAGGCAGCAGTTGGGACTAGAGAGGCTGACTTGAGGAAGTTTTGGGCCTGGAGATGACGTTTTGGGCCTGGAGATGACGTCCTGGGACAGGAGCTGGGCCTGGAGAGGCCACCGTGAGGCATGAGTTGGATGTAGAGAGGCCAGTGTGAGGCAAGACCTGGGCCTGTCTAGGCTGCTGGGAGACAGGCAGGAATCTGGCCAGGGAAGGTTGCCATGAGACAAAAGTTGGGCCTGGAAAGGCCCTTGTGAGGCATCAGCTTGGCCTAAAGAGGCCACTGGGTGGCAGGAGCTGGGTGTGTAGAAGCTGCTGAAAGGTTGGGAGCTTGGCTTGGGGGGTCCACAGTGAGGCAGATACTGGGCCTGAAGAATCTGCTGTGAGGCAGATGTTGTGACTGTAGAGGCCGACGGGAGGCAGAGGCTGGGCCTGGAGAGGCCAAGATGCAGGAGCTGGGCCTGGAGAGGCTGCCAAGAAGCATGAACTGGGCCTAAACAGGCCAGTGTGAGGCAAGAGATCAGCCTGTAGAGAGGCCTACTTGAGGAAGATTTTGGCCTGGAGAGACTGTCAGGGGCAGGAGCTGGGCCTGTTGAGCCTGCTGGGAGGCAGGCAGGAACTTGGCCAGGGATGACCTCTGTGAGGCAAGAGCTGAGCCTAGAGAGGCCACTGTCTTTCAGGAGCTGGGCCTATTCAAGCTGCCGGGAGGCAGAAGGTTGTGCTGGAAAACTTGATGTGAGAAAGTTTTGGGCCTATAAAGGCTGCCAGGAGCTGGGCAGGAGCTGAGCCGAAAGAGGTTGTTGTGAGGTAGGAGGTGGGCCTGGAGATGCAGCCGGGAGGAAGAGCTGGACCTGGAGAGGCCCACTTGAGGAAGTTCTGGGTCTGGAGATGCTGCCAAAAGGCAAAAGCTGGGCCAGAATGGCCACTGTGAGGCATAAGCTTGCCCTAGAGAGGCCATTGAGGCAGGAGTGGGGCCTGTAGAGGCTGCTGAAAGGCAGGAGCTTGGCCTAGGGGGCTGCAGTGAGGCACATGCTGGGCTGGGAAAATCTGCTGTGAGGCAGACGTTGAGCCTGTAGAGGCTGACGGAAGGCACAAGTTGGGCCTGGAATGGCAGACTTGAGAAAGTTCTCGGTCTAGAGAAGCTGCTGGGATGCAGGAGCTGTGCCTGGAGAGGCCGACTTGAGGAAGTTTCCGGCACGGACAGCCTGTCGGGGGGCAGGAGCTGGGCCTGGAGAGGCCACCGTGAGGCATGAGCTGGTCCTAATGAGATTAGTGTGAGGCAGGATCTGGGCCTGTTGAGGCTGCTGGGAGGCAGGTAGGACCTTGTTTGGGGAAGGCCTCTGTGAGGCAAAAGCTGGGCCTGGAGAGGCCATTGTCACGCAGGAGCTGGGCCTGTCCAGGCCATTGGGAGGCAGAAGGTGGGCCTGGAAAGCTTGACTTGAGGCAGTTTGGGGCCTACAAAGGCCAGTAGGAGCTGGGCAGGAGCTGAGCCAAAAGAGGTTGTTCTGAGGCAGGAGTTGGACCTCCAGACACAGTCAGAAGAAAGAGCACAGCCTGTAGAGGCCACCTGGGGGCAGCAGCTGGGCCTAGAGATGCCAACGAAAGGCAGGAGCTGGGCCTTGAGAGGCTGACTTGTGGACATTTTGGCCCTGGATTTTGTGGCCTGGACTTACGGACATTTGGGCCTCCTGCAAAGAGGCAGGAGCTGGGACTAAAGAGGCCATTGTAAGGCAGGAGCTGGGCCTGTACAGGCTGCCAGGAGTCAGAAGATGGGCCTCAAGAGGCCACTGTAAAACAGGAGCTGGGTCTTGGAAGGTGGCCGTGAGGCAAAAGCTGGCCCTTGGGAGGCCAATGAGTGGCAGGAGCTGGGCCTGGTGAGGTCGACTTGAGAAAGTTCAGGGCCTGGAGAGAAGGCTGGGAGGCAGGAGCTGGGTCTAAAGAGGCCATTGTAACGATGGAGCTGTGCCTGTGGAGGCTGTTGTGAGGCAGTAGCCTCATCTGCGGAGACTGTCGTGAGATATGGTATGGGCCTAAATAGGCCATTGTGAGTCATGAGCTTGGTCTGTAGCGGCTGAGTGGAGAAAGTTCTGGGCCTGAAGAGGCTGCTGGGAGGCAGGAGCTGGGCCAAAAGAGCCAAGCACATTACATTTATTAGGTACTTTATTTCCCCTATTATGTTGTAAGATATAATGAAATTATAGAATTCACCATAATGTAGAATCAGTGGCCGTGTTAAGCCTGTTTTCCTGCGACTAGATGGTCCCATCCTCTCAGTGTGATGGGAGAAAGTGACAGATCATCAGGCATTAGATTCTCATAGGGACAGCGCAACCTAGATCCCTCACATGCACAGTTCACAAATAGGGTGTGAGCTCCTATGAGAATCTAATGCTGCTGCTGATCTGAGAGGAGGAGCAGCTCAGGCAGGAATGTGAGCAGAGGGGAGTGGCTGTACATACAGATGAAGCTTCCCTCACTTGACACCACTCACCTCCTGCTGTGTGGCTCCTTACAGCTCCATGGCTCAGGGGTTGGGGACCCCTGCTCAAGTGCATCCAAAAGGACCCTTCCCACAGCAGTCTTCATAGTGGTCAAGTGCAGCAACCACTTAACTCCCAAGGCATGTGCCTCAGCTGGCATTTCATCACAATCAACAGTAAGTGGTAGCTTGAGTCATTGTGAGGTCACTTCCTGGAAATCACCAGCATTCCATTTCCCATTGGCAAGGAGCTCAGCACTGCCCCTTGGATAACCAAACCTATGCCCAAATCCCATCTGTGTGGGTTTATCTCCTGGGACCCTTCCTAGCATATTAGAGTCCAATCAGGAGACATAAACCATTCAAAGGTTTAAAGTGGTAAAATTTAACACAGAGAATTATTCATTATAACAGGGGAACAGCATAATGAGAGATTGGCTAGCACAAAGTAAAGAGAACTCTGGAAAATAAAAGACTAGCACAGGCCAGACATCATGGCTCATGCCTGAAATTCCAGCAATTTCAGAAGCCAACGCAGGAGGATTGCTTGAGGCCAGGAGCTAGAGACCGGCCTGGACAGCACAGCAAGACCCTGTCTCTAACCAAAAAAAGAAAAAAATTAGCTGGGAGTGCTGGTGCACACTTGCAGTCCCAGCTACTTGGGAAGCTGACATGGGAGGGTAGTTTGAGCATGGGAGGTCAAGGCTGCAGTGAGTCATGATTATGCCATTACAGTCATCAAGCCTGGGTGACAGAGCAAGACCCTGTCTCAAAGAACAAAACAACAACAACCATTTACAGACAGAAAAGAAATAGAGCTAATAAGCTAAGGAAAGATGTTAAAATGTGACAAAGTAACATGAGGTCTTTTATCTATTTAAAATAATGAAAAAAACATTAAATTATAATACCCTGTGCTGGCAGAGGTGCAGTGAAATGGACACTTTCTTATACTATGAGGAGTGTTTAAGTAGTACATAGCCTTCCAGGGTAAAGGTTGGCAATTTTTTAAAATAATAGAGACAGGGTCTCACCTTACTGCCTCCTCCAACTCTTGGCCTCAAGCAATCGTCCTGTCTTAGCCTCCAAAGGGCTGGGATTATAGCTGGGAGGCACCCAAAACCTTGTCAGTTTACATCAAGGGCAATGAGAATGTCCATTCACCATTACTCACAGTAATCTTGCTTCTGGAAATACCTTGGGGAGACAATTCAATCTAAACAAAAGGTCAACTGTACAAACACAGTGAAAATCTAGGAGTAATTGAAGACAGAGTAGTTAAATGGAATAAACAGTTATAAGAAATTAAACTATGATATTTATAGGCACCTGGTAAAAGGTCACTTCATGTTAGCTGCTACTTTTTTGAGACAGGGTGTCACTCTGTCACCCAGACTGGAGTGCAGAGGCCTGATCATGACTCACTGCAGTCTCAGCTTCCCTGGGCTCAAGTGATCTTCCCACCTCAGCCTCCCAAGTAGCTGGGACTACAGGAACACATCACCACACTAGGCTAATTCATGTATTTTTCTATAGAGATGGTGACTCCCTTTCTTTCCGAGACCTGTCTCAAACTCTTGACCTCAAGCCATCCTCCTGCCTCAGCCTCCCAAAGTATTGTGATTAATGGTGTGAGCCACCACACTTGGCCAGTTGCTACTTTTATCAATATTATTATTCCACTCCATTAAAAATTATTTGTCATTACAAATTATTATTTTAAAGGCTATGGAACAATATGTGTCCCACAGCATAATTGTAAAACCACATACAGTTGTCCCTTGGTATACAGAGAGAATTAGTTCCAGCCACCTATCTCTGCATATAACAAAATCCATGCATACTCACGTTTCGCAGTCATCCCTCTGGAACCCACATATAGAAAAAGTCCAAATATGAGTTGGGCATAGAGGCAAGCACCTATAGTCTCAGCAACTTGGGAGGCTGAGGTGGGAGGATTGCTTGAGCCTGGGAGGTTGAGACTGAAGACAGCTGTGATAGCACCACCACACTCCAGCCTGGACAACTGAGCAAGACCTTGTCTTGGGGGGGGAAAAAAAAAACAAAACAGGTTAGAAATTCTAATGAGATCTGTTGGGTAAAATTCCATATAAGCGAAAAATAAATGAAGCA
Source organism: Homo sapiens (assembly GCF_000001405.40). Classification (NCBI taxonomy): domain Eukaryota; kingdom Metazoa; phylum Chordata; class Mammalia; order Primates; family Hominidae; genus Homo; species Homo sapiens. The sequence goes on along the minus strand of NC_000007.14, from coordinate 63,741,512 downwards.
AATTGTGATAAATCAGTACAACGGACTTTTTGGAGTCTCTGACAATAAAGGTAAGAAAAATGCAAAACACAGAGATAGATGGTAAAAAAAAGAAATTAGGGAAGCATTGTGTATGTTTAATAAGAAGACGCTGGCCATGTTTGTGCAGCAGCAGTATGTCACAATACGATATACCTTGGAGAGCAGTTAACTGACGAGGAAGTTGATAAAAATGATCAGAGAAGCAAAATACTGATAGCGATAGTCAAGTAAACCACGAAGAATTTCCATAACTGATGTCAGCAAGGTGGGAATATTGTACAGTGTGTGTTGAAGTTCTTATACAACAGTTTATTTGCCTTTTGTTTTTTTGTAAGGAACATATATACTAAAAGTTCTCCTTGCTGTCAAAAGAATATGTGTGAGTAAGTTATTTGAACTTTTCTGTTTTTCTACTTTTCCTGCCATCATCCCACAGCCTTTAGACATTTTTTATTTTTTTAGAAAATTGAACAAGTGCTTGTTGTCGTGGCTCATACCTCTAGGATGGGAGGCAGGGGTAGAAGGGTCACCTGAGGCCAGGAGTTTGACAACAGCCTGGCCAATAAAGTGAGACCCCATGTCTACAAAACAATTTAAAAATTAGCCAGGTGTCATCATGTATACCTACAGTCCCAGCTACTCAGGAGGCTGAGGCAGGAGGATCCTTAGCCCAGGAGTTCAAAGCTGCAGCAAGCTGTGATGGCACCACTGTACTCCAGCCTGGGTGACAGGGTGAGACCCCATCTCCTAAAAGAAAAAAGAAAGAAAGAAAATAGATTAAGTAGCAAGTTGTATGTGGCTTACTTGGAATATTTCTAAACTAGAAGTTCTCAATCTTTCGGGGTCTAGCATCCTTTTACATTTTTTAACTTTATTGAAGATCTCTTAAGACTTTTTCTTTACATAAATATATTAAAATTAGAAAATGACTAAATTTTAAAAATATTATCACATATTAATAAAACCATTACATGTTGATATAATACAAGTTTTTAAAAATATTTAATATACATTACATATTAATAATAAAATCATTACATGTTAATACTTTTTTTTTTTTTTTTTGGAGATGGAGTCTCGCTCTTTCACCCAGGCTGGAGTGAAGTGGCGCGATCTCGGCTCACTGCAACCTCCGCCCCCAGGCTCAAGTGATTCTCCTGCCTCTGCCTCTCAAGTAGCTGGGCAGGTGCCCACCACCATGCCCAGCTAATTTTTGTGTTTTTTTTAGTAGAAACGGGGTTTCACCATGTTGGCCAGGCTGGTCTCGAACTCTTGACCTCAGGTGATCCATCCCCTTGGGTCTCCCAAAGTGCCGGGATTACAGGCATGAGCCACTGCACCCACCCCAATTAATACATTTTTAAAAACACTATGATTAGTCAGGCAACAACACTGGGCAGGGGTCTCCTCATTCCCAGAGACAAACCCCACTGCACAGCTCCGGGGTTGCAAGGGCTGCAGAGACAAAAGGCTCTAACTTGAGATTTCATTATTTTATTTGTATTTCTATTTGTACTGTGAGACAGGTCGTGCTCTGTCACCTAGACTGGAGTGCAGTTGTGTACTTAGAGCTCACTGCAGCCACAATCTCCTGGGCTCAAGCCATCTTTCTGTCTCAGCTCCCCAGTAGCTGGTACTACAGTTGAGTGCCACCATATCTGGCTATTTTTTAAATTTTTTGTAGAGTGAGGGGTCTTGCTATATTGCCCAAGCTGGCCTCAAACTCCTGACCTCAAGAGATCTGCCCACCTCAGCCTCCTGAGTAGCTGGGACTACAAGTATACATCACCATGCCTACCTACATTTATTTTATTAAATTTTGAAAAACATTTTTGTAGAGAGGAGGTCTTGCTATGTTGCCCACACTGGTCTTGAACTCCTGTCCTTAAAAGATACTCCCATCTCTGCTTCCCAAACAGCTGGGACTACAGGCATGAGCCACTGCACTGAAAATGAAGAGATTTCTTTAATCTAGCATCCCATACTTGGTAGGATTGAGAAAGGCAGTAGTGTTTTTTTAAAATTACTTAATAATTCAGTGAGAATCAAACTCAACCTTGACCCCTGCCTTCTCTCACACCCCACATCCAGTCTGTCAGGAAATCCTGTTGACTGTCTTCACCACGTACTGGACTCCCACCCAGCAACTCCCTGGCCTCCTCCCCTACTTCTCTCCTCTGACCATCTCTCACCACCACGACCCTGGTCAAGACCACTAATATCTCCTGCCTGGATGTTGCCACAGCTTGGCCCCCATGCTTCTACCCAAATCTTCCCACAGCCTTTCTAAAATGAGCAGCCAGAGAATGCTTTCAAATCAGGAGACAGATCATGTCGCCTCTCTGCTCAGAACCCTCCCACAGTTCCCATCTCAGTCAGAATAAAAGCCAAAGCCCAAGCCCCAGCAATAACCTCCCAGGGCTTATGTGATATGTACTGATCCCTTCCCCTAATTCCTTCTATCCTTCTGCTCCACTGGCCTCCTTCTAGAGCCTCAGACACACCTCAGACACTTTATCCTGTTTTTCTGCCTATAATCCTCTTCCCTCAGCACCTTGGCCAACTCCTTCCCCTCCTTCAAGTCTTTGCTCAATTTTCACTTAGGAGGACACCCCTGACCATTCTATTTAACATTGCCATCTGTCCCCATGCCCACCATGCTCATGTTTTTTCTTTTTCTGTTTCTTCTCTCTTTCGGTCTCTCTTTCACAAGATCTCACTCTGTCACCAAGGCTGGAGTGCAGCGGTGCAATCACAGCTCACTGTAACCTCAAATTCACAGGCTCAAGCAGTCCTCCCACTTCAGCCTCCCTAGTAGCTGGGACTACAGGTATATGCTATCATCCCTGGCTCATTTTTTTTTATTATTTATTTTATTTTACTTATTTTTTATATATATTTTATTTTATTATTATACTTTAAGTTTTAGGGTACATGTGCACAATGTGCAGGTTAGTTACATATGCATACATGTGCCATGCTGGTGTGCTACACCCATTAACTCGTCATTTAGCATTAGGTATATCTCCTAATGCTATCCCTCCACCCTCCCCCCACCCCACAACAGTCCCCAGAGTGTGATGTTCCCCTTCCTGTGTTCATGTGTTCTCATTGTTCAATTCCCACCTATGAGTGAGAATATGCAGTGTTTGGTTTTTTGTCCTTGCAATAGTTTACTGAGAATAATGATTTCCAATTTCATCCACGTCCCTACAAAGGACATGAACTCATCATTTTTTATGGCTGCATAGTATTCCATGGTGTATATGTGCCACATTTTCTTAATCCAATCTATCATTGTTGGACATTTGGGTTGGTTCCAAGTCTTTGCTATTGTGAATAGTGCCGCAATAAACATACGTGTGCATGTGTCTTTATAGCAGCATGATTTATAGTCCTTTGGGTATATACCCAGTAATGGGACAGCTGGGTCAAATGGTATTTCTAGTTCTAGATCCCTGAGGAATCGCCACACTGACTTCCACAATGGTTGAACTAGTTTACAGTCCCACCAACAGTGTAAAAGCGTTCCTATTTCTCCACATCCTCTCCAGCACCTGTTGTTTCCTGACTTTTTAATGATTGCCATTCTAACTGGTATGAGATGGTATCTCATTGTGGTTTTGATTTGCATTTCTCTGATGGCCAGTGATGGTGAGCATTTTTTCATGTGTTTTTTTGGCTGCATAAATGTCTTCTTTTGAGAAGTGTCTGTTCATGTCCTTTGCCCACTTTTTGATGGGGTTATTTTTTTCTTGTAAATTTGAGTTCATTGTAGATTCTGGATATTAGCCCTTTGTCAGATGAGTAGGTTACGAAAATTTTCTCCCATTTTCTAGGTTGCCTGTTCACTCTGATGGTAGTTTCTTTTGCTGTGCAGAAGCTCTTTAGTTTAATTAGATCCCATTTGTCAATTTTGGCTTTTGTTGCCATTGCTTTTGGTGTTTTAGACATGAAGTCCTTGCCCATGCCTATGTCCTGAATGGTAATGCCTAGGTTTTCTTCTAGGGTTTTTATGGTTTTAGGTCTAATGTTTAAGTCTTTAATCCATCTTGAATTAATTTGTGTATAAGGTGTAAGGAAGGGATCCAGTTTCAGCTTTCTACATATGGCTAGCCAGTTTTCCCAGCACCATTTATTAAATAGGGAATCCTTTCGCCATTGCTTGTTTTTCTCAGGTTTGTCAAAGATCAGATAGTTGTAGATATGTGGTGTTATTTCTGAGGGCTGTGTTCTGTTCCACTGATCTATCTCTCTGTTTTGGTATCAGTACCATGCTATTTTGGTTACTGTAGCCTTGTAGTATAGTTTGAAGTCAGGTAGTGTGATGCCTCCAGCTTTGTTCTTTTGGCTTAGGATTGACTTGGCAATGCGGGCTCTTTTTTGGTTCCATATGAACTTTAAAGTAGTTTTTTCCAATTCTGTGAAGAAAGTCACTGGTAGCTTGATGGGGATGGCATTGAATCTATAAATTACCTTGGGCAGTATGGCCATTTTCACGATATTGATTCTTTCTACCCATGAACATGGAACGTTCTTCCATTTCTTTGTATCCTCTTTTATTTCCTTGAGCAGTGGTTTGTAGTTCTCCTTGAAAGGTCCTTCACATTCCTTGTAAGTTGGATTCCTAGGTATTTTATTCTCTTTGAAGCAATTGTGAAAGGGAGTTCACTCATGATTTGGCTCTGTTTCTCTGTTATTGGTGTATAAGAATGCTTGTGATTTTTGTACATTGATTTTTTTTCCTGAGACTTTGCTGAAGTTGCTTATCAGCTTAAGGAGATTTTGGGCTGAGACAATGGGGTTTTCTAGATATACAATCATGTCGTCTGTAAACAGGGACAATTTGACTTCCTCTTTTCCTACTTGAATACCCTTTATTTCCTTCTCCTGCCTAATTGCCCTGGCCAGAACTTCCAACACTATGTTGAATAGGAGTGGTGAGAGAGGGCATCCCTGTCTTGTGCCAGTTTTCAAAGGGAATGCTTCCAGTTTTTGCCCATTCAGTATGGTATTGGCTGTGGGTTTGTCATAGATAGCTCTTACTATTTTGAGATACGTCCCATCAATACCTAATTTATTGAGAGTTTTTAGCATAAAGCGTTGTTGAATTTTGTCAAAGGCCTTTTCTGCATCTATTGAGATAATCATGTGGTTTTTGTCTTTGGTTCTGTTTATATGCTGGATTACATTTATTGATTTGTGTATAATGAACCAGCCTTGCATCCCAGGGATGAAGCCCACTTGATCATGGTGGATAAGCTTTTTGATATGTTGCTGGATTCAGTCTGCCAGTATTTTCTTGAGGATTTTTGCATCAATGTTCATCAAGGATATTGGTCTAAAATTCTCTTTTTTGGTTGTGTCTCTGCCCAGCTTTGGTATCAGGATGATGCTGGCCTCAGAAAATGAGTTAGGGAGGATTCCCTCTTTCTATTGATTGGAATAGTTTCAGAAGGAATGGTACCAGTTCCTCCTTGTACCTCTGGTAGAATTCGGCTGTGAATCCATCTGGTCCTGGACTTTTTGGTTGGTAAGCTATTGATTATTGCCATAATTTCAGATCCTGTTATTGGTCTATTCAGAGATTCAACTTCTTCCTGGTTTCGTCTTGGGAGGGTGTAAGTGTTGAGGAATTTATCCATTTCTTCTAGATTTTCTAGTTTATTTGCATAGAGGTGTTTGTGGTATTCTCTGATGGTAGTTTGTATTTCTGTGGGATTGGTGGTGATATCCCCTTTATCATTTTTTATTGCGTCTATTTGATTCTTCTCTCTTTTCTTCTTTATTAGTCTTGCTAGCAGTCTATCAATTTTGTTGATCCTTTCAAAAAACTACCTCCTGGATTCATTAATTTTTTGAAGGGTTTTTTGTGTCTCTATTTCCTTCAGTGCTGCTCTGATTTTAGTTATTTATTGCCTTCTGCTGGCTTTTGAATGTGTTTGCTCTTGCTTTTCTAGTTCTTTTAATTGTGATGTTAGGGTTTCAATTTTGGATCTTTCCTGCTTTCTCTTGTGGGCATTTAGTGCTATAAATTTCCCTCTGCACACTGCTTTGAATGTGTCCCAGAGATTCTGGTATGTTGTGCCTTTGTTCTCGTTGGTTTCAAAGAACATCTTTATTTCTGCCTTCATTTTGTTATGTACCCAGTAGTCATTCAGGAGCAGGTTGTTCAGTTTCCATGTAGTTGAGCTGTTTTGAGTGAGTTTCTTAATCCTGAGTTCTAGTTTGATTGCACTGTGGTCTGAGAGACAGTTTGTTATAATTTCTGTTCTTTTACATTTGCTGAGGAGAGCTTTACTTCCAACTATGTGGTCAATTTTGGAATAGATGTGGTGTGGTACTGAAAAAAATGTATATTCTGTTGATTTGGAGTGTAGAGTTCTGTAGATGTCTATTAGGTCCGCTTGGTGCAGAGCTGAGTTCAATTCCTGGGTATCCTTGTTAACTTTCTGTCTCGTTGATCTGTCTAATGTTGACAGTGGGGTGTTAAAATCTCCCATTATTGTTGTGTGGGAGTCTAAGTCTCTTTGTAGGTCTCTCAGGACTTGTTTTATGAATCTGGGTGCTCTTGTATCGGGTGCATATACATTTAGGATAGTTAGCTCTTCTCGTTGAATTGATCCCTTTACCATTATGTAATGGCCTTGTCTCTTTTGATCTTTGTTGGTTTAAAGTCTGTTTTATTAGAGACTAGGATTGCAACCCTGCCTTTTTTTTGTTTTCCATTTGCTTGGTAGATCTTCCTCCATCCTTTTATTTTGAGCCTATGTGTGTCTCTGCACGTGAAATGGGTTTCCTGAATACAGCTCACTGATGGGTCTTGATTATGCAATTTGCCAGTCTGTGTCTTTTAATTGGAGCATTTAGTCCATTTACATTTAAAGTTAATATTGTTATGTGTGAATTTGATCCTGTCATTATGATGTTAGCTGGTTATTTTGCTCGTTAGTTGATGCAGTTTCTTCCTAGCCTCGATGGTCTTTACAATTTGGCATGATTTTGCAGTGGCTGGTACTGGTTGTTCCTTTCCATGTTTAGTGCTTCCTTCAGGAGCTCTTTTAGGGCAGGCCTGGTGGTGACAAAATCTCTCAGCATTTGCTTGTCTGTAAAGGATTTTATTTCTCCTTCACTTATGAAGCTTAGTTTGGCTGGATATGAAATTCTGGGTTGAAAATTCTTTTCTTTAAAAATGTTGAATATTGGCCCCCACTCTCTTCTGGTTTGTAGAGTTTCTGCCGAGAGATCCACTGTTAGTCTGATGGGCTTCCCTTTGTGGGTAACCCGACCTTTCTCTCTAGCTGCCATTAACATTTTTTCCTTCATTTCAACTTTGGTGAATCTGACAATTATGTCTTGGAGTTGCTCTTCTCGAGGAGTATGTTTGTGGCGTTCTCTGTATTTCGTGAATCTGAATGTTGGCCTGCCTTGCTAGATTGGGGAAGTTCTCCTGGATAATATCCTGCAGAGTGTTTTCCAACTTGGTTCCATTCTCCCTGTCACTTTCAGGTACACCAATCAGACGTAGATTTGGTCTTTTCACATAGTCCCATATTTCTTGGAGGCTTTGTTCATTTCTTTTTATTCTTTTTTCTCTAAACTTCCCTTCTCGCTTCATTTCATTCATTTCATCTTCCATCACTGATACCCTTTCTTCCAGTTGATCGCGTCGGCTCCTAAGGCTTCTGCATTCTTCACGTAGTTCTCGAGCCTTGGCTTTCAGCTCCATCAGCTCCTTTAAGCACTTCTCTGTATTGGTTATTCTAGTTATACATTCTTCTAAACTTTTTTCAAAGTTTTTAACTTCTTTGCCTTTGGTTTGAATTTCCTCCTGTAGCTCAGAGTAGTTTGATCATCTGAAGCCTTCTTCTCTCAACTCGTCAAAGTCATTCTCCAACCAGCTTTGTTCCATTGCTGGTGAGGACCTGCGTTCCTTTGGAGGAGGCGACATGCTCTGCTTTTTAGAGTTTCCAGTTTTTCTGCTCTGTTTTTTCCCCATCTTTGTGGTTTTATCTACTTTTGATCTTTGATGATGGTGATGTACAGATGGGTTTTTGGTGTGGATGTCCTTTCTGTTTGTCAGTTTTCCTTCTAACAGACAGGACCCTCAGTTGCAGGTCTGTTGGAGGTTGCTAGAGGTCCACTCCAGACCCTGTTTGCCTGGGTATCAACAGCGGTGGCTGCAGAACAGCGGATTTTTGTGAACCGCGAATGCTGCTGTCTGATCGTTCCTCTGGAAGTTTCGTCTCAGAGAAGTACCCGGCTGTGTGAGGTGTCAGTCTGCCCCTACTGGGGGGTTCCTCCCAGTTAGGCTGCTCAGGGGTCAGGGGTCAGGGACCCACTTGAGGAGGCAGTCTGCCCGTTCTCAGATCTCCAGCTGCATGCTGGGAGAACCACTGCTCTCTTCAAAGCTGTCAGACAGGGACATTTAAGTCTGCAGAGGTTACTGCTGTCTTTTTGTTTGTCTGTGCCCTACCCCCAGAGGTGGAGCCTACAGAGGCAGGCAGGCCTCCTTGAGCTGTGGTGGGCTCCACCCACTTCCAGCTTCCCTGCTGCTTTGTTTACCTAAGCGAGCCTGGGCAATGGCGGGCGCCCCTCCCCCAGCCTCGCTGCCGCCTTGCAGTTTGATCTCAGACTGCTGTGCTAGCAGTCAGCGAGACTCTGTGGGCGTAGGACCCTCCAAGCCATGTGCGGGATATAATCTCCTGGTGCGCCGTTTTTTAAGCCCATCAGAAAAGCGCAGTATTAGGGTGGGAGTGACCTGATTTTCCAGGTGCCGTCCGTCACCCCTTTCTTTGACTAGGAAAGGGAACTCTCTGACCCCTTGTGCTTCCTGAGTGAGGCAATGCCTTGCCCTGCTTTGGCTCGCGCACGGTGCACTGCACCCACTGTCCTGCGCCCACTGTCTGGCATTCCCTAGTGAGATGAACCTGGTACCTCAGATGGAAATGCAGAAATCACCTGTCTTCTGCGTCGCTCATGCTGGGAGATGTAGACCGGAGCTGTTCGTATTCGGCCATCTTGGCTGCCAGACCTATTTTATTTTTTTTTAAATTTTGAGATGGAGTTTTACTCTTCTTGCCCAGGCTGGAGTGCAATGGTGCAATCCCAGCTTACTGCAACTTCCACCTCCTGGATTCAAGTGATTCTCCTGCCTCAGCCTCCCAAGTAGTGGGGATTACAGGTGCTTGCCACCATGCCTGGCTAATTTTTGTATTTCTAGTAGAGACAAGGTTTTGCAATGTTGGCCAGGCTGGTCTCGAACTCCTGACCTCAGGTGACTCACCCACCTCGGCCTCCCAAAGTGCTGAAATTTCAGGCATGAGCCACTGTGCCCAGCCAATTGTTTTATTTTTCATAGAGACAAGGTCTCACCATGTTGCCCAGGTTGGTCTTGAATTCCTGGCCTCATGTGATCCTCCTGTCTAAATTCCTGAAGTGCTGGGATTGCTGGCATTAGCCACCATGACTGGCTTCATGTTCTTCTTCCTGCTGCAACAGTTTGCAGTTTCTTACATTTAGTGGCTTAAAACACCACAAATCTACCATTTTACAGTTCTGGGGCCCAGAAGCCCAAAACAGGTCTATTAAGGCTAAAGTCAAGGTGTCAGCAGGGCTGCATTCCTTCTGGAGACTCTATAGTGTTCCTTTAGCTTTTCCCGCTTCTAGAAGCCACCGACATTCCTTGGATCATGGCCCTTGACTCCGTCTTCAAAGCTAGAAGTGAAGCATCTTCAAATCTCCCTCTCTGATCTCTGCTTCCATCACCACATCTCCTGCTCCAATTCTAACTGTCCTACCCTCTTTCTTTCATAAAGATCCTTGTGATTGCTGGGCATGGTGGCTCCCACCCATAATCCCAACACTGGGAGATCAAGGCAGGAGAAACACTTGAAGCCCAAAATTTGAAAGTAGCCTGAACAACATAGTGAGATCCCACCTCTAGAAAAAAATTAAAATAAACATTAGCCGGACATGGTGGTGTGCACCTGTAGTCCCAGCTACTTGAGAGGCTGAGGTGAGATGATCAGTTTAGCCCAGGAGTTTGAGATCGGCCTGGGTGACATAACTAAATCTCATCTCTACGAAAACGAGCTGGGTGTGGGTGACATGCATGTGTAGTCCCAGCTACTTGGGAGGCTGAGGAGGGAGAATGGCTTGATCTCAGGAGGTCAGAGCTATAGTGAGCTATGATCACATTACTGCATTCCAGTCTGGATGACACGGGGAGATTCTGTCTCAAAAAAAGAAAATAAATACATATTTAATCTCTGTCCCTGGTTCCTGGCACAGAGCTTCCAAAGCTCTTACAAAGACCTCAGTGATAGACATGATAGGAGCATCTTTTGTTTTCAATATTTAGTCTTGGTCCCAGGTTTCTAACACAAGACCCTCTAAGAACTTTGGGGGCAATCACATGATTAGAGGCTTGGAACTTTCAGCCTCATGCACTCAACTCCAGGAGAAAGAGGGGCTGAAGATTGACTTAATCACCAACGGCCAAAGATTTTACCAATCATGCTTGCATAATAAAGCCTCCATAAACACCCTGAATGGGGTTTGCAGAGCTTCTGGGGTTGCTGAACACAGGAGATGTTGGCAAGGTGGCATGTTCAACAGAGGACATGGGAGCTCTGTGCCCCTCCTAACTTACCTTGCCCTGGGCATCTTTCTTTTCTTTTGAGACAGGGTCTGGCTCTTTTGTCCAGGCTGGAGTGCAGTGGCACAATCTCAGCTCACAGCAACCTAAGCCTCCCCAGTCCCCAGCTCAAGGCATCCTCTCGGCTCACCTTCCCTAGTAGCTGGAATAATAGATGCACAACACTGCACCCGGTTATTTATTTTTATTTTTCTAATTTTTTGTAGAGATGGGTTTTCACCATGTTGCCCAGGCTGATCTCAAACTCCTGAGTTTAAGTAATCCTCCCACCTCAGCCTCCCAAAGTGCTGGAATTACAGACATGAGCCACCGCATCCGGAAAGTACGTCTCTTTCATTGGCTGTTTCTGAGATGTATCCTTTACAATGAACCAGTAATAGGAAATGAACTGGCCAGATACAGTGGCTCACATCTGTAATCCTAGCACTTTAAGAGGCTGAGGTGGGAGGATCACTTGAGCCCAGGAATTTGTGGCCAGCCTGGGCAACACAACAAGACCCCATCTCTACAAAAAAAAATAAAAGAAATTAGCCAGATGTGGTGGTGCAAGCATGTAGTCTCAGCTACTACGGAGGCTGAGGTGGGAGGACCACTGGAGACCAGGCAGTTGATGCTGCAATGAGCTATGACTGCACCATTGCGCACCAGCCTGTGCAACAAAATGAGAACCTGTTTCTCAGAAAAAAGAAAATAAACTGTTTTTCTGAGTTCTGTAAACCATTCTAGCAAATCATTAAACCCAAGAAGAGGGTCATTGGAAACCCTGATTTGTAACAGGTTGGACAAAAGTACAGGTGACAACCTAGGACTTGCCACTGGCATCTGAAGTGAGGATAGTCTCGTGGGACTAAGCCCCTAATCTGTGGAGTCTGTGCTAACTCCACGTAGTGTCAGAATAAAATTGTGGGATACCCAGTTAATATCCAGGACACTGGAAAACTTGGTATACAAACTCCACACACATGTTCAGTCAAAAGTGCATGAGCAGAGACAAACACAGGCTTTTCTTTGACCTGTCTACCTGCTTAACTGCATAGGAGAGGCAATATGTGGTGCTCATGAACAAAGCAAACATTAAAGTCAGACCAGACCCAACATTTGACTCAGTCTTAATATCCAGGTGAGCTTGGGCAAATCATTCGTTATCCCTAAGTCTTCATCACTTCATTCATAAAATGAGGATAACTGTGGCACCTACCTGTCATTTTGTGAGAATTAATGAGCTATTATGCTTGGTGTTATTGTGATCATCATACCTATTCCAAACTATTTGACAAGGACAGGGATGGATGATAACATCAAAAGATTAGAAACTGTAGTGAGGTCTCTCAGGCAAAATTCCATACAAGCAAATTACTGTCGCTACAAAGTATTCCTGCCACACTTAATTCACCACTTCCTGAAAAAAAAAATGTGCCATCTTCATTGTTCAGGTCATTACAGTGCTGGTTTCCCTGTCTGGGCAGCTCACTCCATCCCACCCCAGCCCATTCCCCTCCACCTCCCCCTTCCCACCCCATTCTCATACAACTCTTCCTCATCTTTCAGGACTTGGCTTCAAAAGTCACCTTAACTGGAACCTTCTCTCACCCTCCAGAAGAGCTTCCCATTGCACTTGATGCATGAACTATTATTTGATCATTTTTGAGTTATATTCCAAGTCTTTTTGTACCTGAATAACATGTTGCCCAGTCAGTCTCTCTTCCTGGACTCTGAAGTCTTTCATGGTAGATCCAGCTGGAAGTGACAAAAAGACATTCTTTTGAAATAGAACGGTGACACAGACAGACATAAGTTCTTAAATGTTTTAAATGGTATGTGAAACTAACTAAATTCATAGCCTTTTGGGGAACACTTAGGAGGGAAACTTACTGGGAATGTCATAAAGGATTAATTTGTATTTTATTTTATTTTATTTTTTGAGACAGAATCTCATTCTGTCACCTAGGTTGGAGTGCAGTGCTGCAATCAGGGCTCACTGCAGCCTTGACCACCTGGGCTCAGGTAATCTCATTTAATTTTTATTTGGTTTAAAAAACTCAGTCTTGGTTGAGCGTGGTGGCTTCTGCCTGTAATCTCAACACTTTGGGAGGCTGAGAGAGGTATATTACTCGAGGCCAGCAGTTTGATATCAGCCTGGAAAACATATTAAGGCCCTGTCTCTACCAAAAAATAACAGAGTGAATGTGTGGAAGACAATTTTTCCAAAGACCTGGGGTGAAGGAAATGATTTCAGGATGATTCAAGTGCATTACGTATATTGCGCACTTTATTTCTATTATTATTACATTGTAATATATAATGAAATAATTCTACAACTCACTAAAATGTAGAATCAGTGGGATCGCTGAGCTTGTTTTCCTGCAACTAGACTGTCCATCTGGGGTGATGGGAGACAGTCACCCCAGGCATTAGATCATCAGGCATTAGATTCTCATAAGGAGCACGAAACCTAGATCCCTCACATGCACATAACAGGGTTTGTGCTCCTAGGAGAATCTAATGCTGCTGCTGATGTGACAGGACATCATGCTTAGGTGGTCATGCAAGTGATGGGAGGGCTAGAAATACAGATGAAGTTTTCCCTCACTCGCCTACTGTTCACCTCCGGCTCTGTGGCCCTGTGGTTGGAGACCCCTGCTAAAGTGCATCTGAAAGGATCCATCCCATGCCCTTCTTCAGAGTCATATTTACTGCCACAGTGTTCAAGTGTAGCACTCCTAAGCTCGCAGGGCCTATGGCTCAGCTGGCATTTCATCACAATCAACAGTAAGTGGTAGCTTGAGTCATTGTGAGGTCACTTCCTGGAAATGACCAGCATCCCATGTCCCATTGGAAAGCAGCTGAGCACTGCTCCTTGGATAACCAAACCTATGCCCAAATCCCATCTGTGTGCGTCTATCTCCTGGAATCCTTCCTATCATCAATTCTGTATTTGTAGGAGTCCAATCAGGAGACACAAACCACTCAAAAGTTTAAACTAGAATGAGCAAAGTGGCTCACACCTATAATCCCAGCATTTTGGGAGGCCAAGGCGGGTGGATCGCTTTGAGCACAGGAGTTTGAGACCAGCCTGGGAAACATGGTGAAACCCCATCTCTACAAAAAACACAAAAACTAGCCAGGTGTGGTGGCATGTATCTGTAATCCCACCTACTCAGGAGGCTGAGGCAGGAGAACTGCTTAAGCCTGGCAGGTGGAGGTTGCAGTGAGCAGAGATTGTGCCACTGCACTCCAGCCTGGGTGATAGCATGAGACCCGGTATTAAAAAAAAAAAAAAAAAAGAAGAAAAACAATATATGTAAATTTAATATAAGAAGTATTAATTTTGGCCAGGTGCAGTGGCTCACGTCTGTAATCCCAGCAGTTTGGGAGGTAGAGGCAGGTGGATCACCTGAGGTCAGGAGTTTGAGACCAGCCTGACCAACATGGAGAAAACCCGTTTCTACTAAAAATATAAAATTAGCCAGGTGTGATGGCACATACCTGTAAATCCCAGCTACTTGGGAGGCTGAGGCAGGAAAATCACTTGAACCTGGCAGGCGGATGTTGCGGTGAGCCAAGATCGTGCCATTGCACTTCAGCCTGGGCAATAAGAGCTACACTCCATCTCAAAACAAAAAATATTAATTTTAACAGAGGATCAGCATAATGAGGGACACACTAGCACAAATTAAAGACAACTCTACAGAATACAGAACTAGCAGAAGCCAGGCATGGTGACTCAAGCCTGTAATCCCAGCAATTTGGGAAGCCTAGGCAGGAGGATCACTTGAGGCCAGGAGTTGGAGACCAGTCTGACAAACATAATGAGACCCTGTGTCTACCAAGAAAAGAGAAAAATTAGCCAGGTGTGGTAGTGGTACACACCTGTAGTTCCAGCTACTTGGGAGTCTAGGGTGGGAGGGTCCCTTGAGCCTGGGAAGTCTAGGCTACAGTGAGCCAAGATCCTGCCACTGCACTCCAGCCTGGACGACAGAGACCCTGTCTTAGAAAGAAAATGAAAAGAAAAGAAAGTGCTAATCCCCCTATGGGAATCTCCTCTTCTCCAGCCCTCTCTGGAACCTCACTTGTCAGTTCTTCCTCCCACTTCCCTGTATCTTTAACCTATCCCCCTCTTTTAGCTCCTTCCCACCATCATCTAAATTACTCAAACTTCTTCTATTTTAAAAACCTCTCCCTAAACTCAGTGTGTCCCCTGCTTTAGGTCTCCTGCACACCCACTGAGCCATCTGCTCCCCGTGGTGCCTTCTCCACACAGCAGCCTGAGCCATGTCTCTAATCCATTAATCTCATCACTTTACTCCCCCATTTACATCACTTCTCCTTGTCTCGGGGATTAAGTCCAAACTCCTTAAAAGCCCCTGCTCTGCCCTGCCTTGCAAAGCAGCCTCACTGCTTGCCCCTCTCCATTTTACCTGCTGTGGAGTCCAACTGAGTCTCATCTGCCCCCTGAATCAGGAATTAGATTCTCATAAGGAGCTGAATCCTGAATCCACACTCTTTCCCCTCTGGGAGTCTCTGAAGTAGGTGATGCCCTCTGCTTAAAGAGTACACTTCCCCTTAAACCTCTACTCTCTTCCTGGCTAGCTTTGGCTCCTGTCACTTGTCCGCTTTGGCATCACCTCCTCCTGGAAGCCTTCCTTGACTCTCCAGATTCTCAGGAGCATGGGAGGTGAAATGCTCCTCCCATGAATGGTTGGAGATTAGCGAGTATGTATTATTCATGCTTAATTCACCAGGGCTTAGCTGAGTACCTGGCACAAAAAAGTTACTGTGGTGGCCAAAGTAATGACCCCCCCGACCCCACCAATTGCTCATGTCCTATGTTACACTGCACAAATACATAGGAAGGGGGAATTAAGAGTGCAGATGAAATTAATGTTGCTAATCAGCTGACCTTAAAATAATATTATCCTGGAGTATCTAGAAGAGCCCATGTAATTACAAGTGTTCTTTAAATGTGGAAGAGGGAGGCAGAAAGTTAAGAACCAGAGATGGTGGGCACAATGGCTTATCCCTGTAATACCAATACTTTGGGAGGCCAAGCCAGGAAATTCCCTTGCGTGCAGAAGTTCAAGGCCAGCCCTGGCAACATAGTGAGAGGCCCCATCTCTACTAAAAAAAGAATAATAATAATCACTGTGTGCCATGGTGCTTACCTGTAGTCCCAGCTACTGGGAAGGTTGAAGTGGTAGGATCGCTTGAGCCTGGGAGTTTGAGGCTACAATGAGCCGTGATAGGACCACTGAACTCCAGCCTGAGTGACACAGCAAGGTCCTGTTTCTAAAGAAAAAAAAGGACATTGGAATCAGGGTCCCCTCCATCCTAAGGTGCCTACAATGCATCTCTCTCTGCAAACAAGTAAATATCATCCTCCAACTCCTCACAGAGTGGAGCAGCAGAAAAACTCCCTCACCTCATTTCTGTGCAGTTTGGGAGGCCTGGACAGCCCAATAACCAGCTCCTTGCTGATGAAGCAATCGGGAAATGGCTCGAGTTGAGCTAAGGAGAATTTGGATCCTTCTTTTGGTTCTCAATAGGCAGGATAGGGGTCAGGCATGGTGGCTCATACGTGTAATCCTTGCACTTTGGGAGGCCAAGGTGAGAGGATCGCTTGAGGCCAAGAGCTCAAGATCAGTCTGGGCAACATAGCGAGACCCAGGTGGCATGCACCTGTGGTCCCCACTACTTGGTAGGATGAGGTGGGAGGACTGATCACTGGATCCCAGCAGTTTCAGACTGCAGTGAGCCATGATCACACCACTGCACTCCAGCCTGTGTGACAGAAACAGACAGTTTCTCAAAAAGTAAAAAAAAAAAAAAAAAAAAAAAGAGAGAGACTATAAGGCAGGCACCACCACACCACCACATCTGGCTAATTTTTAAATATTCTGCAGAGATGAGGTCTTGCTAGGTTGCCAAGGCTGGTCTAAAACTCCTGGAATCAGGCTGGGCATGAGGGCTCATGCCTGTAATCCCAGCACTTTGGGAGGCCAAGGCAGGCAGATCACCTGAGGTCAGGAGTTAGAAACCAGCCTGACCAACATGGTGAAACTCCATCTGTACTAAAAGTACAAAAATTAGCTGGGCAGTAGTGGCATGTGCCTGTAATCTCAGCTACTTAGGAGGCTGAGGCAGAAGAATCACTTGAACCTGGGAGGTGGAGGCTGCAGTGAGCCGAGGTCGCACCACCGCACTCCACCCTGGGCGACAGTGAGACTCTGTCTCAAAAAAAGAAAAATACAAACAAACAAACAAAAAAAACAAAAACAAAAACAAAACCCCGGCATCAAGAGATCTTCCTATCTCACCCTCCCAATGCCCTGGGATTATAATTTTTGTTTAGAATAATTGAAGATACTTGTTCTTACACTGCTTTAAGGTATAAAGAAAAAAAAAGATAATAACAAATGTTGGTGAAGGCCGGGCACAGTGGCTCAGCCTGTAATTCCAGAACTTTGGGAGGCTGAGGTGGGCAGATCACTTGAGGCCAGGAGTACGAGACCAGCCTAATCAACATAGTCAAACCCCATTACTACAAAAAAATATAAAAATTAGCCAGGCATGGTGGCATGCACCTATAATTCCCAGCTACTCAGGAGGCTGACATGAGGGAATCACTTGTGCCTGGGAGGTCAAGGCTATAGTGAACTGTGATGGCATTACTGTGCTGCAGCCTGAGAGACAGAGCAAGCCCCTGTCTAGAAAAAAAAAATGTCAGTGAAGATGTGGAGGAATTGGAACCCCACATACATTACTGGTGGGAACATAAAATCATGTAACCACTTTGCTTGGGTATTTCTTTTCTTGTCATTTTAACTGGATTTTTAAAAAAATCAAGACAGGGTCTCACTATCTTGCCCAGGCTTGTCTTGAACTCATGGGCTCAAGCCATCCTCACAACTGAGCCTCCTGAGTAGCTAGGATTACAGCTGTGAGCCATTGCACCCAGTTGGTGTAGCCACTTTAGAAAACAGTCTGGCAGTGTCTCAAAATGCTAAATGTACAGTCGTCGTATAATGCAACAATTTCACTCCTAGGCATATATCCCAGAGAAATAAAAATATATGTCCACACAAAAACTTGTACAGCAATCTTCATAGCACCATTATTCATAATGGCCAATACATGGAAAAAACCCAAATGTCCACCAACTGATGAACAGATAAACAAAATGCAGTGTGTCTCTACCACAGAATATTATTCAGCCATAGAAGCAATGAAATATTGATACACACTATGACATAAAGGAACTTTGAAAACATTGTGCTGAGAGGGAAAAAAAGCCACAAAAGACCACATATTATACAATTCTATTTGTCCAGGTTAGGCAAATCTATAGTGACAAAAAAATGGATCAATGGTTGCCTAAGGCTGGTGGCCAAGGCAGGTGGGGGGAGTAGGAGGTAGTGGCTAAGGGGTGCGGATTTCTCTATAGAGTAATGAAAGTTTCTAAAAGTGACTGTGGTGATCGATGTACAGCTCTGGGAATACTCTAAAACCTACTGAATTGCAGATTTCAATAAATAAAGTGAATGGTATGTGAATTATATTTTAATAAAGCTATTATTTTAAATAATAATAATAAGGGGCTGGGCACAGGTAGTCATGCCTGCCTGTAATCCCAGCTCTTTGGGAGGCTGAGGCAGGAGGATCACTTGAGGTCAGAAGTTTGAGCCCAGTCTGAGCAACCTAGCAAGATCCCGTCTCTATGATAAAAAAATAAAAAAATTAGCTGGGCATGGTGGCACATGTCTGTAGTCCCAGCTACCTGGGAGACTGACATGGGAGGATTGCTTGAGCCCAGGAGTTTGAAGCTACAGTGACCCATGATCATGTCACTGTACTGCAGCCTGGGTAACAGAGCAAAACTCTGTCTCTAAAAAGGAAAGAAAAGAAATGCAAGTTTTTACCACTTTGTGAGTGTAGCCAAGTTGGTGGAGAAATAGACAAGAATAAAAGGGCACTGAATAATGAAGGTGAGTGGCTGGTTAGGCTCAGTTGCTAGCTTATCAGCTTCTAAAAAATTCATTAGTAAAGTTACAGCTCTGGGGATAGCCATGCAGTCAAAGAATGAATGCTAAATTCATTACAAATGCTCATGGTCTTTCTTTACATGCCTCCTAGTGAAAAATTCCTAAGTGTCTGAATAGCAAGTCTGCAATGATAGCAGCTGTTTACTAAAGACTACAAAAAAGAAATGGAGGCCGGGCATGGTGGCTCATGCCTGTAATCCCTACACTTTGGGAGGCCTAGGCAGGCAGTTCACCTGAGGTCAAGAGTTCGAGACCAGCCTGGCCAACATGGTGAAACCGTGTCTCTACTAAAAATACAAAAATTAGCTGGGTGTGGTAACACGTGGCTGTAATCCCAGCTACTTGGGAGCCTGAGGCAGGAGAAGTGGTTGAGCCCAGCAGGGGGAGGTTGCGGTGAGCCAAAATCATGCCATTGCACTCCAGCCTGGGTGACAAAAGCAAGACTCTGTCAAAAAAAAAAAAAAAAAAAAATGGCATCTTCTTCAAGAATGACATAGTTTCATGATAAAAAAGTTCTAATTTTGTGTTTTGATTTGATTTAGCCAATATGACACCAATCTTGGATAAAGTGCAAACAATGCAATTTCATTTTCTCATTAATCAAAACTGACTTGGTGGTCTAATATCAATTCTGATCTTTTAAAAAACTGATCAGATAAAAAAATTATGGAATGATGGAGCCAATAAGGTGTTACAATTTCTTTCAAGGAGAATTTCAAAACCCACACATATCTGAGATGATCAAGTATGAGGAAACGTATTTGATTACTATATTTAAAAATAAACTGATTATATAGCCAACAACAACTGGAAAGAGGTCTCCTCATCCACAGCCACAAAAACCCGATCACATGGCTATGCGGTTGTAAGGACTGCATAGCCTAGAAGGGACTGGTCTGACTTCAGATTTCATTTCATTTGTATTTGTATTTTGAGACAGGGTCCCAGTCTGTCACCCAGGCTGGAGTGCAGTGGTATAATCATAGCTCACGACAGCCTTCACCAACTGGGCTCCAGAGATGCTCCTGCCTCAGCTGCCCCAGTACCTGGGAATACAGGCAAGTAACACCATGTCACACTATTTTTTTCATTTTTGTAAAGAGAGAAGTCTTGCTATATTGCCCAAGCTGGCCTCAAACTCCTAGCTTCAAGAGATCTGCCTACCTCGGCCTCCTGAGTAACTGAGGCTATAGGTGCACACCACCATGCCCAGCTATATTTATTTTATTTTATTAAATTTCTTTTATTTTTGTAGAGAGGAGGTCTTGCTATGTTGCCCAGGCTGCTCTCAAACTCACGGCCTTAAAACGTACTCCCATCTCTGCCTCTCAAGCTGTTGGAACTATAGGTGTGAGACACTGCATCTGGCCTGACTTGAGACTTCTTTAATCTTGCATCCTTTACTTAGTAGGACTGAGAAAGGTAGTAGTGTTTTTTTTAATTAATAATTCAATTAGAATCAAACTCAAGCTTGACTCCCACCTTCTCTCGCAGTTCACATCCAGTCTGTCAGGAAATCCTATTGACTGACTTCAACATGTATCCGGGCTCTGACCATCTCTCACCACCACCATGACCCTGGTCAGGACCACTATCATCTCCCACCTGGATGTTGCCACAGCTTGGCCCCTGTGCTTCTACCCAAATCTTCCCACAGTCTTTCTCAACTCAGCAGCCAGGGGGTGCTTTTAAATCAGGAGACAGATCATGTTGCCTCTCTGCTCAGAACCACCCCACAGTTCCCATTTTAGTCAGAGTAAAA
The DNA here is from genome assembly GCF_000001405.40 of Homo sapiens. Classification (NCBI taxonomy): domain Eukaryota; kingdom Metazoa; phylum Chordata; class Mammalia; order Primates; family Hominidae; genus Homo; species Homo sapiens. Next base: position 63,721,030 of record NC_000007.14, on the reverse strand, counting down.
GCCAAAGCCCCAGCAATGGCCTCCCAGGGCTTACACGATCTGTACTGATCCCAGCCCAGCAACTCCCTGGCTCCTCCCCTACTTCTCTCCCTCTATCTGTTTGCTCCACTGGCCTCCTTCCAGAGCCTCAGACACACCAGGGAGTTTCCTCCCAATGCCTTTATCCTGTTGATTCAGCCTACAGTGCTCTTCCCTCAGCACCTTGGCCAGCTCCATCACCTGCTTCAAACTTTTGCTCAATTTTCACTTATGAGGCCAACCCTGACCACTCTACTTAACATTGCCATCTGTCCCCATTTCCATCATGCTCATTTCTTTCTTTCTTTTTGAAACAGGGTCTTTCTCTATTGCCCAGGATAAAGTACAGTGGTGCAGTCACAGCTCACAGCAACCTCAACCTCTCAGGCTTAAACAATCCTCCTGCCTTGGCCTCCCTAGGAGCTGACACGCCTGGCTAATTTTTTTCAACTTTTTTTTTTTTTTTTTTTTTGAGACAGAGTCTCGCTGTCACCCAGGCTGGAGTACAGTGATGTGATCTCGGTTCACTGAAACTTCCACCTCCTGGGTTCAAATGATTCTCCTGCCTCAGCCTCCCGAGTAGCTGGGACTACATACAGGTGCCCGCTACCATGCCCAGCTAATTTTTGTTTTTTTAGTAGAGACGGAGTTTCACTACGTTGTTCAGGTTGGTCTTGAACCCCTGAACTCAAGTGATCCACCGCCTTGGCCTCCCAAAGTTATGGGATTACAGGCTGAGACACTGCATCTGGCCCCAACCACATTTTTTGAGGCTTGGAACTTTCAGCCTCACTCGCTGAACTCCAGGAGGCAAAAGGGTCTGGAGATTTAATGACCAATGGCCAATGATTTTATCATGCCTCCATGAAAACCCTAAACAATACGGTTTGGAGAGCTTCTGTTTTGCTGAACACAAGGAGGTGCTGGAAGGGTAGTGTGCCCAACAGAGGGCATGGAAGTGCCCCTTTTCCCACTTACCTTACCCTGTGCATCTCTTTCATTGGCTGTTCCTGAGATGCAGCCTTTACATTGAGCCAGTAATAGAAAATAAACTGGCCAGATGTGGTCGCTCATGCCAATAATCCCAGCACTTTCCCAGATCTTTTTACCTTGGCCTCCAAGGTGGCTGGGACAACAGGCATGCATTAGTGTACCATCATACCTGGCTATTTTTTTTATTTTTAGTAGAAACAAGGTCTCACCATGTTCCCCAGGCTTGTTTCAAACTTCTGGGCTCAAGCAATCCTTTTGCCTCAGCATCTCAAAGTGCTGGGGTTACAGGTGTGGGCCATGGCCCAGCCTGGAACCATGCTACTTGTACAGTCTGCAGAACTGTGAGCCAAATAAACCTTTTTTCTTTATAAACTACCTAGCCTCAGGTGTTTCCTTATAGCAATGGAAAATGGACTAATATAGGAGGAATCGTATGTCAACACTTACCAGACTGTGATGAGCACAATGACAGGAGTATAGAGAGGGACTGAAACGCTCCCAAGGGGCTTCTCGTTGCATCATAGAGAGTGAGGTGAGACATCTCAGCTGAGGCTAAAGATGAGCAAAGATGAGAGTGAAAGAGTGATGATGGGGGTAGGGAGAGGGTTTCCTCAAGGACCAGTAAAGTCCCGGAAGGAAACTGACATTCCATGTGGCTGGAGGGTAGGTGAATTCAACTGTCATTGCAATTCAGCAACCCGCACATTTAAGTTTGTGTTTGATTTTCAATATCAGCCCTGTGGATACAAAAAATAAGGAATTGTGTTTGGGCTATCATGGAAGCTCTCTGGATCTTAGACCGCAACTTATGCTGAGAGGTAAAGACTTGAACTTTTTGTTTTTCTCTCTGTAAGTGCTCAAGTGCAGCGGTCCCCAATTTTTTTGGCACCAGGGACTGGTTTTGTGGAAGACAATTTTTCCACAGACTGGGGGCAGCAGGTCAGTTTTGGAATATTTCAAGTAAATTACATTTATTGTGTACGTTATTTCTATTATTATTATATTGTAGTATGTAATGAAATAATTATGTAACTCACCATAATGTAGAATCAGTGGGAGTCCTGAGCTTGTTTTTCTGCAACTAGATGGTCCCATCTGGGGGTGATGTGAGACAGTCAT